>NC_000006.12:20363030-20666060 GCF_000001405.40 Homo sapiens | reverse complement strand
TATTCTCCTGTTTTTCTTTTATCTTGTTTTGTGTGCTTCAGGCCATATAGAAATTTTAATCAGTAAGTGGTTAAATCCAAATCTTTTTGGATATAATACTAATTGGGGGGGTGCAACTGCCATTAAGCAGGCCGAAGTCAGAGGTGCTAGATGTCTTCCGCTACACAGATCTATGCTGTACAGAGAATTCCACACGACCTGCATGAGTTCTGAAAGCCCCACTTAACATGCATATACGTAAAAAATATATTTATAATATCTCCTTAGAACCTATCTCCATTTTACATATAGTAGCTCCTGGAATAAAATTGTTTCATTCGACAGTTTCTTTATAACATTGCTTAGAAAAAAAAAAACTCATCTCTCTATACATCGTTTCAATTATAGTTTCCAAGAACTTATCATTGACATTAAGTGAGGACTTATTTTAAGTATTTCTTGTACAGTTTCAGGAATCCAACCTCTGTGAAAATGGAAGGAAGAACATACTTTGTGTCATTAAGAACTTTAGCAAGAGTCATCATCCATTCTGGAAAGGTGCATCACTAGATCACCAATGCTATTCTTGGCATTTAAGCTGTTAAGGCTACACACATATCAGACTGCATTCATTACTCTCACTGTCACTGTAATTCTGTATACAGGCCATTTGATTAGGTCTTCTAGTATATTTGTGCCTAAGCATTTGTATTTTGAAATACGTATTGCATTAACAATTTTTTCTTTTTTTCCTTATATTAATCACATTCAGAGCACTGTGCTAATTGATTTGTTAATTATGTGTGTGCATAGATTATATTATTCAAGATTTTCACTTCAGTATAATAAAGGGTACGTTGCAAAACACTTTTTATATAAGAGGATTACTGGGTCTGATAAGTTTTCAAGACACTGCCCCAGGTCTATGGGAGAGCTAAGACTCTCCAGATTCTAGGTCCTGGACTCTTCTCTCCATCACCACAAGGAATACAGATAAGATCACTCCCCCAACCCCATCTATACAGCACAACTTCTGCCCAAGACCCAGAGTCTCAGCTGCATATGTGCTCCCCTCTAACACCAGGTACAAAGGCTCCCACGGTTGTTCAAAGTTATTTAGGCAGTGTGACAATGAGGGGATCGAAAATACATACTCAGGCCACCATCTGCCCTGGATTACTCTGAGTTTTAAGTTCTAATTATGCTGTATACCCCTCAAGCCACCCATTACCGATTACCAAGTTGGTATATTGCAAATTTCTCGATATACAAGTATCTGAAATGACAAGTAAGAAAAAGCTTGCAGCCTAGATAGAAGAGAATTTTTTAAAGTTTCTTAGAATTTGCTCAATGAATACACTCCAGTTCTATTCCCTATTTTTAAAAATTACCTTTTAAAAAATTTACTTGATCAATGACATCAAATCCTTTGTTATCAAATTAAAATGGTAAAAGCATCAAAAGAGTTAATCAATGTTTCAACCATGGATGACTGAAATACTACAAAATATGTTGACTCAAACCATTTTCTCATTTGAGGTAAAACAAGTCTTTTCCTTCAGTAACTATCATAAAATACTGACAGGTACTTAAGGAAAGCACCAAATTAAACTTTTTAGTTTTGCCATAAACTTGCTTATCTGATTCCTCTTGTAATGGAAACGAAATTTATGAGCTGGAAAGCAAATTGTTGGTTGGCACAAAGGATGAGCTGTTGACTTCTAAAACATATTGTTAAAGAGATCCTTGACATCCATTTTAATTTGTATTTTTCCCAAAACACTTTCTATCATGTGATTCTGTCAGTTTCTTTCTTAATGCATCTACATTGAGCGTGCGAGCACACATGCACACAAAGAAACAGTAAAGAATGGGTCAGGAGAACCTAATTATATCTGGGTAGTTCTCGACAGTTTCTGTGTACAGAAACACAAAAAAGACACTGCTGCAGAATGTGTAGGTTGTATCCTGGAATGAGAATTTGATAGCGTTAATATCCCTCTGATAATATCCAATGGCGCCAACCTATAAAAAATCTCCAGCAAGTTTTGTAAGACTCTTCCCATTGGTTAGATTTTCACTGGTTATATCAAATTCTCCATTTTTTTTTCAAGTGAAATCTAAAACATTAAATTTCCATCTTAGTGAGAGGTGGTATTTTTCAGCTGTACCTAAATTTTTTTAGAATTAAACAAAATATTATTTTCTAAACGCTTAATTATAAAATGAGTTTAACTGTCCTTCAACCTGTTTTCCAATTGGTTAAGACCCTCCATGATAATCATCATAAACTCCACTTTTGTTTTATGTCTAAATTATTTTAAAATATCTAGGTTTTAAATCAGGCTTATGATTATTATATCACAGAAATGAATCTCAGAACAATGAAAAACATATTTTCCTTATAGATTCCATTTCAAATATGGTCATTGCAGGTCTTAAGAGCAGAAAATATATGTAAGTCCCATTTTTTAAAAAATACGTGTGTCCAACAACTAAGCCATGAACTTCTCCTATGTATTCTGTTATTCCTTCATCAGAGACCACTCAGAGTAAGCAAAAAGAGGAAAAGTTCTTACATGTCAACTATGTCATTTCTTAAATGTTCTGAATAAAGATAAGAGGAGAAAAGAGGATCATTTGTTCACAAGTATGTTGAGGACCTCCTCCAATACAATGGACCTGATAAATGATAGAAAGATAAATAAAATGTGTATCTTGTCCCAAAGTTTATACCCTATAGCAGAGATATCAAGCCAATAAACATTAGCCCCATCTCCCTTACTAACAGAATCCCAATTCTGTTGGGAGCAACAATGTGTGCAGTATAAAAACAAAAGAAAAAAAAACACTACATTTCCCAGCCTCTCTTACAAATAGAGGTAGTCCTGTGATATGACTCCACACAATGAGATGCAAGCACGGGTTTTGAGCGGGACTTCCTATAAAGCTCCTTTAAAGAAGGGACAGACTCAGCCGGCACATCCAGTTTGGTACTTCCATCTTTTTTGTGGGGGAAAGTGCATGTGATGGCCAGAGAGCAATAACCATTTGACACCAAAAGGGAAAGACCTTTAAAACAACCGACTTCAATCCTCACACCCTTAAACTGGTAAAGCAAAGCCAGCAATTTCCTAACTGTGGACTTTGCAATATGTACGAAAAATAAATCCCCTAAGTCATGTAAGCCTCTACTTTTTAGGTTTTCTATGACATGCAGATAACCTCAAGTTCAAACTCTTAAAATCTAATAAGAAAGAGACACAGAAAAAGTTCTATGAAAATCCAGTGGAAGACATTTGATCTGACAGACACAGAAGGTGGAAGGGATGGGAAAGATAAACATGCAAAGGAAACATACATATGAGTTGGTTCATTCATTTGTTCAACTATCACTGTCAATCACTGTATAAGATGCTGGGATACAGATAAAAGATATAGTGGCTGCCCCTAAGGAACTCTGAAAATGGGTGCAGACAGATAAAGAAATGACAGGTATTAATATGGGGCAGCCACACACAGTGGTGCTGCACTGTGTCTATGCACTCTAACACCCACAAAAGTGCCATCCTTTCATCAAAGGTACAGTAGGGACCAGCCTCAGCCTTAGAGCTACAAAAACAGTAAAATATGTAAACATAGGGCACTTTGAGTAAGATTTAGATCCACAGCTGTTAGGTAAAAGTAAGTTGCATATTACCTGCCACTCCTATCCAATTTCCCAGGATCATAGCAATCTATGCCTTAATATAGCCTACAATCTAAATAACTTCATTAATGTGGCCCAGAGAACGACACCTAAGTGTAACCATAAGTAAGAAATAAAAAGGGTTAATATTTAATACTTTGGTAACATGTCCTATGGGTTTAAAAAGTCTTTTTTATTTCACTTATTATCAGTTATTAAACAATACTACTGACTAAAAATTATGAAAGATTATGTTTGTCACTCTTAGAGCAAACAATAAGGGAAGAAAAAAACAAGAGCCTTTTTTTCTCTGCTGTTATATAAACACACACACCAAGAATAAGTAGAATGTCTTTCAAACCAAAACAATAGGAAATCACTCTTGGCTGAAAGAACAGACTTAGATCATGTTGATTTTTTCTTTAATCCTGCTAAAGCAAGTTTCTGCATGCTTTCTGGAGCCTCCACCTACAGAGTTGTTAGGACAACAGCCAACACATATATTTAATTATGTAAGTATTTCAATGCTATCAGCCAGCTGTTGCCAGCACATAATACACTGCCCTCTTTCACTCACTCTCTTGCTTAAAATGGCAAAAACAAAGCAACTGTTGATGTAACATTAATCATAAAATATGCAAAATACTAGTCTTCAAAAAGATTTTGGATATCTACAAAACTCAGTTTTGCATTTTAAAATGGCCTACCACCTCTGAACTGCTTTTTCTGTTGCTGATTTGCAAATTAACTTACTAATCTTTTAACTGTAAGTTTACAGTTTCATTTGGTTTTTTTTTATGTAAACCAGGAATTAAACACTAAAATAGACTTTCTTTTGTATTTCCAATAAAACTGCTCACTGGCATACATCACATGATAATATTCTGTCTTTCCTCTCACTCATCTCCATGTTTTTCCAGAGTTAGAAGACAACTTGAAGCCTCCAATAGGAAATGGTCAGAAGCTGCTCTGAACATACATAACTCTCACCCCCTACTTTACAAAAAACTCTTCATCTATGTTTCTAGAAAACTTGCTCCTCAAATACCATTATCAACTCCAAACAAACTCATGAGGAAAAAATTACAAAATCCTCGCAACAACAGAAAATAGACTAAACAAAACTGTGACATAAGATGAATAAAATGAATTCATTCACATATGATAGATAATAAGACCTAATCCATAAACAAGAATGTATTTAGAGAAATTTGGCCTTCATCAAATCTTTCAATTCAATTCAGTGAATAAGTAACTCAATGCTGTTCATCAGGCACTATTCTAGAGACCAAGGATACCTCAGTCAATAACAGAGACATCACTGTCCTTTTAGATCTTTTTCACTCATCTTACAAAATCCTCTATCAAGTCAACCTTTCCAACATTACTACTTCTTCCCCAACAGCAAGCAGTTGATTTTTTTTTCAATTTTGGTGGTATATCTGGTGTATTTTGCTCACTCTCAAATCTGGACAATTTGAAACTCAAATGTAAGACAAGTGTTCTGATATTAATGCAATTATATTACTTATACAACTTACAATGTACTTAACATAAATATATTAACGATGACTTGATGCAATGACAGCATAACGATACTAAACCCTTTTCCCAAAAAGAGGAAAAACCAGTTCAACCTAATTATACAAACATGTATTGAGTAATTATAATTGTGTGCCAAACTCAAGGCCAAACACTAACCAGGTTTTTATCCACCTTTCCTACTCTCTCACTCAAGACATGATGCTTTAACTAATCTAATGGCCACAGCCCTGAAGCTGGCCCGGAGCTCATTTAGGATAGTGAGGAGCACAAGATCCTGCCAGCATGACCAGGTGACTACTCCAAGAAGGGAGATACTCCTTTTACAACTTCCCTCAGGAATACAATATTAGAAGTTAGAAATTAGGAAGTTAGAATGTCCTTTTCCCTTTCTACAAATACACAGCCTGTATCTGTCAAGGGACTCACTACAACCTTGGGAGAACATTCTTACAACCGTTGACAAATGGTCTTTGTCTATTAATGATATCTGTTTCCCAGGACAAGGAAAATCATTACACAGTAGAGTCAGAGCGTCAAAGGCTTCATAAAAAGAATTTTTCTGAGGTCAGTATCCTAACCTCAAAACTCACAATCTAGTAGCAAGCCAAATATGTAAACAAATAATAGAATATACTACACAACAACAGATGTTAATTGTTAATATGGGATAAAGAACTAGCATGGAACAGACCTTGGAGCTAAGAGGTGAGGTGAAGCTTAGAAGGGCGATGACCCCACAGGTGTTATCTCTGACATGAGTTCCAGAGATCAACTATTTAGCCAGGTGGGATTAATGTGGGGTGGGTGGAGGTGAGGGCATGCATTTGGAGGAAAGAGAGAAGACAGTCCAAGGAAGGGAAGAACATATGCAAATACATTATGTGCTTGGGAAACTTTCTAATGTCAGGGAGGAAGTAAAATTCTATAGCCCAGTGGCAAGAAAAGAGGTAGGAGAGAGAGGCATTGAACAAATTTTTTTTAAAAACCCTTGTTACACTAAGAAATGATAATGCAATTTCCTGATGACCACAATCAAAGAAGATGGGCAATACTAATGGAAATGCTAGCTAGAGAAAAGGTGAGGTAGATAAGGAGGAGGCCCTGACATGATGATTTGAGGTGTCCATGGTCAAGGTCATCCAAATGGCGAAGTCAAGGAAGCAGTGGGATATACAAGGCTGGAGCCTGTAAGGAGATATACAGATCAAAGACGAAGATTTGGGAGAAATCAGCATACAGACAATATCCAAACAGTGGAAGGAGATGACAAATGATAGGAAAATGTAAATTCATATTAAGCATAGCACTGTTGGGAGACAATCTTATTAGACAATACCCAACCAATAATACTAATTAATTCAGTCTAATATTTTGAACTAACTTTCCATGTAAAAGGATACTTTTTGGTGGGCAAGGATAGCTGAAAAAAGGAGATTGTGACTGGTAAAAGCACACAATGATTCACTGAATCTGCCACTAACATTTTAAACAAAAAGATGAAACTGATACTAAACTATAGCCATTTCATATAATTAGAAGAGTTAAAATTAAAATATCTAAGTTTAACAAAAAATCAACAAACTATAGTATTATTTAAAGTATAACTCAAATAACTTGCATCATCTAACTTATTTCTCACAAAAGGCCAAATCAAAACCCTGTGATTTTTTACCTTCTAATGACAAAATTTTTTTAATTAAAAATTAATTTTGGAAGTCAGGCAAGGTGGCTCATGCCTGTAATCCCCAACACTTTGGGAGGCCAAGGCAGGAGGATCACTTGATTGAGGTCAGGAGTTCAAGACCAGCCTGAACAACATAGCAAGACCCCCTCTCTACTAAAAAAAAATAATAATAATAATAACAGATTGGCTGGGTGTGGTGGTGTATGCCTGTAGTCCCAGCTACTCATGAGGCTGAGATGGTAGAATTGCTTTGGCCCAGGAGGATGAGGCTACAGTAAGCCGTGATCGTGCTACTGCACTCCGGCCTGAGCAACAGAACGAGACCCGGTCTCAAAAAGTAAATAAAAGTAACTTTTAGAAGTTTAGTTAAAAAAGAAAATTACTAGTGAATGTGGTTAACAAGAGAACTGGAAAGGGTTTTTTTTAATTCTTTTAAACTGGATAATTACTAACTGAAAAGGTAACCACTTCTCTATTCTTATGAAGTCAGCTTTTTTGAAAGCAATTTACTTTACAAGTTCAAGTTGAAATAATATTCTGGTACCTCCCCCAACTTCAATTTATGAAGAAAAAGAACTCAAAAATAAATCTACATAAACAATATTTTCATAATAGGAATAACAATCCAATAATTTATGTTTTGCTCAACAGAATAGCATGGAAGGTGCTTTCCTATAGTGAAAAGATGTTATACAAAGCAGATATCCTCTGTCTCAAACACACATTTTTTGTCTTTATCCAGTTCTGCCTTTATTTTCAATTGTCGTTTCAAGTAATTACATTCAGATACCTAAGCCATCCCTTCGACATTACCATTTATTTCTACAGGCAAAGGCAGTTAAAAACAAGTGACTCCTGTCTATCCACTATCAGTATGGCTAAACCACAGTGCCCATTTGGGTTAATAATGCACAAGGTCAAATAGAGGTTGACAGTCCATGATCAAAGCAAGCTGGCTATTCTTTCTGTCATTTATATAGGACACACAAGATGTGTTTATTTTCACCAGCCTCTGAATGACCTCCTGTAGGTGGCATGGAAAAGATCCCACACTTCTATAAAGCATTAACCAAAGGAGTTTTTTGATTTGATACTATCATTAAGAGCAAATTTTATTTTTTGAAACTTTTGATCTTTTTTATTTACTCAAGAACCCCCCCAAGTTAAAGGCCATATTGTCTAAATCAAAATGGTCTAATGGATAAAACAAAGCCAGGGCAACTGACAAATGCTCAAGAGGAACTAGTATGCATCCAGCAGGCTGCCATCATAACACAGGGGGCTTCCTAGCGATTCTTTCTAAATTAGTAAGGGCAATAACATTTCAGATTTCTAAGGTGAAAAGGCAACCAAAAAGTCACTCTTATCTCTATTTTTGCTACTTAAAATTCTTACTCTTTTATCAGTCTGAATATCAATAATACAAACACTGTAAAACCTTGAAAAAAGTATTAAGCCCCAAAACAAACGACAAAATAATTCAGTCCATAACTGTCATGTCACAAATGCACAATTTCTGGATCTTAATCATTGAGACTGTATTAATCACATGAAAGACAGTAAATCCCTTAGAGTCATCTTTCTTTATTCCTGTCAAAACAAGGTGATCTTTTGTGTGGTGGCTCAAGAGAAACAAAATGATGTGATGCATAATTTAAAACAACTATTTAACACCAAGAAGTACTGGAAGGAAAACAAAAGCAGATGATCGAGAGATGATGACACACAGGAATAAGTAGCAAAGTGAAGCAATCATGGGTAAAGAGTCCAGGTTAGAAAAAGACAGGTCCCACCCCACTGCTGTAAATCTTTACATTTGGGTATAAAGGATTGGGTGCAACAGAAGGAGAAGCAACATCTTATCAGGCTCTCTTTGAATCTAAGCTTTACCTCACTCTCATGGAAAACCAAAACGCATGCAAGAGAGGACAGCAAAGGGAAAGGATGGTGCTGGAGGATGAGAAAAGGCACATGTGTAGCACGACTTAACATTTAACAATGTTACACTACTCATCTTTGCTGTTTTGTGTTAGGCAATGGTGACAACTGGAAAAATATCTGAATAAAGCAAAATGCTTGACAAGAGTAATCCATCACTGAAAGATTTTATATGTATAAATGTCACCTCAATCTGATATTTTCCCAATGTTAACTGTTATTGTACCTTTTACAGGATTGTATTTATTCTGGAAAGAAATCAAATGTTAGTTTAAGTGTTATCTTAATAAGAATTAGTTGTGATGATCAAAAGTCTTCAAGGCCATTAAAAATACTTAATCATATATAATATCTTTTTAAATTTTCTTTCAATCAAGCAGAATAGTACATTAAAGGAACCTGTGCTTGCTACCACTAGCTTTGTAGTGTTTAAATGGCAAACTTTTCTTGCCATTTCTACTTAATCATTCAAACAGCATTTCATTACTTTGAACCATATTAATAACACATATATAACAAAACCCATTGACACAAGTTATATTTGAGTTTTTAAACTTTTAGAAATACTCTAGAACTATGTCCATTAATTACATTATAAAGTTGATAATCACAGAAACTATATTCTCTAGGTTCAGTACATAGGGGGTATCAGTAGCAGTAAAGTATCTTTGTATCTTGTTTACCTTTCTACAGAGAAAAATACATAATTTGAGACAATCACAGGCTTCTCATTAAAAAAAAAAAGCATTCTCTGAAAACGGACAGCATCTGGTGAATACCATTCTCTGCCTTAGTTTAATTCGTCCTTCTTCTGCTCCTAAACTTGACCCTAACTCCCCTCTTCCATCCTCCCTTCCCTTGCCTCTTGCCATCGCTCCGGTAAGAACTCCTCTGTTCCTTCCACCATTTTGAATTAAGGATGACATCACATTCAACTATCAACTCTATGCAAACAATATTAAATTTGTGTTTCTAGTGTTGACCTCTTTGATATCTGCCTCAATTCTGCAACCACTTACTTGACATCTTTATCTAGGAAGCACAGTAATAAAATGGTTAAATGCACAGACTCTAGTCAGACTGCCTCGGTTAAAATCCCACTTCTACCATTTATGAACTGAACAGCAGCCTTAGAGACCTTCATCTGTAAAACAGATGCTGCTTCACCTATAAAACAGGAATACAAATGGAATCTACAACTCATTGATAGGCTGCAAGAATTAAGCTAGATAATATCTAATTCATCTAAAGCACTTAGAACACTGCCCGTCACATAGAAGACACTCAATAAAGCTCAAGTATATTCATTATCTTATTAAAATATTTATCTGTAACTTCAAATACAGCACATTCAAAACCAAAACATGTCATCTCTTAATAACTCCCTTCCTAGAATTCCTCACTTCATTCTAGCCAGAGACCTTAGAGTCATCTTGGACAACGTGGAATGTGTAAAGCAGCGGTCCCCCCAACATTTTTGGCACCAAGAACCGGCTTCATGGAAGATAATTTTTCCACAGACCGGGGGTGGGAGGTGTGGTGTTGGGGTGAAACTGTTCCACCTCAGGTCACCAAGCATTAGTTTAGATTCTTATAAGGAGCGCACAACCTAGATCCCTCACATGTACAGTTCACAATAGGATGTGTGCTCCTGTAAGAATCTAATGCTGCTGCTGATCTAATAGCAGGCAGACCTCAGGCAGTAATGCTTGCTCGCCTACCACTCACTTCCTGCTGTGCAGCCAGTTCCTAACAGGCCACAGACGAGTACACGTCTACAGCCCAGGGGTTGGAGACCCCTGATGTAAAGAATTCTTCCATCTCAAGTCAATGTATTCCTTCCAATTCTGAACACCTCCACTTTAGATGAGATCCTCTGTACCTGGACTACAACCACTCTGTCCTCACTGGACTCCTGATCTATACTCTTCCTTACACACAACCATCCTTCACATTGCTACTACAACTAAGTCCCTGACCAAGGCAGTAAAAACAGAAAACAAAAAATTTTTAAAGTTTACCATTTAAAGTAGTATAAAAATATAAAGTACATACTGTGCAGGCAAAAGAAGAAAGAATAAGTTTATTTTCTTAACGCACTGGAATAATTCAATATCTACATTGGGAGAAAAAAGTCTAAAAGATGCACAAGAGCTATAGAAAGAAAAGAATCAATCCTTAAAAAGTCAGGATAGAAGAGTTGGATAACTCAAAATTGTGAAGATTCAATTCTCCCCAAAATCATCTAAAAATTAAATGTAATCACAAACACACAACAGTATTCCTTGTTCAACTTAAAAACAGATACACTCTTAAAGAAGAACAAAAAGGTACTAGCACTATCAAATAGGTAGCCTTAATGTAACTCTGTACTACTTATGACTATGTAGAACAAGAACCAGAATAAAGAAATAGATCAAAGGAATGAAATAGAGGACCCAGAACAGATTCAAACATCTATGGACACTCAACATATGAGAGGGTGGGCAATGCACAGATAAAAGAAGAAAGAATAGAACTTAAATAAATAAATGATACTGAAACAATTGGTTATCTACAGAGAAAGACATAAAATTGGACCCCTTCTGATACCATAATAAAAAATAATAACAGTCAACTCTAGATGAATTATAGACCTAAATGTAAAAGGTAAAACCATGAAACTTTTAGAAGAAAATATAGGAAAATATCTTAATAGCTTCAGAGTAAGAAAAGACTTCTTAAACAATAAGAACACAGACCAAAAAGAACGGATTAATAAACTTTAAACCAGAATTTATCTTCATCAAAAGATACCACAAAAGAAAATGAAAAGATAAGCCACAATTGGGAGAAGATATTTGCAACGTGTATAATATCTAAGGATTAGGATATGTAAGACACATAATATATGGCCACAAATAAATGATTAAAATGAAAAAAAAAAACCAGAAAAATAGACAAATGACCTGAGAAGCCATTTTACCAAAAAAGTAAAATCCAAATAGCCAATAGATCTATTTTAAAAAGCCCAAACTCATTAATGATCACAGAAATGCAACAAAGGCCGGGCACAGTGGCTCACGCCTGTAATCCCAGTACTTTGGGAGGCCGAGGCAGGTGGATCACTTGAGGTCAGAAGTTCGAGATCAGCCTGGCCAACACAGTGAAACCACATCTCTACTAAAAATACAAAAAACTGACTAGGCGCGGTGGCTCATGCCTGTAATCCCAACACTTTGGGAGGCCAAGGTGGGTGGATCACTTGAAGTCAGAAGTTCAAGACCAGCCTGGCCAACACGGTGAAACCGCATCTCTACTAAAAATATAAAAAATTGACTAGGCGCAGTGGCTCACGTCTGTAATCCCAGCACTTTGGGAGGCCGAGGCAGGCGGATCACGAGGTCAGGAGATTGAGATCATCCTGGCCAACATGGTGAAACTCCATCTCTACTAAAAACAAAAATTAGCTGGGTGTGGTGGTGCACGCCTGTAATCCCACCTACTCGAGAGGCTGAGGCAGGAGAATCACTTGAACCCGGGAGTTGGAGGTTGTAGCGAGACAAGATTGCCCCACTGCACTCCAGGCTGGTGACAGAGTGAGACTCCCTCTCAAAAAAAAAAAAAAATTAGCCGGGTGTGGTGGCGCCCGCCTGTGATCCCAGGTACCCGGGAGGCTGAGGCAGGAGAATCCTTTGAACACGAGAGGCAGAGGTTGCAGTGAGCCGAGATCCTGCCACTGCACTTCAGCCTGGGCGACAGGGTGAGAGCCTGTCTCAAGAAAAGAAAAAAAGGAAATGTAAATTAAAACCAAAACGAAATACCATCATCACCAACAGACTTGCAAAAACTTAAGTCTGGCCATATCAAGTGCTGACAAAAATGGAAAACAACAAATGCACACATCCATTACTGGTGAGAATGCACACTACTACATCCATTCGTGAAAAGAAATTGGCGTTACCTAATAAAGTTTGAATGTACACAGATATGTTACCCAGTAACTCAACTCCCAGGTTCATATTCTAGAATAATTCTTACACATGTGCACCGGAAAACATGTTTAAAATAGTCATAGCAGGAATGTCCATGAAAGCAAAACACTGGGAAAAATTCAAAACTCTATTAATAATAAAATGAATAAATTGTAGCAAATTCTATGAATTTACACCCATTAACATGAATAAATCTCAAAGCGTAATGCTGAGAAAAAGATGTAAATCTCAGAAGAACACAAACAGTATAAGTTCAACAGATAAAGTTCAAAATACGGCTAAACAAGACAACACACTGTTTAAAGACATACTTAATAGATGATACATTAACTAATAAAAGTAAGGAAATGACTCACAAAAGTCAAGATAAAGGTTACTTCTTGGGAGTTATGATTGAAAACACGGCAGTTTCTACGGTCTTGACAATGTTATACTTCTTACACTGGGTGGCAGATGTTTAAGTGTTTATTATTATTTAAACTGTATGTGTTTTATAAACGCTAATGTATGTTTAATATATTTCACAATAAAACCAATAAAGGGGAAAAAGAATGAGTATAAGAATGAAATTAAGAAGAGAAGAATTTTTAAAAGTCTGGCTGGGAAGGCAAGAAAAAATGTAGGACAATAGCTAACAGGGGCACAGGGGGCCGATTAGACCCAGGTATGTTTAAATACCAATGAAAAGGTTCCAGGGGAGTTGGAGAGGTTGGAAATATGGAATGAGGAAATAATTTCTAGAAGAAGGTTTCTAAGAAGATCCATGGAGATAAGATTCAGAGAAAATGTGAAAAAAGGATACTTCTTCCACGTTAACTTGAGGGAACAAAGAAAGAAGCAAGGACTTAATATGCCCACCTCCCTTCAACAAAGTGCAATTCCGTTGAAAGCCAGGTACTGCAGCACTTAGAACAGTGCTAATGGGCAGGGAAAAGAGGCAAGGACTGTGTCAGGCAACTTCACAAAGTATGCATTGATTCTCCGAGAAGAACACATAGTTAACACTTAACAAATACTCAAAAATCACCTATTAGCTAACTTCACAAATACTGAAATTACTTATTAGAAAAGTTCCCATTAAAGTATTACTCTTAAGGAGATAGACACACAAAAAACCCTTCAAAAAGCCATCCTCCTGAAACTACTCCAAACAACTGAAAACAAGGGATTTCTTCCTAACTCATTTTATGAGGCCAGCATCATCCTGATACCAAAACCTGGCAGAGATACAACAAAAAAAGAAAACTTCAGGTCAATATCCATGATGAACATCAATGCAAAAATCCTCAATAAAATACTGGGCAAACCGAATCCAGCAGCACATCAAAAAGCTTATCCACCATGATCAAGTGGGCTTCATCCCTGGATGCGAGGCTGGTTCAACATATGTAAATCAATAAACATAATTCATCACATAAACAGAACTAAAGACAAAAACCACATGATTTTCTCAATACAGAAAAGGTCTTCAATAAAATTCAACATCCCTTCATGTTAAAAACTCTCAATAAACTAAGTATTGATGGAACAGACCTCAAAATAATAAGGGCCATTTATGACAAACCCACAGCCCATATCATACTGAATGAGCAAAAGCTGGAAGCATTCCCTTTGAAAACGGGCACAAGACAAGGATGCCCTCTCTCACCACTCCTATTCAACACAGCATTGGAAGTTCTGGCCAGGGCAATCAGGCAAGAGAAAAAAATAAAGCGTATTCAAATAGAAAGAGAGGAAGTCAAACTGTCTCTGTTTGCAGATGACATGATCCTATTCCTAGAAAACCCCATCGTCTCAGCCCAAAAACTTCTTAACCTAATAAGCAACTTCAGTAAACTCTCAGGATATAAAATCAATGTGCAAAAATCACAAGCATTCCTATACAGCAACAATAGACAAACTGAGAGCCAAATCATGAATGAACTCCCATTTACAATTGCCACAAAAAGAATAAAATACCTAGGAAAACAGCTAACAAGGGAAGTGAAGGACCTCTTCGAGGAGAACTACAAACCACTGCCCAAGGAAATAAGAGAGGAAACAAACAAATGGTAAAACATTCCATGCTCATGGATAGGAAGAATCAATATCATGAAAATGGCCATACTGCCCAAAGTAATTTGTAGATTCAATACTATTCCCATTAAACTACCATTGACATTCTTCATAGAATTAGAAAAAAAAACTTTAAAATTCATATGAAACCAAAAAAGAGCCCATATAGCCAAGACAATCCTAAGAAAAAAGAACAAAACTAGGGGCATCGCGCTACCCAACTTCAAACTATACTACAAGGCTACAGTAACCAAAACTTCATAGGACTGGTGTAAAAACAGATACATAGACCAAGGAAACAGAATAGAGAACTCAGAAATAAGACCGCACATCTACAACCATCTGATCTTCAACAAACCTGACAAAAACAAGCAATGGGGAGAGGATTCCCTACTTGATAAATGGTGCTGGGAAAACTGGCTAGCCTTGTGCAGAAAACTGAAACTGGACCCCTTCCTTATACCTTATACAAAAATTAACTCAAGATGGATTAAAGACTTAAATGTAAAGCCCAAAACTTCAAAAACCCAAGAAGAAAACCTAGGCAATACCATTCAGGACATAGGCACAGGCAAAGATTTCATGATGAAAACATCAAAAGCAATTTCGACAAAAGCAAAAATTGACAAATGGAATCTAATTAAAGAGCTTCTGCATAGCAAAAGAAACTATCATCAGAGTGAACAGACAACCTATAGAATGGGAGAAAATTTTTGCAATCTATCCACATAACAAAGGTCTGATATCCAGAATCTATAAGGAATGTAAACAGATATATAGGAAAAAAAACAAACAACCCCATTAAAAAGTGGGCAAAGCACATGGACACTTCTCAAAAGACATTTATGCAGCAAAAAAACATATGAAAAAAAGTTCAACATCTCTGATCATTAGAGAAATGCAAGCCAAAACCACAATGAGGTACCATTTCACGCCAGTCAGAATGGCGATTATTAAAAGTCAACAAACAACAGATGCTGGCGAGGCTGTGGATAAATAGGAACACTTTTACACTGTTGGTGGGAATGTAAATTAATTAAACCATTGTGGAAGACAGTGTGGCGATTTCTCAAAGACCTAGAACCAGAAAGGCCATTTGATCCAGCAATGCCATTACTGGGTATATCCCCGAAGGAACATAAATCATTCTATTAAAAAGATACATGCACACATATGTTCATTGCAGCACTATTCACAATAGCAAAGACATGGAATCAACCCAAATTCCCATCAATGACAGACTAAAGAAATTGTGGTGCATATACACCATGGAATACTATGCAGCCATAAAAAGAAATGAGATCACATCCTTTGCAAGCACACAGATGGAGCTGGAAGCCGTCATCCGCACCAAACTAATACAGGAACAGAAAAACAAACACTGCATGTTCTCACTTACAAGTGGGAGCTGAACAATGAGAACACATGGACACAGGGAGGGGAACAACATACAGTTGGGCCTGTTAGGGGGTGGGGGAAGGGAGAGCATCAGGATAAATAGCTAATGCATATAGGGCTTAATACCTAGGTGATGGGTTGATAGGTGCAGCAAACCATCATGGCACATGTTTGCCTATGTAACAAACTTGCACATCCTGTACATGTACCCCAGAACTTAAAGTAAATTTAATTTAAAAATAAAAAATAAAAAAAGCATCATTCTGTATCAGACAAATTCAAAATAGTATAATCTTAAAAGTCCAACTCATACTTTTTTAATATAAACTAAATATCTATATTGACATTTTTAAAAAGCTAATCTTTTGGTATCAATTCTTACTTTGATTATACAAAATAGGAAAAAATCAATTTCTACTTACTTAATTGAGTTTCTAAAGTGGTCTTCAGCTGGGTTTTTTACAGTGCAACTGTTCAGGAGCCATAAATCTGCATCGGATGCATTTTCTATTAAAAAAATGAACACAAAAAAGAAGTAAGTAGCACACTTAATCATTCAAAAATATCCAGTGGCACTGGGATTGCTGCGGTAGGGGAGAGAAAAACAGTGGAGTAAAATGAACAGGCAATTACAACACAGTAGAAAATTGCTAGAACATGGAAATATTTGTGAACAATAAATATAAAAATGTGTAATCTATGCTATATCTTTTCACTTAAAATGTAATGATAAGCATTCTCTTCCTTTACTTTCAATGCTTGACAGTACTATCTAATAATTTCCACAAACTAAAGTGAAACTTGCCCTAATCTTAACTCTGAGTATCAAATCAATTTCACCTTTGTGGATTATGTGTTAAGCTTTTTCAGGCACAGAGTGTACACTGAATATTCTTCAGCTTGAGAAATTCTTAAAAACCTAACTTGTCTGCCTTAAAAATTAATGATTTACCTCAAAGTGGGCCTTTTATTCCTATCACCATTTTGATTAAATATTGTTATATACTATAATAAACTCACTGGCAATGCAACAAATAATCCAAACCCATCATATTTATTATATGAATTTTTAATACCTAAAGTTGCTACTATTCCACCTGCCTCTTGCATACTTCAGTTGCCTGAAAGGATCTTATATATTAAAATAGGATTACCATAAAGAAAGGAAAACCAAAATTGAAAACTGCAGCACCTTCAACAGTATCTGTATAAGAACAGAAGCTAAGATCAAATGACATGAACTAAGAGAACATACAGATGTCTATGTGTAGATTCTCCACCTAGGAAGAAAGATTCAAATAAGAGCACTAGGTGGGAGGACTGGTAAGCACATCAGAGTTTCTGGTAACTTGGCACACACGCCAAAAAATTCTACCGGGCGCAGTGGCTCACTCCCGTAATCCCAGCACTTTGGGAGGCTGTGGAGGGTGGATCATGAGGTCCGTAGTTCAAGACCAGTTGGGCCAAGATGGTGAAACCCGGTCTCTACTAAAAATACAAAAATTAGCCGGGTGTGGTGGCGGGCATGCCTGTACTCTCAGCTATTCAGGAGGCTGAGGCAGAGAATTGCTTGAACCCGGGAGGCAGAGGTTGCAGTGAGCCGAGATCATTATGCCACTGCATTCCAGCCTGTGCGATGGAGCAAGACTCCATCTAAAAAAAAAAAAAAAATTCCCCCAGTATTTTATTATAAACATGGCAAAAAAAAATATTTTTTTTTTTTTTGAGACAGAGTCTCGCTCTGTCACCCAGGCTGGAGTGCAGTGGCATGATCTCCGCTCACTGCAACCTCCGTCTCCTGGGTTCACGACATTCTCCTGCCTCAGCCTCCTGAGTAGCTGGGATTACAGGCGCCCACCACCATGCCCAGCTAAAAAAAAAAAATGTTGAAACAATGAAAGGCATGGAAACTACTTACACTATTTATCAGCTGAATACTATGATCCTTGCTAACCTGACTCATTTCTTGCATTCATTTCCTCTACCCCCAGACCATAGTCTAATTTGCCACCCAGCAGCCAGAGTGCCTTATATAAAACATAAATCAATTATGTCACTTCCCTACTCAACTCAGAAAAGATTATTCACCTACCTCCTGTTAGTATCCTCCAAATTATTCCCAATGCCACCTGAGTGATATTCCTCTACTATCAATCTGATCCTAGTACTCTTTCTTCTCTGAATTCCTATAACAGACTGTGTGTAGACAATTCTTGTACACTGAAAATCATTCATTTTTTGGCCTGTCTTTACTACTATTTAAGAGATACTGAATACATTTTTATCTGCTGCTCCTTGAACGTTCAAATCCCAACAGAGTGATGGGCACAGAGTAGACATTCAAATTGTCACGGCACACTAAACAATATGCAAGTAGGTAAAGGGTGAGGGGAGGATGACAGAGGGGCAATGTGTGGGACCACATGCATATGGCGCTTCTCCAATCTCCTAAAGCTTGGAAGGCCATAGTGATCGTTAGAAATGAGCTTCAAGAAACAAGCTTCACTGTTGTATTTAACAAAGATTTAGGACTGAGACTCACACCTTACTCGTAACTATATCCCCAGCACTTATTACAGGGCCTGCTACATGGGAGATACTCCTTAAATATTTGCTGAATGAATGTTGAATTTCAAATGACAAAGCAATACTATGAGAACCATATTATGCAGACAAGAAAATGTCACAGATGTCTGCTAGCTAATGATAAAAAAAAACTAGCAATTGTTAGTTTATTTCAAAACAAATAAATAAGGGCCGGGTGCAGGTGCTCACGCCTGTAATCCCGGCACTTTGGGAGGCCGAGGCGGGTGGATCACCTGAGGTTAGGAGTTCGAGACCAGCCTGGCCAACATGATGAAACCCCATCTCTACTAATAATACAAAAAATTAGCCGGGCGTGGGGGCGGGCACCTGTAATCCCAGCTACTCAGGAGGCTGAGGCAGAAGAATTGCTTGAACTCAGGAGGTGGAGGTTGCAGTAAGCCGAGATCGTGCCACCATACTCCAGCCTGGGCAACAAGAGCAAAACTCTGTCTCAAAATAAATAAATAATCCTAATGACAGATAATCCTAATCCATCTGAACTATCTGTATCAGATGCCAGCTTTATATCCTGGCACATTCTTCTACCCAGTCATTTTCAAGTCACTAGATAACTCTTACCATAGGACCCCTCAAGAAGTATGACAATGAATAAATAATGCAAATTATTGTACTTTGGAATTTTGCCAACATTGGTTTCAAAATAAAGGGAAAACATGTGTTGCATAATGACATTTCAGTCAACGATGGACCACATATATGACAGTTGATACACAAGAGTATAATGGAGCTTAAAAATTCCTATCACTTAGTATTTACTATAGAATACTTTTCATCACTATTTTAATGTACTCCTTCTACTTATTTAAAAAAAAAAAAAGGAAGAAGAAAGAAAAAAGTTGGCCAGGTGCAGTGGCTCACACCTGTAATCCCAGCACTTTGGGAGGCCGAGGTGGCTGGATCACGAGGTCAGCAGTTCAAGACCAGCCTGACCAAGATAGTGAAACCCCATTTCTACTAAAAATACAAAAATTAGCCGGGTGCAGTAGCAGGCGCCTGTAATCCCAGCTACTCGGGAGGCTGAGGCAGAAGAATTGCTTGAACCTGGGGGACAGAGGTTGCAGTGAGCTGAGATTGCACCACTGCACTCCAGCCTGGGTGACAGAGTGAGACTCTGTCTCACAAAAAAAAAAAAAAAAAAAAAAAATTTAACCGTGAAATAGCCTCAGAAAGGTCCTCCAGGAGGCAGGTATTCCAGAAGAAGGTAAGGCATTGCTAACATAGGAGATGACAGCTGCATACATGTTATTGCCCCTGAAGATCTTCCAGTGGGACAAGATGTGTTGCTGGAAGACAGTAATATTGATGATCCTGCCCTTTGTAGGCCTAGGCTCATGTGTATGTTTCTGTCTTAGCGTTTAACAAACACATTTAAAAAGTAAAAATAAATAAAATTTTAAAAATAAAATAAATAAATAAAATAAAATTATTTATTTATTTTTATTTATTTATTTATTTATTTATTTGAGACAGAGTCTCACTCTGTCACCAGGCTAGAGTACAGTGGCGCAATCTCGGCTCACTGCAACCTCCGCCTCCCGGGCCCAAGTGATTCTCCTGCCTCAGCCGCCCAAGTAGCTGGGACTACAGGCACCTGCCACCACACCTGGCTAACTTTTTGTATTTTTAGTACAGACGGGGTTTCATCATGTTGGCCAGGATGGTCTCAATCTCTTGACCTCGTGATCTACCTGCCTCGGCCTCCCAAACTGCTAGCATTACAGGTGTGAGCCACTGCGCCTGGCCATAAGTAAATAAAATTTAATTTTAAACACTTAAACAATAAGGAAATATTTTTGTTCAGCTGTACAATATACTTGTGTTTTAAGTGTTATTACAAGAGTGTGAAAACGTTTTCAAAAATTAAAAGGTTCATAAAGTAAAAATATTATAGTAAGCTAAGGTTAATTTATTATTATGAAAGAAAAATATTTTGTATAAATTTAGTGTAGCCTAAGTGTACAGTGTTTATAAAGTCTACAGTAGGGTGCAGGGTATGTCCCAGGCCTTCACATTCACTCACCACCCACTCACTGACTCACCCAGAGCAACTTCCAGTCCTGCAAGCTCCATTCATAGTAAGTGTCTTAGACAGGTGCACCATTTTAAATTTTTCATACCATATTTTTACTGTACCTTTTCTAGTTTAGATGCTCTGCAGTGCCTACGGTATTCAATACGGCAATATGCTGTACAGGTGTGTAGCCTGGGAGCAATAGGCTATACCATATAATGGCCTAGATATGTCATAGGCTGTACAATCTAGGTTTGTGTGGGTACACTTGATGATGTTCGCATGATAACAAAATAGCCTGACACATTTCTCAGAACAAATTCCTGTGCTTAAGCAACACATGACTGTACTATACTTGATGCAGTAACCTCAATCAATAGGAATTCTGTGAATATGTCAAAATGCCAAAAAATTACATAATCTTTTAGGAACCCCCCCACCCAACAAATATTCCTTTCCCGCTGAACATAGGAGATTCTTTTTTTTGTTGTGTTTTTGTTTTTGTTTTTGTTTTGAGACGGAGTCTCGCTCTGTTGCCCAGGCTAGAGATCTCGGCTCACTGCAAGCTCTGCCTCCCGGGTTCACGCCATTCTCCTGCCTCAGCCTCCTGAGTAGCTGGGACTACAGGCACCCGCCATCACACCCGGCTAATTTTTTTTTGTATTTTTAGTAGAGACAGGGTTTCACCATGTTAGCCAGGATGGTCTCAATCTCCTGATCTCGTGATCCGCCCACCTCAGCCTTCCAAAGTGCTGGGATTAAAGGCGTGAGCCACCACGCCTGGCCAGGAGATTCTTAATTATTTCTGAACTCTATCAGTTTTGTATTAGGACATCTTATTTAATATTATCAAAAGATAGTTCCTCTTAGAGGCATAAATCAGTCAATCAACAAACAATAGGCAATCAGGATTCACTACGTGCCAGGCTGTACTCTGGGTACTGGGGATACGGCTGTGAATAGAATCTCTACCCTCAGGGAGTTTACAGTCTTAAAGAGCCTATCTGATTTTAAAAAATTAAAAATAAATTAAAAAAAAAAAAAAAGCAGGCCAGACACGGTGGCTTGTGCCTGTAATTCCAGCACTGCAGGAGGCAGAGGCGGGCAAATTACTTGAGGTCAGGAGTTCAAGACCAGCCTGACCAACGTGGCAAAATCCTGTCTCTTTGTATTTTGTAAAAATACAAAAATTAGCCAGGCATGGTGGCGCATGCCTATAGTCCCAGCTACTCAGGAGGCTGAGACAGGAAATTCGCTTGATCCCAGGAGGCAGAGGTTGCAGTGAACTGTGATTGCACCACTGCACTCCAGCCTGGGCTACACAGCAAGATTCTGTCTCAAAAAAAGAAGGGAAAAAAAGAGGGAATAATTAATTATGTCAAATGCTAAGAATTCAAGACAGATATCTGTATAAATGTTAATATTGTTAACAAAAAGATAATACCCTAAACTTTTCCTTTCTCAATTTAGAGTATTTGCTAGCTCTGAGCCAACCCACAATCACCCAGCAGAGGCCTTATTTATGAAATAACACAGAAAACAAACTCACTAAAAATGAAAAGTGAGAAGGAAAACTGTCTATGGCTATTTGCCAATAAATAATGGTGATTCCACATGGCTTACCCCCTTATGCACACATTGTTGGGCTTCTAAGATGCCATCAACTACGAGAAACACCATCAACTCTGCAAAAACTCTTCCAGAGGGGTAGAAGTTAAATGCAAGTTCTTATCAATTTTAAGATACATCCCAATTTCATACATTAATTTGGATAAGTGGAGGTGGAATAAATAATAAAATAAATATACAAACACACTGCCACTTTTAGATGATCTGGTCATCAGAGCAAATACCTGCTAAGAGGTTAACACCTTCTGATCTTGCCTTAGAACATTCATGCCAGGTCCTCCAGTGCCTTAAAAGGAGAAGCAATATTAGAGAAGGGCACTGAAGGAAAGAAGGGCCAGGCAGATGGACAAGAGTGGACCAGGGAAGGGAAAGGTAGGAAGAAGGCACCAACTTAGAGAGTGCCCAAGAAAGAACTCCACCTACTTCGAGATTTGAGCGTTAGAACCCCTTAGAGTGCTCGTAACCTCTGATATGCAGCTGAAAACCATCTGCACATAAGCTAAATATTGCCAATGCCAAAGTTGGGATATCAGATCTATTTTGGAGAGCTGCAAACTTCAGGCTAGACAGATGGAATCTAGATTTCAATATCTTATTATTTACAGTCTGTTGTTGTTGTTGTTGTTGTTGTTGTTGTTGTTGTTGTTGTTGTTTGAGACAAAGTCTCACTGTGTCGCCCAGGCTGGAGGGCAGTGGCATACAGTCTTTCTTTATTACAAACAGTACTGCAATGAGTAGCAATGTACACATGTCATTTTTATGTTTCCCAGATTACTTTTGGAATCGAGTCCAAAAAGGTGGGAATGTGGGGTCAGAGGATAAATTCTCATGAAATTCCATTACATACTGTAAAATTCTTCTCCACAAAGGTGTGCCACTTTGCACTCCCATGAGCAGGGCCTGTGAGTGCCCTTTACCTGCAGCCTTGACCCTGGAGTCTGCTATGAAAACTTTGGACTTCCGCCAATCTGGTGAAAAACAACAGTGAGGGTGTAACATGCATTTTTCTTATTATGAGTGAGCTGGGCACCTTTTCACGCATAAGGGCCCCTCGCAGTGTTTTTTTTTTTTTTTTCTGTTTTTCATCTTTTCATCTGTACCTATTTTTTGCCCATTTTTCTATCAGGCTAATAGTTATTTTCATCTCAAATTTTAATTTACTCATACACATACGCCACATAGGATATCAACCCTATCTATATCTATGATAGAAGTCACAACATTTTTTCCAGTTTGTCATTTTACTTTTTTATCGTTTCTTCATACTTTTTTATTTCTAAAATAGCAAATGTGTCACTCTTTTCTGTTATTGCTGATGGGTTTTGAGTCATTATTAGAACACTTCCTCTATTCCCAAATTACTAAGTAATTCACCCATGTTTTCTTCTAATACACATATGGTTTTGCATTTATATCTCGGATCTATTAGGAATTTATCCTGATATACATTGATCTCGCATAATTTTAAAATGCAAAACAAAATGAGATCCTATATTCTCGTATCAAAATAGAAAATATTAAGTGCGATACTATCCAGTGCAAGCAAAAGAATGGGAAAACTGGCAACCTCTCCCTCTGCTGATGGCAGGCTACGCTGATGAAACTCTTTGGAAGGCAAAGTAGAAAAAACTAGCAAATATATATGCACGTCAGAATTTCTCCTACATGTGCTTGTAGGATACTTACATCACATACCCATACACATGTGTACACACACGCACGCACACACACAAACATATATAAATAAGTAATTCTCATTGAAGATTATTGACAAGGCAAAAAACATAAAAAGCCAACATATCCACTATAACGACACTGGTTAAATAAATTACGGGACTGCAGCTGAAATATCATGCCTGTTTAGAAAGCAACATAAATCTCTACGTGCCAATTTGTAACAATCTCTGTGATATTATCAGAAGAAACAAAGCAAGGTGTAGAAGAATATGTCTAGTATCTACTTTGTGTTTTACAAAGGAAAAAGAAAAAAGGGAAATTCTGTTCTAAGCAAAGAAAATGGATAGAAGTATACATGAAAAACTGGTTTGCCCTTGAAGGCAAGATAAAGGTTCAGTGGGCTCCAATATTGTATTCATGTGCATCTTTTATATTCTTTCTCTTTTTTTTTAAACTTGCATGGATACTACTTTTATAATTTTTTAATGCTTAATCCTGAGAAGGGACACATGAATATTTAATTTATATCTATCTGTACTGTTTGAATTGTTAAAAGCATGCATTGCCCTTTTTTCCCTTAAAAAACTTATCAACGCTTTTTAAATGTTTTTAAGTTTCCCTTTCCATACAGCTTGGAATCAATAGCTTCCTTTTATTTTAAGGTGAGAACATAAACTATTTTCCTGCTGTGATCCATCAGAAAAACAGTGACCTGATATACATTTTCCAAGGGACTTTTCCCTTGCCTGCTAAAAGCTTTTGGACTCACCGAACCAAGAAAATAATAGTCACCAACAAAAGAAATAAACTATTGTTGTAATTGAAACACTTTACTTTCCAAACTATTTCTTTATATACAGAAAAATTATTTTTAAATCCAGGGTAATAAAAATCTGATTAGTAATAACGATAATAGCTAACATTATTGAGTACCTATTATATATCCAGCAATAAACTTGGCCTGTCACATTCATTTTTTCATGTAATCCTCCCACGTTGACCTTCATTTTTATTCCAATTTTATAGAGGAGGAACCTAAGGTCTAGAAAAGAAAAGTAACTTGCCTAGAATCACACGGTGAGAGGGTTGGCAGGGATTACAAACCCAGACAAACTGACTCCAGAGACTGTGAATTTAAGGAAATTATAATGGCTCATTAGTGGCTCTTTGCCTATTGATCAAAAAACAATGTAGACAATATCTAAAAACTAAAATAAGTAATATTACATGGCCTTACAGTTGTCATTTCTAAGACTAACAATCGGGCTTCAAAAGCAGCCGTTCTGCTATTTTCAAAATTTCTAAGATCTTGAACATGTCATGTCTTGGCCTTTGGTAATGAGCAGGAGACATGGAAGCAAAGGGAGATTAATAATGAATGCAGGATTATTACCCTAAAGCACAGGCAGACTCTCACAACTACGAATCTGCCCTTCCCCCTGCAGGCTTCTGCATAATGGTGGCATTATAGAAGAGACAGCACGGTTCACATCAACACTATTCAGGAGAACAAACCTTTATCTTACACAACAGTTCCATTTGAAAATCAACCCAAGAAACAACACAAAACAATAAAAGGAGTCTATTCATGGATTTAAGTAAGGAGGGTATGGAGGTTGATACAAATAAAAATTCAGTAAGAACAAAACAAAGAGAGAAAACAGTTTGATTGTCTTGAACCCAAAAAGCATGTTTTGAGAGTTTCTTTACCACAGAACTCTGGAAGACAAGTCAAGTCCAAACATTTTAAGTGTGCAGTACGTTTACCCATACCCAGAGGGTTTATTTACGTAACACAAATCATTGACTGCCTACTAAAAACTGAGAATAGAGTATGCTTTAATAAGAGAATTCGAAAGCACCCTTAAGGTACAACTTGAAAAATAACTTCTTAAAACCAATGAAAATGGTCGGCGCGGTGGCTCGCGCCTGTAATCCCAGCACTCTGGGAGGCCAAGGCGGGCGGATCACGAGGTCAGGAGTTCAAGACCAGCTTCACCAACATGGTGAAACCCCATCTCTACTAAAAATACAAAAATTAGTTGGGCGTGGTGGCACATGCCTGTAATCCCAGCTACTCGGGAGGCTGAGGCAGAAGAATCACTTGAACATGGGAGGCGGAGGTTGCAGTGAGCCGAGATCGCACCACGGCACTCCAGCCTGAGCAGCAGAGCGAGACTCCAACTCAAAAAACAAAAAGAAAACAAAATAAAAATTCTGGTCAATAGATTAATTTTTTTCTTTACATTTCATTTATTTTTCTTTATTTGGACTTACACAATGCTCAGCATGGAGTAACCATGTTTTCAAAATCTGTTTTCTAAAAAGAATAAAAGTGATTCATGATAAAGTATTTTCCTTTAAGCCAGCTAGGGTTGGAGCGCTGGGAGAACGAGCAGAAAAAGGGGGGAAAAGGAGGAAAGAGTAGAGGAGAAATGATAGGAAGACACTGACAAAGAGTACCTATGCTCCCATTCTGAAACTCTCAAGAGTATGAACTGGCCCTTTGTATGGTGGTGGTGTCTGTAGAGTGAGTCTCTGACTAAAGGAAATAGAAGCTACTAGGAAGAAGCAGTTATTCTCGGAGATTACTTATATAATGAGTTTGTTCTCTTAAAATAGTCCCCCTGAGTGCTTCATAGAAATAAGATGAGGAAACCAAGGGTCAACTTGAAGTCTGTTCATTATATGAAAGACGATTTTTTCTTTTAAATGAAAAATAATAGCTGGCAAAGCTCTACCAGTAACTATTGAAAATTAATTATGGCTATTACCCCATAGCTAAGTAGGCCTGGTCATAGTCAAATCAGGTACAAGACAGACGTTGTACTTACCATGTAGAAAAGAACATTATTAATATTCCCCATCCTCATTCCAAATTAAATTGCTCTATTGATTTTGACATATAATTATTTCAGAAGTTACTGCATCTAGAGAATCCCTAGGCCGGGCGCGGTGGTTCATGCCTATAATCCTAGCACTTTAGGAGGCCGAGGCAGGCGGATCATGATGTCAAGAGATCGAGACCATCATGACCAACATGGTGAAACCCCGTCTCTACTAAAAATACAAAAATTAGCTGGGCATGGTGGCGCGTGTTTGTAATCCCAGATACTTATGGTGGCGCGCGTTTGTAATCCCAGATACTTGGGAGGAGAATCGCTTGAACCAGGGAGTTGGAGGTTGCAGTGAGCTGAGATCGCGCCACTGCACTCCAGCCTGGAGACAGAGTGAGACTCCGTCTCAAAAAAAAAAAAAAAGAATCTCTAATAAGATACTATTTCTGTAAGTCAAAAAAAGTTTTATAAACCAAGAGCCTATATAAACACCAAATGGACTTTCCAGGGCCCTTCACGATCCAGCCACCATGCCCCAATCCAAAACTACTGCTCACCAGGCCCATCTTACAAGCAATGTTACAGCCACAGTGAGCTGTCAGGCCCTTAGGCCTAACATACAAAACTCAAAAACTTAAAAGACCAAAGCTAATAGAAAAAAACGGGCAACAAATATGAACTGAGAGTTCATGAAAAAATGAAACACATATGGTTCTTGAACATACAAAGAGATGTTCAACTTCATTCTTAACAAATGAAAACTAAAACTGCACTTTTTAAAAAAAATACTATTTTTCACTTACTAGACTGTCAAAAATCCAAAAGTTTGATAGCACACTATACTGATGTAACTGTGAGAAAACAGTACTCTTCATGCTTTGCTGGTGGGCATAGATACCAGATCGCCACTTAAGGAGGTAATATGACAGTATCTACTGAAATGGCAGGTGCATATTCTCAGACCTAGCAGTTCACCTTTTAAGAAGTTAGCCTACTGCAAACATACAGGTATTATTTGTAATCGTAAAAAATGACTGGTTACAAATATTTTAGTACCTTCAGAACAAATATTCCTATAAACAAATGAATAACCTCTAAGTTCCAATGCAGAAAGATCTCCAGGTCATATTATTCAGAGAAAAAAAAATAAGACAATAAAAATATATACAGTAGGCTATCCCTAGGGATAAGAAGGGGAAAATCTAGAATATATAATCACATTTGCTGGTATTTACATAAAATTTTTTTGGATGTATACCAGAAACACACAGCAGTGGCTATATGCTGGGGCTGGGAGAAGGGAGTAAAAAAGAGTTAATGGGAAAGAAGAGGAAAACTTTTCCTTGTATGACTTCTACTTTCATTTAGAAACTATTCTAAAAATTAAATATTTTTAAAGTAAAAGGCAATCATAAAAACTGTAGCTTTTCTTAATACATCTTCCTGCTATCTCCTCATTTCTTTTTTGTTGTTGTTGAGACAGAGTTTCGCTCTGTTGCCCAGGCTGGAGTGCAGTGGCACAGTCTTGGCTCAGTGCAACCTCTGCCTCCCAGGTTCAAGCGATTCTCCTGCCTCAGCCTCCCGAGTAGGTGGGACTACAGGCACCCGCCACCACACCCGGCTAATTTTTGTATTTTTAGTTGAGGTGGGGTTTCACCATATTGGCCAGGCTGGTCTTGAACTCCTGACCTCAAGTGATCCTCCCGCCTCGGCCTCCCAGAGTGCTGAGATTACAGGTGTGAGCCACTGTGCCCGGCCTTCCTCATTTGTTTACTCCCCCTTCATTATCAAACATCTCGAAAGAACTCTCTCTATGCACGAGCTATACTCTGTCACCTCACATTCACTCATCTACCACTTCATTTTGGTGAAGACCCTCAACTACCCACCGTGTCCCTAAAACTGCTTTCATCAAGGTAACTGACACCATAAACATTTGGCAGAATGCACAAAGCAGTGAAACAGTCCTTTCTTTTTTCTTTTTTCTTTTTTTTTTTTTTTTGAGACGGAGTCTCACTCTGTCACCCAGGCTGGAGTGCAGTGGTGCGATTTCCGCTCACTGCAACTTCTGCTTCCCGGGTTCAAGCAATTCTCCAGTCTCAGCCTCCCGAGTAGCTGGGATTACAGGCATACACCACCATACCTGGCTAATTTTTGTATTTTTAGTAGAGACGGGGTTTCACCATGTTGGCCAGGCTGGTCTCGAACTCCTGACCTCAGATGATCCACCCGCCTCGGCCTCCCAAAGTGTGGGATTACAGGCATGGGCCACTTCACCCCGCCAACAATCCTTTCTTTATGTTATCAACAGCATCACTCTCCCTGGCCTTTCTACTTTATCCATCTCCCTCCCCCATCCCACCTCTCAGGACTCGGAGTTTCAGAGGACCTAGATTTGGATTCCCTTCTCTTCTGTGTACTAGATGATCCCATCCATCCCTCCCATGGTTTGAAATACTACCATTTGGCTGAGATGATAGCCAAATTTATACTTCTAGTTCACACACGCATCTGAGCTCACTATCCAACTCACCTAAGAACATCACTGGAATGCATCACAGAAATACTAAACTTGACACAAATAATTTCCAAAATTGAACTCTCAAATTTTCACCCTGTATTCATCAGGTTCTAGTTAGGAAAAAAGAAACCACTCTAAGCATTAAAACAGATACAAATTAACAGAGAAATGTGGTTACATGGCAATAGAAGATCCAAGACTCCAAACAGGGAATGGGAAGGAACACCAAAATGAACAACAGCAGTGATGGGGCTCAGAGCACACTACCCCAAAATATACCACCTCGACATAGTGAGTATTTTAAATGGAAGAGATCTGAAAAATAGCAGAAGCAGGAAGGTCTCTCTGACCTTGTCCCTCTTGTCTCCCCTGAAACAAGTCATAAAACCTAGAAGAAAATTTCTGACCTTCCCCTGAAGCAGGTTGTAAGACCCTCATCTGAGACATGCCCTCCCTATACCCAGAGGAAAGGAACATCCTTATCTCTGAAGACGAGGGGACACAGAAGAATCTGGCAAAATCAGGTCCTACTATGTTTCCCCCAGTTTACTACCATTAGATCACACTCTTTTACCCTACCATATTTCTCCATGGCTCTCCACTCTTCTTCAAACCTACTATAAAAAATACTAAAGTTTACCTGTTTCTTTGGGTCTTCATTTCCTTGTGAAAGTTCCCATGTCACATAAAACTTAAATAAATTTGAATGTTTTTCTTCTGTTAATCTGTCTTTGGCAATTTGATTTTCAGACTCAGCCAAAGACCCTAAGAGGATAGAGGAAAATCTTTCCTCCCTTTTCCCAGCAGGAAGCTACTACCAGCCTAAGGGCTGGGGAGACCCACTAGAAGAGGTGGTACAGGTTGAGTATCCCTAATCCAAAACTCTGAAATTCAAAATGCTCCAAAATCTGAAACTTTTTGAGTAACCGCAGGATGCTCAAAGGAAATTCAACATTTTGGATCTTTGGATTAGGGACGCTCAACCAGTAAGTGTATAATGCAAATATTCCAAAATCTGGAAAAAAAAAATCCAAAATCAAAAACACTTCTGGTCCTAAGCATTTGAATAAAAAATACTCAACCTGTATTATAAGAGCCCAATAGCTGGGATCATTTGACAGGGGCTAGAATAGCAGGAGTTGCCCTTTGGGACCAGGGACTACAAAGGAAGGAAGGAGCTCCCTGACAGCTGAAGCCACAGGAATGAAACTGCCACTTCCTGGGACACCACCCGGAGTAAAAAGGGAGGGAGAAAAATACCCTACCTTCTCCCTACTCCTACCCTCCAGTCTTCCATCAGTGCCTCCAATTGTCCAGATCTACTCACAAAAGCCAAATGGTAAGGATACCTATGAAATGCAATACAAAACAGGACTGAGAGGGTCAGAGAATTGGATTTGAGACCTAATAAGCAAATGACTAAACCTCACTTCTTCCAGTGTTCTACAGTTCCATAAATGGCACATCTCCCCAAATGGTGAAACCAGAACCCTAGGAATCATCCTTTTTTTCTTTCTTCTTTTTTTTTTTTTTTTTTTTTGAGACGGGGTTTTGCTCTTGTTGCCCAGACTGGAGTACAATGGTGCAGTCTTGGCTCACTGCAACCTCTACCTCCCAGGTTCAAGCGATTCTCCTGCCTCAGCCTCCCAAGTAGCTGGGATTACAGGCATGAGCCACCATACCTGGCTAATTTTGTATTTTTAGTAGAGACGGGGTTTCACCATGTTGGTCAGGCTGGTCTCAAACTCCTGACCTCAGGTGATCCTCCTGCCTCGTCCTCCCAAAGTGCTGGGATTACAGGCATGAGCCACCACACCTTGCTGGAATCATGTTTAATCATTCCTTTCCCCTCACCATCTTCCATGGCAAATCCAACAATTCCCAATGTATTTTATCTCCAAAATAATGTGAAATACACCTGCTACTTATCACTACTACCACCACCACTCTTGTATAAGCCATCATGTCACACCTGGACCATTGCAATAATCTCCTTTCTCCCTATGGTTTCCATTAAGGCAATTCAGGGAACTAGCAACAAACTAGAAAGCAAGAGTTTGTTTTAATAGTCATAGATAATCTGTACATATGCATAATTGAAAACTGGGTCAATAAGATACATACTATTTGCAGCTAGTTAAACATTTATTTTGATGAAAAAGAAAATAAGTCGTTATTGAGAATTTACTACACATAAAATAATAAAGTTGTTCAAAAAATTCAATTGTATCCATAAATTTGTATGTCCCCCAAAAATCTCCTTCCTTATTCAAATATTTGAAAAGTGATACACTGAAAATAGTTCTATTTAGTAAAGGAGCAGGCCCTAACCAAGAGAAAACCACTCACTAGCAAACTGCCAAAACATCTGCTTTCCATTCAGATTATACACAACCCTTAGTTGTTTGGCACAAATCAATAACACAAGTCATCTGCTCAGAATGGTACATTTCCAGGATCGGCACCAATTCTAGAGTATAGAATTTTAAAGAGACATCTTAAAAGAGATCTTTAGATTAATCTGCAGAATATTATCTCCAATATAAGAACCACTTCTAGATTTTGACCTAGCAAACTTACTTGGTCAAAACAACTACCAATTTCATAATTAAAAAGAAAATACTATCACAACTCAATAACAAAAAGACAATCCAATTTAAAAATGGGCAAGAGATCTGAATAGACATTTCTCCAAAGACATATAAATAGCCAACAATCACATGAAAAGAGGCTCAACATCACTAGCCATTGGGGAAATACAAATTAAAACCACAATGAGATAGCACTTCACATCTACTAGGATGGCTATACTTTTTTAAAAGTAGTAACTGTTGGCAAGGACGTGAACTGGAACCCTCATATGCTCCTAATCAAAATGTAAAATGGTTTGGCTGCTTTGGAAAATAATCTGGCAATTCCTCAAATTGTTAAACAGAGAGTTAACATATAATCTAGCAATTCCTCTCCTAAGTATATACCCCAGAAAAATGAAAACGTGTTCACATAAAAACTTGTACATCAATGTTAATAACAGCATTATTCCTAATAGCCAAAAAGCAGAAACAACCCAATGTCCATCAAGTGATAAATGGATAAATAAAATGTGGTATATTTATGCAATGGAATATTATTCAGCAATCAAAAGAAATGAAGTGCTGATACACACAACATAGGCGAATCTTGAAAACATTATGTAAGTGAAAGAGGTCAGGCACAAAAGAACATAGGTTGTCTGATTCTACCTCAAACGCATGTCCAGAAGAGACAAATCCACAGCACAGAAAGTAGACTGGTGATTGCCTAGGGCTGAGAGGGATAGGAGGACTGAGTGGGCTCAGCTAAAGGATGTGGAGTGTCTTTGTGTGGTATTGAAAATGTTTTAAATTGACTCTATGAAAACTGTGTATTTCAAATGAGTGAATTTCATGGCATAGGAATTATTATCTCAATACAGCTGTTAAAAAACAAAAACAAAAACAAAAACCTAGAGGTAAGCTGGAGCCACACCATCACCACTGTTCTCATTTCTGTGCCCACTGCCTAAATGTATCTTCCACCTGTCTGCCCTAACCAACTCCTGCTACTCATCTTTCATAGAGCAGTGTACACGTCACCTCCCCCAGGAAGCTTTCTCTACTCTCTTCAGAAAGGAAGGCACTGCTTTCTATGTGCCCACAGATGGGCCCGTGGTACATCCTGGCAACGATTCAAAAATAAATAGTCCCTCGATGAACTAAGCAATCTTTAAGTCTTCAGAGCCAAACTCAGGAGATAGAAGAGACTATGCTATTATTATTGGAGAATGAATAATAAAAGAATAAATACATGAATGAACAAATAAGCGAGACCAAGAAAGCAGAAAGGTAACTTAATGAGTAGGCATCATGACCGAGGTAGGAGAAAAACAGACTAGTTGTCAGCAATCAAAAATTAACACTAAACAAACACTCTCAGCAGAAGCTGGGGTTAAGCTCTGACAGAGAGTCTGGTATTTCTTGGAAGGGATCTTCTTGTTCTAACAGAAACATGGATAGCAATCTTTCATTCTCTGAAGCAAAGATGGTCTCCAACTTACAATGATTCGACTTATAATTTTTCAACCTTACAATGGTGCAAAAGTAATATACATTCAGTAGAGCCCATGTGTCAAATTTTGAATTTTCATCTTTTTCAGGCCAGTGATATGCACTACAACGCTCTCTCGAGATGCTGGGCAATGAACCACTGCTCCCAGTCAGCCACACGATCAAGAAGGTAAACAACTAATAATCTACAGTGGACTGTTTTGCCAGATGATTTTGCCCAATTATAGGCTAATTTAAGTGTACAAGCACATTTAAGAGAGGATGGGCTAAGCTATGATGTTCAGTAGGTTGGGTGTATTAAGCACATTTCCAACATATGAATTTTCACTTTGCCAGGATGTAACCCCATCCTAAGTCAAGGGGCATCCGTGTTACACACCAATTTTAAAAATGCACTTACTAAAATATCATTAAAATGTTTTCATTTAACAGATGTGATGAATGAACACATACAGTATAATTATAGACATGCAAAAGAAAAAATAAAAGAAAATGCACCAAAATGTTTACAGTTGCTATATTTAGATACTGGAATTCATGCTATACAGAACAGGTCCTTTCAGATTCTAGATGCTTCCAGGCACGAGTTTGGGCCTAACATGGTAAGTCTTCTTCCCCAAGCCTGAACCCTACCATCTAGAGGTTTTTACAGGTCTCTGGAGACATGTCCTGTAACATCTGACTGGTTCATCCGGAAGGGCTGACTCAGAGAAGTGACTTAGGCCCCATGGTCTTTTTCATCCAATTATTCAGCAGAGGACCAGTCTGGGACCTGGCAAGCTGAGGTTCTAACATTTGCCTTGAAGAAGGCTATTTTAAGAGTTCAGAGATTAGATTTAAAGGAATACACCATTAATTATGGGGAAATAGATGCTCAAGTGGAGAAGAGATGGTTGCAAAAATAAAAGAACTTACTGACTGACTAGACATGGGAGATGACAGAGGGAAGAGTTAAAAGTTTCCAATCTACAAGGCTAATACAAAGAGTGACACCAGTAACATAAATGGAAGCTCTAGGGAGGAGCAGGTCAGGGGAGAAGAGTGTAACTTGATCATTAGACATGTTCACTTTGAGATCCCTAACCAGTGATATATGCAAGCAGAACTGTGCCACAAGCTATTGTAGATGCATGAAAGAACTCATGTTAAGGCCAATGAAGCTGATGTCACCAAAGATGACAGAAAACAGGCACTGGGGTAGGGAGGACAGTTGTACACCAGAGGTAAAAATCATCTAGAAGGTGGCAGTATGTCACAGAGGCGTAACAGGTGGGCAGAACTTCAAAAGAGGAGTGTTTACCTGGTTGAGTAATAGTGACAACACAATGGACTTAAAAGTGGCAGCAAAAACAAAACCATGCCGACCTTTTATCTGCCTTATGACTCAGAGGGAATTTGCCTACAAATCACAAGTGCAATTAAAATGCTTGACTTAATTTCCTATACATTTCAATTTTGACTAGGTAATAAATTAGAACTAAATAACCACATTTGCATAGCATTTTCCCACTTGCATTTTCAAATGCATTATCTCATCTGAGCTCCCCAACAACCCCATGACCTAAGTATTTATAACCCCCATCTTATGGATGCGGAAACAGAAATAGAAAGAGATGTTGTGACTTGCAAAGAGGTGTCTTAAGCTGGAAACCAGAAGGCAGTGCCAGGATGGATCTTTGGCTCTACAGGCTGAACTGAAGCAAGCTGATTCCATGCTAGCTATTTGCCATCTGACATTAGGTACTGTGATATGGGATGTCTTCACTCCAATATTCAGGGATTATTTCTTTGAAAATATCCAAAATCATCAGGCTTTGCACATTTATTCAAAGGATTATAGTCACCTGGTTTTTTCTAAGAAAATAATTTTACATTTCAAATGTTATAAATTATCTCTAACCACTCTTCATGAAAAGGTAGAAAAAAAAAAAGGTGAAAAAGCAAACAACAGGGGGCTGATTAAGAATACCAAGAGGGACTGCAGTTCCTTTTACCTCCCTACCCTTCTAGACAAATTCAGCATAAAGACAATAGGTGGGACTGATAAAAGCAGGTGGCTGAGCTGGGGGAAGGCAGAGAGCAGCCTTAGGAAACGTGATCAGAGCCCATCCAAGGGGAAGAGGGTGTCAGGGCACACACAGGATGAGGAAGGCCTCTGTATGGGAGGGTGAATCAATATGGGCTATCAATGCCAGAGACACAAGGAGGGCTGGGCTGGCCACAAAGAGGGGCAGTTTGGCATAAGGTATCAAAGTCTGAGCAGGGACGTGGCGTGGTGGCTCACACCTGTAATCCCAGCACTTTGGGAGGCCGAGGCAGGCAGATCACTTGAGGTCAGGAGTTTGAGACCAGCATGGCCAACATGGTGAAACTCTATCTAAAAATACAAATCTCTACCTAAAAATACAAAAATTAGCCAGGTGTGGTGGTGGGTGCCCATAGTCCCAGCTACTAAGGAGGCTGAGAGAAGAGAATCGCTTGAATCCAGGAGGCAGAGGCTGCAGTGATCCAAGATCGTGCCGCTGCACTCCAGCCTGGCAACAGGGCAAGACTCTATCTCAAAAATAAAAAATAAAAAAGTATGAGCAGGGTAAGAGCATCCACCAAGACAGGCAGCCCAGCACAGGGTCTCAGAGCCCAAGAAGAACATGGGGCATCTCTACAGGGGGCAACCAGCACAGGGTGACAGAGCTGCGGCACAATGGGATGGGCATCTGCATGACAAGGCAGCCTGGCCTGGGGTGTCAAAGACCAGGAGGTGAAAAGGGCATCCATATTGGGCAGGAGAGCAGAAATGGAGTGAGGCAGGTATCACTCCCAGGCAGCAGGATGGCCTGTGCAGGTTCAGAAGAGCCTCTTTGCTGGGTGTTAGAACCAGAAAGGGTGAAAAGGGCATTCCTATAGAGGGACAGCAAGGTGCAGAGCACAGGAATTCAAGAGGGGTGAAAGTTTGAAGAGGAAGGGGAAATTTACATAGCCTCAAAGAACCTCCTCACAAAATACATTTAACTGCGAAGAGGAAAAAATAACCTTACAGTGGAGAAACCTGGCAGACACCACCTTAATCAACTGATCAAAGTTAACATCACCAATAATAGGACAAATCAAAGTCAGGTGTTACTTGATAAGATGCACTGAGAGAGAAAAAAAGCATCATTTCTGAAGATCTTCCCGCCAAAGATGTATAACTTGAACCTACTCATGAGAAAACATCAGAGAAAGCCAAATCAAGACACAATCACTCAAGTAACTGGCCTGTACTCTTCAAAAAATGTCAAAGATATAAAGGCAAGTAAAGAGAGAGAAACTAGTCCAGATTAAAGAAATCTTAAAGAGACATTTCAAAGGGAATCCTTTCTTTTGCCATAAAGGACATTAAGGGAATAAGATGAATGAAGTCTGAGGATTAGGTGGTGGTAATGCCTAAGTGTTATTTCCCTGTTGCTGATGGCTTTGTCGTAGTTGCGTAGGAGAATAATTTTATAGGAAACACACAATAAAGTATTTGGGGATGATGGGGCATCAAGTAAACAGCTCACTATCAAATGACTCAGAAGGCAAAAAACAAAAAAAAAAGGGTTTTGTACTATTCTTAACAACATTTCTGTAATTTTTTCTTCTTTTTGGTTTTATTTTGAAACGAAGACTAAAGAGGCAGGCTGCTCTGCAATGTAAGAATATATAGCTGTCACTGGAAAATTGCAAGAGCATGGAAGGCACTATAAAACATACAACATGATTCTTTAACCACATGAAGTATTTTTTTTTTCCCTGAAAGTAAAATAAGGGTTGGTTTTATGGGAACAATATCAGTGGCAGAACCGACAAAGATACTGACAAAGTATGCTTTTTAAAAATGTTTATGTTAAAGGAACATCTATTTTAAAAGCCAAAATAAGAAAGAATAGTCACATGTAATTATGTTAATAAATCTTTCCCTAAATAGAGAAATACATGAAGTTGATTCAGAGCCAGTTAATGTCTTTGGTGCCTTAAGTATTGTATGCCTGAGACAACAGTCAGACTTTATCATTCTAATTCACATACTACTCTATTTCCAGCTAAAAAAGAATAATCCAGTCTCCCTTCATAGTATTTTTAATATCTACAAAGTATCCAACACCTATTCAAGGTAAAAACACTCAAAAAAACTAGAACTAGACAAGATTTACCTCAAACACATAAAGAGCATCTACCAAAAAATCCCAGAGGTAACATCAGACTTACTCATTGAAAGACAAATTCTTTCTCCCTAAGATTAGGAACAAGGTAGGGATGACCACCCTCACCACTCATACTCAACATAGTACAAGAAATTATAGCCAGGAAAATGAAGCAAGAAAAGGAAATAAAATGCATATAGATTGGAAATGAACAAATAAAACTGTCTCTTTTCACAGATAATATGATTGTCTATCTAGAAAATCCCAAGGAATTTACAACAACAACAACAAAAAACTCCTAGAATAAAGTGACTTCTGCAAGGTCACAGAATTTAAGATTGACAAACAAAAATCATGACCTTTGTATACTAACAGCAAATGAAACAAATTTTAAAAGGCAAATGCCATTCCAATTATACTTCTTTGTGCCAAAGAAAATGAAATACTTAGGTGTATAGCTAACAAAACATACACAGGATCTACATGCTAAAAATTATAAAATTGTGTTGAAAAAATTAAAGTCTCTCCAAATTATCAGAGGAACTTATCAAATTCATGGATTGGAACACTCAACATAGTAAAGATATCAATTCTTCTCAAATTGATATATAACTTTAACGTAATTCCTATCAAAAATCCTAGCAAGGTTCTCAGTAGGCATAAACAAACTTATTCTAAAATTTATATGGAAAGGGGAAGTCCTTAAAATAGCCAAAACAATTCGGAAAAGAATAATGTGGAAGGAACTGGTCTACCTGACTTATTATACAGCTACACCAATCAATACTTTCTGGTCAGATGTGACCAAGGGAAACCTCCCAGGGATCATAAATAAGTATAGCAGATTGTTTAAGGAATTTCACTCACTGCCACAACAGGAAATCTTCAATATTCTTATCCTACAGAGTATGGTATATTTGTGGACCAATGACTATTTTGAGTTTCTAATTCTCCCCTTTTCTAAAGGAAAAGATTTATTTGAGTTATCTCATTCCTTTATCTAGTAGTTTTTGATGTGCTGGAAGTATATATTTGTCTTCTTAGTTCTAGGTCACCAGAGGACAACAAGCTACAACTAGACCTGATGGAGAAAACTATGTATCAAGCAGACATTCTGGACTTTGAAGTAGATGCAATTATGTATAAGAACAGGTATCATCTCCCCGGGAGAGATGGTGACTGAATTCTCTATAAAATGTATTCATAAGAAGGATATATTCGGATTTGGGCTAGCCGAAGAGGTAGATTTTGCAGCAAACCCAGAATGTATTTCCAAACTCCTTCTCCCTTCCCCGTCTACAGTAGAGGCTAGAAAAGCCAACTCCCTTTCACAGCCTTCCTTCCAGATAGAGGTGGCCATGTGAAACAGTCTGGCCATAAGACTTAAGGGGAAGACTGTTGTACTACACAGCTTCCAGGAAGGCTTTTGGTTCCCTGGTAAAACAGAGATGCTGTTGTTGATCCATGCCCTTTCCTGGTGCTTCAAACAGAAAGGTGATGCCTACAGCAGAAGCAGCCATCTTGCAACAAGTAAGGAAAGGCCAAGAAAATTACAGAACAATAGCCCTGCCATTACAGAGCAGCTAAGTCAATGTTGGCAGATATCTACCCTCAAAATGTAAAAATGAATCCTCATTAGTTTAAGTCACTATCGATTGGGTATTCTGTTACATACAATGAAAAGTATCTCTATATCATCTAGTAATAAGTTTTAAAATATTATTAATGGTAATTTACTATTACACTAATACTAACAACAAATAACTAACATTTCTGGAGCCTTTTAGTACTTTCATAACATATATTCATGACATTACATGTTATATATTCTCATATATTACTTCACTTAGCCTCTCTGGATCTCATTTCCTTTCTCTCATTCAACATGTATTTTTGAGTACCTACTATGTGCTGGGAAAACAGAGGAGGATCAAGGTTTTAGTGAAGGTCTCTGCTTCCATCTAGCCAACTTTCTAGCAGGAAGCTTATTTGCAAAATGAGACAGATGAGGGATGATGTCTCCTAACACCAATATTTATGAGGCAATGAAGGTAAGTTCTGCATATAACAGAGGCATTGGAAAAAAAGAAGTTATAAAGGAAGAGGGCTTCTGAACAATGAGACTAACTCTAACTCAGTGAGTCAAGGAAGAAAAAAATGTAACAAAAGTGAACTTAGAAGTAAAATAATTACAAAATAAAAGAAGTAGGGGAAAGTGAACTTATTCACATCCGTGGGACCCTCCACCACCCACCAAAAGTAACTCCAGAGAAGAAAACATAGATCCTAGTTAGAATTTAATGGCTGGGGATGGGGGGATCACAAGAAAGGCAGATCTTGCAGACAGCATTATTGTTTTAAGCCTAAGCTAGTAAGAAAGAGTAATAAGTTAAAATTGGTCAAAGGGGTGCAGAGTTTCCCAATTACAATCTTACAAAATCTGGCCATTTTTTTTCACATAACAGTCTACATTTTCTTCTAAGATGATAATCTATAATCTTTACTACAGCAAAATCTGTTTTATGTTGAGCTCTACCCAAAAGCAATTCATTGACTGTCAATGCCTTATTTCCACCTAACCCAATAGGGAAAATGGATCTAAATATTACAAATCACAGAAGAGGATTAAAGTACACAGAACACATTTGAGCCAAATACTCTAAATGCTTATTAAACTGTCCCGTATAGCATATGTTGACTTTTTATATACTACCTATATAGTTTGACTCATCAGAAAGCACTGATTTTCAGGGATTTGTCATAAGTTAAAGAGATATTCAGAACTTTTCAATTCATTTAGTGAATTCCACATACTGCCCAGGCGGTAACTATGAGAGCCACACAAGACTAACACACACCATTGAAATTCTTCTTCAACTAACCAACACCAAAAATGCAAAATGGATGCGTATTGACTAAACTATTTGAAGTCACCAATACATTTTTCTCTAAAGGCTTTTTTATATTTGATAGATAAGAGCACCCAGGTAAAAAATTTAAGAGTTTTATCATCTACTCAAAAGAAGTTTGCTGAAGTGGAATAGAATATGTAAGAATAGAGTTACAAAAACAGATACCAGTCTCATCTATGGAATACTCTTAGAAAGAGCTATACCTTCTCCAATAGAGTAATTTTTCCTGGAAATTAACTTTCTGTAACATCTTAACCCAGAATTCTTCAGAGTTTTATCTTACTGCAACCAGAGCAAAGACAAATATTGTCTTTTTGAATTATATGTGCTAGGTATTCTGGGAAATCACATTAGGACTCAGAAAACAGATGAAGAGAGGAGGTGAGTATATTTCCTAAACCACAATCATATGACCTGTGCCAAAAAGCATAAAAGCCTTACAGACAGAATTTTGCTGCATTATTACCAAGAGGATATTTCTATTCTACAGCCTACCCTAATTCCAGTTGTTGATGTGAATATAGTAAACTCAAACAAACAAAAATTTGGCCTCTATATACTCCGCAGGCATTTGTTCTTATACAAAATTAAATACAGAAGCTTATGTAAAAAATTGAGTAGCATGCCATCTACATGGAATTTGAAATGCTTCTCAATGTTCATGCCACAGTTTTTTTTTCCCACTACTCTCGTCAATTGTAAAAATGGGTGGTTTTAAATTAATTCTACCATCAGATCTAATCAGTGAGATCATACCAAGTCATATGAGTTTGTGGGGCTCATGGTGGTAGCAAGTTGTTAAGAACATTAAGGTGAAGAGAAGCAGAGACCCAATTACATCAAAAGCAGGACCTTCACATGTATATAAAATGGTGCAGCAGCTATACACTTATTATCTGCCTGGCCTGCCCTCAAGTCAGAAGCAAAGATACAAGAAGCATCCTCAGGAGAGAAAAAAAGACAGCACAGAAAGGGGGGAAAAAACTTAAAAATCGAATGCATTTCCTTAACTAATGATGGGGAATGGTATGGCTAATGATGAACAGTATGGTGGTGGCTGTCTACATGGGTCTCAGTTCTAAATAGTATTTCTCAAGTGTTTTTAAAAAAAGAAAAAGGTATCTACCAAGAACTGACTACCTATCTCTGTTTATACTTCCTCATCCTTGTAGTCACTCCAAACCACCAAATGTCTGCTCATAAATTTTGAAAACAAACTGCTTGAATTAAATAGTAAACTCTCCCAAACTGCACAAGATCTAATACCAAGAAAAGAACTCTACAATAAGCCTCATGTCAAAGGTTATCAGTCCTTCAAAGAAAACACATAAATAATAAACCCATACTCCTTTAAAAAAATATAACCATAGCTATCATTTATTGAGCATATTCTCTGTGCCAGGATCAAAGAGATTTACATGCATAAATTCACTCAATCTTTATAAGGATTCTACAAGGCAAGTACATGATTAGCCCCACTTTACAGATGAAGAACCTGGGCTTAAGTAAGCCAAGGCCAAACATTACAAATAGTGGAACACTGATTTGAACTTAACAGTCTGGCTCCAGACTCTGCAACTTTAATCACCAGTGCTATTAAAAGCACATCAAAATAGACTGATAATAAAATAAAGGTCTACTGCATACTGCTATTTTTCTTTATTTCAGAAACCATGACTTAGGAACCAACAAATATTCCCCTATTAAATAACTACCCTCCAACTTTGATTCACTTTGTAAAACATATACAGCAAGCATTTGCACTGCATAAATATTTTTAAAATCACTATACCTCTTCTGTAAACTATAGCAATAAGATTTTAACAAGATTTGAACATAACATAGCAATTTCCTTTCCTCACTGATTTTGGGAAAGTGTATTGTAAAGGATCACATTTTAAATCCCTTAAAACACTGAATCACTTAAGTGCTACAAAATAAGTCTAAGCTGACAAACTATGTTATATAATAATGTCATATCCTATTCCAAATATCCAAAATGAATCATTGCATAAACTTAATAGTTTACTTTCTTTGCTTAAAAAGTTGGCTTTTATACTGATTATCTTAAGACTTTTCAAAAATTACCAGTCTTCTCAAATAAGTATATGTATTTTCATCACAACTTTAGTTAAGCTCTTTATCTGTTGTTACTAAAAAAATGAATGGGCTTTCTGCAACAACCAAATTTGACCAAAACAATCTGTTTGAAGAGAAGTTATGCTTGCTTTGCCTTGGAAATACAAAGATTTATCTTTCATTATCTTACTAACAGAAGACTTTTAATGTACATTTTTCTTCCCCAAAAAATCCATACAAAAACAATATAATTAGTCACCACAAATATGCTTAGACATAAAAATACTTTATTGAAAAAAGCCTGACAAAGAAAAGTAGTTTCCCTTTTGTTTGAGACAATTAGGGGGAAAAAATTAGTGTGTCAGTTTCTAATGCAAATGATAATCAATTAAGCTCCTTCATCTATAAAATGAGAGTTGTACTAGATAACAGCAAAGATAGCAACTAGATATTACAACTGTACTTAAATGTAAATGGTAAACTTGAGGAGGCAGTAGAGTGGAAAGGCTTTAGGGGAAAGAAAATATTGGTCAAAGTAAAAGATAGCAGAATATCACTTCTCGGCCTTTTGGCTAAGATCAAGTGTAAAGATGGCAGAACAATACAGAATCACTGAACCTGTATCTCTCTGAACCCAATGAACTAAACACAAGAAATAAAATAAGCAAAGAACAACATCAACAGTGTTCTTAACTTGGGAAGGGACCCAAACTGAAACTATAAGCTTTTGAACACTGTCATCTAGAAGCAGAGTAGGCAAAACTAAAAACATTTCAGTATCAATCCAACACTACTCTCCATCCCCTTTGTCTAATATATCCATCCAAAATCAGAAAGCAATACTGTGAAAATTAAAAGGTGAACAGATATAATTCTCAAATATCTCACTGATAGGATCCAATCCTTAGTTTTTTTAATACAATTTTCAAACATACAAGTAAGAAATTAGAAAATATAGTAACCATGAAGAATTTTTTCCTTGGGGTAGGGGAAACTTGTGTATAAAAAATTAGGCAGCCCAAGGAAGAATTAAAACAATTCAAGAATTGAGAAGTCCTTATACGACACAACTGAGAGTGAATAGAGTCCACCTAAATATAGAAGCAAAGCTAAACAAAAGAAAAAGGTAAAGAATAAAGCTGCCATAAACTTAAAAAGTGTTCTTAAAATCACTTAAATATTAGGAGTTGTAATAAATTAGAGCTGGAAACATCAGTAAGAACTCATGTTTAACTTCATAGAGACACATATAGAAATATTTTTATATATGTATTATATCTAAAGATTAGTATATACACATTTTTCCCTGACACTGGGAGAGTTTAAAAGAAATGACACCTCAGTAATAAGCACACCCAGCACCAGATGTTGGTTTCTAACACTACTCTTCAATAAAAGGAATCAAGGCTTCTTGGAGAAATGGCTGATTTTAAGACTGGGGCAGGAAATATGCAAGATGAGCCCAGAGCATCTTGCAGTGCCAAAAAGTGGTCAAAAAAAAAAACACTGAGGTATGCAAAGGGACACAGGAGCGACTGACACGGAAGTGACTGACAGGGTCATCTCCCAATGGCCAAAGCTAGATCAATTTAAGTAACAAAATAAATAAAGTAGTATTGAATTATAACTCAAAGTATAAAATAAATATCTATGTCTCCACAGTGATATAAATGATTGAATAAATTAATAAATGCAGGAGAAGACACAAATCTCCTGTGTAGAAGAATTCCAAATAAATTATGTAGATACACCACTCTAAAAAAGGGGGAGCACAACCCCCCGACTCCTTCAGTGCAAGCTCATGTAATGACTTCCAGTATGGAAGGGAGGGAAGAAAAGAGTAAACTTCACAGTGGAGAAAACTGACAAGCACTACTTCTACCAGGTTTCAGGTTAACACCAACAGTCATAAATCGTGTTGACAATACATACCCAGGATATGATGTGGTGAAAATGGCAGCACACTTGCATGGTCTTCCTCCCAATAACCCATATCCCAGGCTAATCATGAGAAAAACACTACATATATTCTAACAGAGGAACATCCTAGAATACATAATAACCTGGACACCTGGATTCCTTAAAAATGTCAAGGTATGTAGTAGCAAAGCTCTTTGAAAAACCACCACCAAAAAATCTCAAGGTAATCAGTAACAAATTACAATTGTACTTAAATGCAAATGGTAAATCTGAGGCAGCAGTAAGGTAGAGTGGAAAGGCTTTAGGGGAAAAAAAATAAAGTCTGAGAAACTGTCACAGCAAGAGGACCCTAAGGAGACATGACAAGTAAATGTAATATGGTGTCCTGGATGGCATCCTGGAAAAGAAAAGGGACATTAGATAAAAACAAACCATGGACTTCAATAATAATGTATTAATATTGGTTCATTAATTGTAACAAACATACCGTACTAATATAAGATGTAAATAATAGGAGAAGCTATGGCAGGGAAAGAGAGGCACCTATAGGAGCATTCCATACTACCTATTCAATTTTTCTTTAAAAGTGTTGAAAAAATAAAATTATTAACAGAAAAAAATGCACCTATTAGGAAGCCAAAAGTTTTCTTCCAGAAAAAAAAAAAATTCGGTGTTAGACAGGCAGGAAATATAGACCCAGTAAACAAGTGTGCTAGTCTTCTCATCTTTCAAGCATTCAACAAATACTATCAAATGTCCAGAAGTAAGAAAGAGCATTATATTCAGAAATGTAGCTTCAAATCCTCACTCCATCATATATTAGCTGTGTGGCATTAGCCAAGATACTTAACCTCTGGAGCTTCACCTTTCTCATCTATCTTATGTGGATAATATTTATTTTGCAGATTCGTTGTGAAGATTAAAGATGATATATGCAAAGTCACAAGAGCAGATCCAGCATATTGTAGAAGCTTAACAAATGGCACAAACATTTAAATTCTTTAAGAATTTATGCTATTTTCAATAATTCTAAATTCAATCATTCTAAAAGAATGTTAAATTTATAAAAATAGAAAGTCTTTGAGCTATCTTGTTAAATATACATTGTTTGGTTATGACTATTCCAGATTTCATCATTTCCCTCCAAAAGATTAAGGTGACTTTTCTTTTCTCCAGTATAAGCTATGGCTCTGTATATGTGGAAAATAAGGCTTTCAGCCCAAGCCTTGTTTTACCACTTAACCAACACATATGAACTAATAATAGGACTGAGAATCTACGGGAAGAAAACTGAGAAATTCTCTCTAAACGTGAGTTCGCTTGCACAGATAATTTACCTATATTGAACAAAACAGACAAAAGTAGATTACAACAGTTTATTCAAGTCAAAGAAGAGAGGTGTGAGTTAGCTTTCCACAAAAATCCTTCATTAAGAGATGGTGCTATAACCTTTCCAAGTCACTTGAATACATATAGAAAATAGGGGGATATTTAAAATATAGAAAAGCGAAACACAGAAATTTCATTTTAATTTAATCAAATGACTGGCTAGTGAATTCACAAACAAGTGCCTCATTAAATCTTTTTTGGAACTGCAGGGCTCTGGAAGACCTAACCAGTCAAATATGTATGAGATTCAGCAGGTTGTAGCAAGGCATAGACACACCATGAAACTGGAGAAAATTAAGGGGTTGAAATTTGTTCAGAAAAGGAAGAATTGCCAGTCAAATTGGATATATGAATGATACAAATGATAACCAAAATCTGCATTTATTTTATATTGCTGCAAGGTATTTGGTGACTATCTGGTGATTATTAGGGCTATTTGGCAAAAATAATTTCTCATTTTTTTTAACTAGAAGATAGAATTGTATTTATCACATACAACATAATGTTTAGAAGCCTATATACATTGCAGAATGACTAAATCTAGTTAATTGATGTATGCATTACCTCACATAGTTATTTTTGTGATAAGAACACTTTTACATCCACTCTCTTAGCATTTTTCAAGAATACGATATATTGTTAACTATTGTCACCATGTTGTACAATGGTTCTCCTGAATTTACTCCTAACTAAAGCCTTGCAACCTCTGGCTTTCTATTTTTCAAAAGAATTTTATAGATGCACAAGAGTCTGAACCATGTTTTAAGTTTCTGAAGTTGCCTTTGGAGTACAAATCTGAGGATACATCTGAATTATCAATAACAAGTGATATGAGGGTAGCTTAGCTTTAAATAGTTTAAACAGAAAGGAAAGATAATATCCATGGAATCCAATTGACAAATATAATCTAAACTGAAATTTATAGCTATGTAAAATATTTGTACCTGTCACTATCATAGAAGTATATTTTCTCATATGAAACTGAAAAAATCACCAGGTGCAATGGCTCACCCCTGTAATCCCAGCACTTTGGGAGGCCAAGGAGGGTGGACTGCTTGAGCTCAGGAGTTCAAGACCAGCCCAGGCAACATGACAAAACCTCATCTCCACAAAAAATACAAAAATTAGGTAGGTGTGGTGGCACGTGCCTGTGGTCCTAGCTACTCAGGAGGCTGAGGCAGGAGGATCAGCTGAGCCTGGGAAGTCGAGGCTAGAGTGAGCCAAGACTGCGCCACTACACTCCAGCCTGGGTGACAGAGCAAGACCCTGTATCCAAAAAAAAAACGAAAAGAATTGATAAAATGAAAACTGAGCACAAATCTTAGTGGTATAATTCTGGAATCAAATAGGGAATATGCCTGGACACGCTTATTCTCAAGAATGCAGTCATGAATTTGATCAAAATGTTACCAATTTCTAGCATTAAGCCTTATGCACACTTTCAAAAATAGATTAGGCAATATCATTCAGGACATAGGCATGGGCAAGGACTTCACGACTAAAACAGCAAAAGCAATGGCAACAAAAGCCAAAATTGACAAATGGGATCTAATTAAACTAAAGAGCTTCTGCAGAGCAAAAGAAACTACCATCAGAGTGAACAGGAAACCTACAGAATGGGAGAAAATTTTTGCAATCTACCCATCTGACAAAGGGCTAATATCCAGAATATACAAAGAATTTAAACAAATTTACAAGAAAAAAACAACCCCATCAAAAGGTGGGCAAAGGATATGAACGGACACTTCTCAAAAGAAGACGTTTATGCAGCCAACAGACACATGAAAAAATGCTCATCATCACTGGCCATCAGAGAAATGCAAATCAAAACCACAAGGAGATACCATCTCACAGCAGTTAGAATGGCGATCATTAAAAAGTCAGGAAACAACAGATGCCAGAGAGGATGTGGAGAAATAGAACACTTTTACACCGTTGGTGGGAGTATAAACTAGTTCAACCATTGTGGAAGACAGTGTGGCGATTCCTCAAGGATCTAGAACTGGAGATATTGTTTGACCCAGCGATCCCATTACTGAGTATATACTCAGAGGATTATAAATCATACTGCTATAAAGACACATGTACATGTATGTTTATTGCGGCACTATTCACAATAGCAAAGACTTGGAACCAACCCAAATGTCCTTCAATGATAGACCAGATTAAGAAAATGTGGCACATATACACCACGGAATACTATGCAGCCATAAAAAATGATGAGCTCATGTCCTTTGCAGGGACATAGATGAATCTGGAAACCATCATTCTAAGCAAACTACCACAAAGACAGAAAACCAAACACCGCATGTTCTCACTCACAGGTGGGAATTGAACAATAAGAACACTCAGACATAGGGTGGGGAACATCACACACCAGGGCCTGTCATGGGGTGGAGGACAGGGGGAGGGATAACATTAGGAGAAATATCTAATGTAAATGACCAGTTAACAGGTGCAGCACACCAACATGGCACATGTATATCTATGTAACAAACCTGCACGTTGTGCACATGTACCCTAGAACTTAAAGTAAAATTTAAAAAAAAATAGTTTTAAGCTACATTTGAAGCACTTCTTTATTATTCCCTAGGTCCTATCCATACATTTGGCTATACTTAACCACTGATCACAATTTTATTATTCATAGGGCCTACACACAGACTGCTCATTAAGTGGCCCCCTAGGAAAATCATCTAGACACTTCTACACTAATAAAACATTCCAATACCATGGCATACAGAGGCAGATCTCCCTTAAAAGCAAGTTCAGGGAGAAAGTTTCATGAGGACACAACTCTAAGCAATTAAAGGACTAATATGATACCACCTTCAGCAACTGAGTACCAGTAAAAGCACAGACATCAACTATTAAGCCCCCCGTGGTTTTTCTCTTTAATTTAGAACAAAAAGGCTTTTTTTTTTTTCTTCTGAGACAGAAAGGTTTCACTCACCCAGCCTGGAGTGCAGTGGTGCAATCACAGCTCACTGCAGCCTCAACTTCGTGCACTCAGGTGATTCTCCAGCCTAAGCCTCTAAAGTAACTAAAACTACAGGTGCACACCATCATGTCCAGCTAATTTTTGTAGTGTGTGTGTGTGTGTGTGTGTGTGTGTGTGTGTGTGTGTGTGGTAGAGTCGGGGTTTCGCCATGCTGTCCAGGCTGGTCTCGAACTCCTGGGCTAAATGATCTGCCCACCTCAGCCTCCCAAAGTGCTGGGATTACAGGCATGAGCCACTGCTCCTGGCCATAAAAAGTCAAATATATCTAGAAAACCCCATTGTCTCAGCCCAAAATCTCCTTAAGCTGATAAGCAACTTCAGCAAAGTCTCAGGATACAAAATCAATGTACAAAAATCACAAGCATTCTTATACACCAATAACAGACAAACAGAGAGCCAAATCATGAGTGAACTCCCATTCACAATTGCTTCAAAGAGAATAAAATACCTAGGAATCCAACTTACAAGGGATGTGAAGGACCTCTTCAAGGAGAACTACAAACCACTGCTCAAGGAAATAAAAGAGGATACAAACAAATGGAAGAACATTCCATGCTCATGGGTAGGAAGAATCAATATCGTGAAAATGGCCATACTGCCCAAGGTAATTTACAGATTCAATGCCATCCCCATCAAGCTACCAGTGACTTTCTTCACAGAATTGGAAAAAACTACTTTAAAGTTCATATGGAACCAAAAAAGAGCCCGCATCGCCAAGGCAATCCTAGGCCAAATGAACAAAGCTGGAGGCATCACACTACCTGACTTCAAACTATACTACAAGGCTACAGTAACCAAAACAGCATGGTACTAGTACCAAAACAGAGATATAGATCAATGGAACAGAACAGAGCCCTCAGAAATAACGCCGCATATCTACAACTATCTGATCTTTGACAAACCTGAGAAAAACAAGCAATGGGGAAAGGATTCCCTATTTAATAAATGGTGCTGGGAAAACTGGCTAGCCATATGTAGAAAGCTGAAACTGGATCCCTTCTTTACACCTTATACAAAAATCAATTCAAGATGGATTAAAGACTTAAACGTTAGACCTAAAACCATAAAAACCCTAGAAGAAAACCTAGGCATTACCATTCAGGACATAGGCATGGGCAAGGACTTCATGTCCAAAACACCAAAAGCAATGGCAACAAAAGCCAAAATTGACAAATGGGATCTCATTAAACTAAAGAGCTTCTGCACAGCAAAAGAAACTACCATCAGAGTGAACAGGCAACCTACAAAATGGGAGAAAATTTTAGCAACCTACTCATCTGACAAAGGGCTAATATCCAGAATCTACAATGAACTCAAACAAATTTACAAGAAAAAAACAAACAACCCCATCAAAAAGTGGGCGAAGGACATGAACAGACACTTCTCAAAAGAAGACATTTATGCAGCCAAAAAACACATGAAAAAATGCTCATCATCACTGGCCATCAGAGAAATGCAAATCAAAACCACAATGAGATACCATCTCACACCAGTTAGAATGGCGATCATTAAAAAGTCAGGAAACAACAGGTGCTGGAGAGGATGTGGAGAAATAGGAACACTTTTACACTGTTGGTGGGACTGTAAACTAGTTCAACCATTGTGGAAGTCAGTGTGGCGATTCCTCAGGGATCTAGAACTAGAAATACCATTTGACCCAGCCATCCCATTACTGGGTATATACCCAAAGGACTATAAATCATGCTGCTATAAAGACACATGCACACGTATGTTTATTGCGGCATTATTCACAATAGCAAAGACTTGGAACCAACCCAAATGTCCAACAATGATAGACTGGATTAAGAAAATGTGGCACATATACACCATGGAATACTATGCAGCCATAAAAAATGATGAGTTCATGTCCTTTGTAGGGACATGGATGAAATTGGAAATTATCATTCTCAGTAAACTATCGCAAGAACAAAAAACCAAACACCGCATATTCTCACTCATAGGTGGGAATTGAACAATGAGATCACATGGACACAGGAAGGGGAATATCACACTCTGGGGACTGTGGTGGGGTGGGGGGAGGGGGGAGGGATAGCACTGGGAGATATACCTAATGCTAGATGACGAGTTAGTGGGTGCAGCGCATCAGCATGGCACATGTATACATATGTAACTAACCTGCACAATGTGCACATGTACCCTAAAACTTAAAGTATAATAAACAAAAAAAGTCAAATATTTGATTATCTTTTGAAAGTCCATATTTTTAAAGCTACACGCAGAACTACTAAGAGGCAAATGACATGTTATCTGGGATTGCTTTAAAATTCTTCAGCAAAAACATAAGTAAAAGGAAAAAAAGATAAATCTTAATTACTGAATCTGTGATAAGTAGGGGGGTCTTGCTGAGCTATTCCCTCTACTTGTGGGTACGTTTGAACTTTTTCATACTGAACAAACATAACTCTTAAATATGAGAGAAGGAATACAAATACATTTAGTAAGTTAGCTTTTGGTAGATGCATTCGAATTAAAGGAGAAAAGATAAATTAATAAATGGTATCAGGAGAAATGGCTAGTCATCCAGGGGAAGGAGAGCTGGAACCATCAATGATGCATAAATCAAAATAAATTTCATGTAACTCAAAGATTTAAATGTAAGAAAATGAAACCATTAAAGTAACAGCAGAAACAATCAGAGAATTACCATCATCACCTTGGAGTAAAAGAAAACACTGATAAAGTGAACTATGTAAAAAGTAATTATTTTCTTCATGGCAAGAGCAACCATAAACAACATAAAAATATAGCAAAGGGGGAAAAATCTGGAAATCATATCATGAAGGGTTGATTTCCCAAATAGAGAGTACCTACAAATCAGTAAGCGTCACCCAACAGAAAAATGATAAAGGGATACAGACAGGTCACAGAAAATGAAACAAAAAATCACCCTTGTAAGAAATGCAAACTAAAAGACACTGAGATCCCATTTTTCATTCATCAGATGGGCAAAGATCAAAAAAAACTCATGATACATAGAACTATGTTGGCAAGGTTCTGGGGAAACCAGCAAGCATATATGTTGTTGATGGGAGCATAAATTAATATAATCTCTACACAAGGCAATTAGGTAATATCTATCAAAATTAGAAATGTACACAACTTTTAACCCAGTAATTACACTTCCAGATAGTCTAAAAATATATTTATGCATATGCAAAATGATACATAAATACAAAGACATGGGTATCACTGTAGCAGTTTTGTTATTAGCAAAAGCCAAGAAAAGAAACAACAAAAATGTCTAGAATAAAAGGAATGGCTAAATAATATATATTATATATAAATATATAAATATTTACTGTATATAAATATCCCATATCCTCAAAATGGAATATACTACTACTTCAAAAAATAAAATAAGAAACTTTGTCGCAGCCAGGCATGGTGGCTCACACATGTAATCTCAGCACTTCGGAAGGCCGAGGAGGGCAGGTCACTTGAGACTAGGAATTTGATACGAGCCTGGCCAACATGGTGAAACCCTGTCTCTACTAAAAATACAAAAATCAGCCGGGTATGGTGGCACATGCTTGTAATCCCAGCTACTTGGGAGGCCAAGACACGAGAATCACTTGAACCTGGAAGGCGGAGGTTGCAGTGAGCTGAGATCACGCCACTGCACTCTAGCCTGGGTGACAGAGCGAGACTCCGTCTCAAAAAAAAAAAAAAAAAAAAAAAAAAAAAAAAAAAAAAAAAAAGAAAGAAATTTTGTGATGAACTGATAAAACAAGGTAACCAAATCATATATTAGCTGCAATTACTTCTGCAACAACCTAAATAGTTAAATGAAAATCATGTGTATTATATGCTAACTTTTATGTAAAAGGAGAAAGCAAAAAACATTATGTATGTATATATATATGTGTGTGTGTGTACATTTATTCTTATAAATCCATACCCTTTGTGTGTGTGTGTGTGTGTGTGTGTGTGTGTGTGTGTGTGTGTGTGTGTGTGTGTAGAAATTGCAACAATGAGTTTCTTCACAAATACTTAGCTGAAGCAGACGGCAGATGGATGGAGTCTTATTACTTACTGTATGGGTTTTGGTTCCCTTTGAATTTTGTGCCATTCAACAAATTATCCATTCAAAAAAGTGATTTTACATAGGGAAAACACTCCAGGACATTGGTCTAGGCAAAGATTTTATCATTAAGACCTCAAAAGCACAGACAACAAAACCAAAAGTAGACAAATGGTTTTACATCAAGCTAAAAAGCTTCTGCACAGCAAGAAAACCAGGAACAAAGTGAGGAGACAACCTACAAAAAGGAAGAAAATATTAGCAAGCTATTCCTCTGACAAAGAATTAATAAGCGGAATATATAAGGAACTCAACAGCAAAAAAAAAATCTAATTAAGAAACAGGCAAAGTATGTGAATAGACATTTCTCAAAACGAAACATACAAATGGACAACAGGTATATGGAAAAATGCTCAACATCACTAATCATCAGGGAAATGTAAAGCAAAACCACAATGAGATATCATCTCACCCCAGTTAGAATGGCTACTATTAAAAAGACAAAAAATAACAGGTGCTTATAAGGATGCAGAGAAAAGGGAACTCTTGTTCACTGTTGGTGGTAATGTAAATTAGTACAACCATTATGGAAAACAGTATTGAGATTTCTCAAAAAACTACAAATAGAACTACCATATGATCCAGCAATCCCACTAACGGGTATTTATCCAAAGGAAAAAAAAATCAGTTTATCAAAAGGATACCTGCACTTCCATGTTCACTGCAGCACTACTCACAATAGCAAAGCTATGAAATCAACCTAAGTGTCTGTCACAGAAAAATGGATAAAGAAAATGTGGTACATATATACAATGGAATGCTATTTGGCCATAAAGAAAGAACAAAATCATATCATTTGCAGCAACATGAATGGAACTGGAAATCATTACATTAAGTGAAATAAACCAGGCAAAGAAAGACAAATTTTGCATGTTGTCACTCATGTGGGGGCTAAAAATGTTGACCTCATGGAGGTAGAGAATAGAATAATAGATATCGCAAGTGGGAAGGGGATGTGCCAAGGACTAGGAGGGATAACGAGAGACTGGTTAATAGGTACAAACATACAGTTAGATAGAAAGAATAGGTTCTAATGTTTGATAGCCGAGTAGGGTGACTACAGACAGCAACAATATATTGTATATTTCAAATATACAACTAGAAGAGAGGACCTGACATGTTCCCAGTACACAGAAATGATAAATATTCATGGCAATGAACACCCCAAATATTGACTCAATCATTACACATTGTATGCACATAACAAAATATTACACGTACCCACAAATATGTAACATATTATGTATTAATTTTTTCAAGTTTTAATATTCTTAGCTTTATCCAAGAGCATAACAGTAATAGTAAACACCAGTGTCTTGGTCACACACATTATTAATTTTAAACTGAAATACATAACAAACATGTTCATTCTGGGTCACAGGTAAAATCTTCCCCATCTATCATATACCAATAATAGAGTTAGCCTCCTGAAAAATAACACCATCACTTTAAAATCATCTGTAATCCCAGCACTTTGTGAGGCTGAGGCAGGTGGATCACTGCACAAAGGACCAGTCCACAAAAGCTGACACATATAACAGGATTGCCAGAAATGGAGAACATAAAGAAAATGAAGGTATGGAAATTAAGGACAAACTTAAAACCTTTCCAGGGCTAAGACACGAAACCTCAGATTGACAGAATCCCTAGAGCCCTAAGCATGAAGTAGCTGAATAGACATTCACACCAGGAATGTCCTTCTGATATTTAGATGACTAAGGCTAAAAATAAAGGCCTAAAAGTTTTTGAAAAATGAAAAACAAAAGATGCCTGCAGAGAAAGAAAACAGATGGCCACCAGATTTCTTAACTATTAGAATAAATTCTAAAGGAAGGAATGCCTCAAAGCTGTGAGGGAAAATGACTTTGAATCTAAACATTTAGACCCATTCTAGTCAGGCGTGGTGGTGTGCACCTGTAGTCCAAGCTATTCAGGAGGCTAAGACAGGAGGATCACATGAGCCCAAGTTCAAGATCCTGTCTCTAAAAAATATTTTAAAGTTTCAAAAACTAGACTCATTCCAACAAGTATGAAACATGTTCAGTTGTGCAAGAGCACAGAGAATTTACCACCCAGATCTTTTCTGAAAGAATTACTCAAGAATTAGATTCTAGCCTAAAGTAGAATTTTGTTGCCATTGTCTCCCTGCCTTTTATATTTTATTAATGTTTGTTTCCTGTTTTGGATAAGATTTACTTACAGAAAGGAAAATAAGAGAAAAGGAGGGAAAGTGAGGGAAGGGAAAGTCTGGCCTGATATGGGTTATTGGTCCTATGGTAAGTTTGTGCATGAGGGAAGAGGAGAGGGAAGACTGGGCAAAAACAGAGCCAAATATAATTTCAAAGTTGTCACTACTTCAAAAAAAAAGAAAAAAAAACGTTTTCCACACCAGTCAGAACAGCTATTATTAAAGTCAAAAAATAACAGATGCTGGCAAGGTTGGGGAGAAAAAGGAAAAGCTTATACAATGTTGGTGGGAATGTAAATTAGTTCAGCCACTATGGAATACTGTATGGCGATTCCTCAAAGACCTAAAGACAGAAATACCATTCAACCCAGCAATCCCATTACTGGGCAGATATCCATGGAAATATAAACTGTTTTATTATAAAGACACATGCAAGTGTATATTCTTTGTAGCACTATTCACAATAGCAAAGACACGGAATCAACCTAAATGTCCATCAATGGGAGACTGAATAAAGAAAATGTGGTATATACACACCATGGAATACTACACAGCCCTAAAAAAGAATGAGATCATGTCCTTTGCAGGGACATGGATGGAGATGGAGGCCATTATCCTTAGCAAACTTGACACAGGAACAGAAAACCAAATACTGCATGTTCTCTTATAAGTGGGAGCTAAATGATGAGAACACATGGACACATAGAGGGGAACAACGCACACTGGGGCTTATTAGAGGATGGAGGGCAGGAGGAGGGAGACGATCAGGAAAAATAACTAACGGATACTGGGCTTAATACCTGTGATGAAGTAATCTGTACAACGAACCCTCATGACACAAGTTTACCTATGTAACAAACCTGCACTTGTACCCCTGAAGTAAAAATAAAAGTTAAAAGAAAATAAAATTTTCCAAAGATAAACCTCTAGAAAAAGGAAAAATCATATATACCATGCTTCATTTAGCAGAATATGGTCCCAATATTAAGGAGAACATTAAGATGAATAATAATAATAAACTTTGGGAGGCCAAGGTGGGCAGATCACTTGAAGTCAGGAATTTGAGACCAGCCTGAACAACATGGTGAAACCCCATCTCTACTAAAAATACAAAAATTAGCTGGGCGTGGTGGTGCACACCTGTAATCCTAGCTACTCGGGAGGCTGAGGCAGGAGAATCACTTGAACCTGGGAGACGGAGGCTGCAGTGAGTCGAGACTGTGCCACTGCATTCTAGCCTGGGTGACAGAGTGAGATTCCATCTCAAAAAAAAAAAAGAAGAAGAAGAAGAAGAAGAAGAAGAAGGAGAAGGAGAAGAAGGGAGGAGAAGGAGGGAAAAGAGAGGGAGGAGGGAGAGAGGAGGGGGGAGGAGGAGGAGGAGAAGGAGAAGAAGGAGAAGGAGGAGAAGGAGGAGGAAGGAAGGAGGAAGAAGAAGGAAGGAAGAAGGAAGAAAGAAGAAGAAAATAAAAAGGTGCTCCAAGAGTCCAGGTGGAAATCGAAAAATACATACTTGCTGCCAGCACACACACAGATAAGAGGTCTGTTTTGAAAAACCCAATGTCCCTCCAAGGCCAGTTATTCTGCTATATTCCCATATGTGCAGTCCAAAGCATTCGTAACACAGATAAAGACACAGACATGAAATCAATGATAAATGTCTAATAACTTCATGCTTAACTTTATTAGTACAATACTCTCCCAAATCCATAAAAAGCCTATGAAGAAAATCATTCCTGTAAAGGTTTTGCCTCATTGTGAAAAGACCTTTACCAACTCTTATTATGCCAGCTGCAGTCACAAACCACAAACACCAATAGTTTGAGAGCCTTAAAAACAAAGCATATCATGCAAATCTTTTTAATAACTTAATTATGTGTTATTTAATTTTATAACACATCACCCTTGCTAAGAGTAGAGAAAGATGCCGAACAAGCATTATCATGTTCTTTCCTGACCTGGTTCCCCAAGGTAGCACTACCTCCAATTGTTTGACTACACCAGTTGTAAAGGATTTGACTGCGGGCAACTTCAGACATATTCGCATTTATCCCATGCTCACAAACTCAAAAATAATTGGCTTCCTCTCTACTGGTATCAGCCATAGTTTTAACAGATGGTGCTGCTAAATGAGGAAGGTATGGTACTGAATACAACTCATGACTAACCATATGTCAGCAACAAAATAGTGTCCTCGTCAAGGATATAACACTGGGTTTTATTTACTTGTTTATTTTTGCATAGAGGAGAACATACTACAATGCAGTTATACAAAGTCACACTCACTTAGAACTGGAAAGAAACCTAAAAAGTACTAAAAAGTAGTAGATTTTCAATTTCTTAAATTTTCAATTTCCTTAAGTATACAAACTATATATAGATAACTTGTGTACTTTATATATATATAAATTACACATGTACCAATTTCACTCTCATAATCAATGAAAATATATTTTTATTAGTTCAAAAACTTTCTCAACTTTGGCTGTATACTTCAGACATTACCAAGGATAATAATGCTGTTTATATGACAGACACTAAACTTCTTTCCTCAGTAAACTTCTATGTACCCAAATGGTGATAACTTTAGAGTTTACTATGCATATGTTAATTTATTTCAGGAACAGCAGAACACACTCAGATGTAAGTACCCTGAGCTATTGCTGTATTTATTAAGAGTTACCTTGGGCTGGGTGCAGTGGCTCATGTCTGTAATCCCAGCACTCTGGGAGGCCAAGGCAGGTGGATCACTTGAGGTCAGGAGTTCAAGACCAACCTGGCCAACATGGTGAAACCCCATCTCTACTAAAAATACAAAAATTAGTCAGGTGTGGTGGCACATGCCTCTAGTCCCAGCTACTCAGGAGGCTGAGGCAGGAGAATTGCTTGAACCTGGGAGGCGGAGGTTGCAGTGAGCTGAGATCGCACCACTGCACTCCAGCCTAGGCAAAAGAGTGAGACTTGTTCAAAAGAAAAAAAAAAGAAAAAAGAAAAAAGCTATCTCATTATTTTACATTCTTAATGACACAACAGCAACGGGTTTAAACAAACAAACAAAAATAAATAAATAGAGGAACTGACTGTATTCTATTCCTATAAATCCCCACCAAGAAAAAATGGTAAATATCGGTAGCCACCACTCCCTCTCCTGATAACTCTGTTTTTATAGTGTTATTTAAATTGTTCTTTAGGGTCACATGATTTTATTTGGGAAAAAGGTCCTCTGAATCTTTTTTCTAATATTTACATTGTGACTCCAGATGCCAACTGATATAAAAATCTATGATAGTCTATGAATAATTTAAAAGAATGTGTAATTAATTAAAATATGCACTTAAAATTATGTAACTATTTTATTTAGAAACACGTATGGCTTTTCAACAAAATGACTGTGGTTATTTCAACAGAAATTACTGTAGTCAGAATAATGGGGAAAACACAACACCTAGGTTAGACAAGTTTCCCTTTTCCTGTTAATTTGGTGACCAGAAGAAACTACTTCTAAAAACTACTTTACGTTCTTTCTTTTTTGCCCTTTTACTCAAGGAAAGAAATCTCCACCTACTACCTTCAGAAAAAGCAGCCCATGTGTGTGATGAGGTGTTAATACTTGCCTAGCAGTCAAAGACCCAGCCATAATCCCTGCTTACTACCAGTGACCTTAAGTCAACTACCTAAACCCTATAAGCCTGAAAATCTTCATCTTTAAAATGAGATTAACACCACATACCTCACAGGATTTGTCAGAAGGACAAGATGAGATAACATATGTAAACCACCTGGTCTAGAGTGAAGCAAAAGGAAGCTCAATAAATAAAACCTCAATGCAGAAGACTCACACAAATAGCCAGAATGTCCATCAAAAACGCATTGGCAGACAGTTTTGCAATTTTCACCCTGAATTGAAATAGATTTTACGAAGCATCTCATGAAAGTTAGTTTTCTTTCCCATTTCACATCCAACTTTTCTGCAGCATTTTAGGATCAACTCGTTCAGCCTGATAAATTTTCTAACACGCATTAAGATGATCTCAAATCAATAAAAAACAAACACAGAAACATATCCTTAAAACAAGACCTTAGGAATACTGTGCTTCAAAAGCTACTCTTTTGATTCTTCACTTTTCTCACCCTGTATTTATTTAAAAATGATTCTTTTGGTGTTGAGATAAACTCTACTCCCGGACTTCTCAATTACCTTCTTGAAATTCTACACATTCAGCTTCTCTATGGACACAAACCTGCAGAAGCAATCCGGCCGACCTTAACTGTTCTCTTCTCTATGTTCTACTATTTAATAAGGAGAAAATCTAGAGGGAAACAAATCTTCAATAAAACAAAGTATCTTGCTGTGATTAAGAAGTGATTCTAAATAACTAACAACAGGCTCTCACGCAGAAAAATTTTTTTAACTTTCTAAATAATGTTTCTTCTGTTTAATCTTATCCAATTCAATGTTATATAAATATATGGTCTCAGAAATAACATTAACATTAAAAGCTTCCACATGAAACGACCAAAAAACAGGCCGAACATATAAAACAATAATTTTTCAAGACATTGAACATAACACAATGCAGAACAGTGACCCCTGAGAGACGGAAAACAAATGAAGTGGGCCCTACAATTGCCCCAGCTTACTGCTTTGTCAGTTTCCAGACTTGGCTGCAGTTGTGCAAGGCAGTCAGTCCAGAAGACTCTGCACTAAGACAGAGTTAAGAATTTGAGGAAATCAAGGCTTGCTAGAGTTTGTAAGACAGAGTACTTGAGAGGAGTAATTACAGTACTCAGCTGAGCATTGACCAGTGCATGTATGTGAGGAAACCAACCAAAGCTGGGGAAAGAATGACCTCAAAAGAATGGAGTAACGGCGCCCAGAGCTGACTCAGTACTGGGGATAATGCCTGTTCTTACCAGCCAGTCATGAAAATTTCACGACTGATGGGGCACTGAGTAAAGCACACAGAAGGATCTTGCCTCAGTAGCAGGGAATAATTAGCCCTTGACTGAGCATGGCTCCAGTCATGCTGAACAGAACCAACCTGTTTCCAAGTAATTTAACTGCATCCAGAACAAAGCTCAAAAATATTTATAAGAACACAAAAATATCCAGCAACCAAAAAGGTAAAATTTACAATGTTTAGCATCTTATCAAAAAGTACCAGGCATGTAAAAAATAAGAAAAAGGAATCCCATAATGAGAAGAAAAATTGGAGAATAAGAACTGACCCAGAATTGGCACAGATGTTAGAATAGATAAATCATTAAAAAGTTATTATAACCATTATTAGTGTACCCAAAAATTAAGCATAGAACTCGAGGATATTAAAAAGAAGACCCAGATCAAAGCTCCAGAGATGAAACAACCTCAGCTGCTCTGAGTTCTTTACCTGGTGGAGTGACCCAAACCTTCCTTCTTGAAATATTTGAGCCATTAATCATCCTGCCCTTTTTTGGCTGGTATTATTTTCTATTAACCTTCACTGTTGGGGATGGAAGTACTAAGAGGTGCCCAGAGAATCCCCTGAATTTCAGATATTGTCTCTTTGACTGCAGTGTATCAAATCCCCAATTTCCCCTTGGTTATCAGTATCAATTACTCCAGTGACTAAATTAGCTCCTCTTTCTGAGTATTTGCTCAGTAGTGTAAGGACTGCAAAATGGCCAAGAAGCAGCCCCATCTTCCAATCTCATAGAACCACTGTTGTATCCTCTAGTGGAAACACTATCCCCTTGAAGTCCAAGGTCTCCAAACCAGAGCTCAGCAAAGCTCAGTATTTCCAAGAAAGGAAATAAAAGATCTGCAAGTGAGTTACTAGGTGTAACAATGAGCAAAGCTACTCTCACTTACCCCTTGAATCCCAGAGTCAAAGAGACAGCACATGTATTGGTCACAGATTCAAATTGTATACTACATCTTGTAAAACAGAACCCCATCCTTTCATGGTACTGCCTTTCAATTAGCATTAGGAGTATTCAGTAAGCCATTCTACCTTTCAATTAGGCTAGCCACTTTCAGATCACGGGGTATGGGGCAAGACCAGTTAATTCCAAGAGCACGAGCCCATAGCCGCACCTTCTTTGCTAGAGAAGGAATTCTTGATCAGAAGCAATACAATGCAGAATGCCCTAACAGTGAATAAAGTTTTATGTGAGTCTACAGATGGTGGTGCTGGCAGAAGCATTATAGGTAGAGAAAGCAAATCCATATGCAGAATATGCTACTAGCCCTGTGAGAATATATCTTTGCCCCCTCCATGATGGAAGAGGTCCAATATAATCAACCACTAGCAGATGGCTGGCTGGTTCCTCAGTGAATGGTGCCATATCAGGGACTCAATGTTGGACTCTGCAGTTGGCTGATTAGGCACTCAGCAATAACAGTAGCCAATCAGTCTTGTAAAGGGAAAGACCTTATTGTTGAACCCATGAAGAGCTCCCAACCCTGCCAATATAGCCACCTTTTCATGGGTCCACTGAGCAAGCCCTAATGTGGGTGAATAAAAGGCTGACTGACATGCACACAGCACGTTGTTCTGTCCAGCTCACTAGCAAGTATCCTTTGCAGTAGATGCCCTTTAACAGGCATTCACATGGCACTCAATTTTCACAGTTTGTGGACATTCAGAGAGGTCTATCCACACACCTCTTCCCTAGACTTCCTTGTCACCAGTCTTCACATCCTGTTTGTTCCAGGTCTCTGACCACCAAGATAAAACATTAGCAACTATACAAAAATTAGCCGGGCGTGGTGGCAAGCGCCTGTAATCCCAGCTATCTGGGAGGCTGAGGCTGGAGAATCGCTTGAACCCGGGAGGTGGAGGTTGCAGTGAGCCGGTATCACACCACTGCACTCCAGCCTGGGTGACTAAGCTAGACTCCGTCTCAAAAAAAAAAAAAAAAAAAAAAAAAATTTAGCAACTGCCCATTAATCAATGTAGATCTTTGTCCCTGGCCATCTCCTACTGCAGACATAGTAGGCAACAAAATATAATGCACAGAAGTTCTGTCCACTGGGAAGATCTTCCTTCACCATTGTCCTTCATGGTGAGTCTTTTGTGGGGCTTTAGTGTTTCCGTGTCTGCTTCTGAGTAACACTTGCATATCATCCAGACCCACTTATAAACTAGGCTCAAATTTTCTTCTTCACTCAAATGGTCCATAAGGAACATCCCAGGAGACCATACACATGGAGTGAAGGAGTGGAAGCAATGGAACAGAAGTTGGTATCAAAGGAGTCTGAGCCACCAGCTCGTTTAACTTACTTATATTATCTGGACCTGCCCAACCTTGGTCTCTTATATACCATTTTCACTTAATAACAGATAGCTGCTGCTTGTTCCCAACCTATGGCTAAACAGGTCAGACAACAGCCAATTCATGATGGGAAACTCAGCCACATGGTCACCTGAGATCTCATGAGTAGGTGTTCAGTCTCTAGCAAAGTCAAAAGCCAGGAACTGTTTCTCAAAAGAAGAATCATTATCAGCAGAGAGGGCACAAATTTGCTCTAAAATCCTAGAGGTCTGCACGGTGATTCTTTTATTGGTACTTGCCAGAACCAAATAATACACAGAAAAAGAAAAAGTAGAAGAGGAAGAAAAATCACTGAATAAACCTTTGCTCACAGTATCCTCCTTGTTTCCGAACTCAGTGGGAACAAGCAGATTCCACTCCCTACATCTATACCCTTCTGAGATTTAATCAGTATGACAGGACTAGAGTCCTAATCAATAAGGAGACCCAAAACAAAAATTACCAGTGAGTTTTTCATCCTCACACTGAGAAACTGGATGTGACCATCTTCTTCAGATGAGAAAAGCATACAATGAATATGGTTAAAAGGAATTAGAGGCCACAGTGGGTAAGAAGAATAAAGAATGCCTCACTGCTCCAAACCCAGCCCAGAAAACTGATATCCCAGGGAATCAAAGAACAACCAAGTGAGGCTGCTGAATCAGTAAGTAAGTAACCTCTGAGGAATCATGGAGAAAGAAGAAAATATGGAAAGGCAAGAGGTAGGCAAGTGTTCCAACTTCCCAAGGAAAGGTAAATCAGGTAACCTGTTCATCTACCATCAATCCTCAAAAGACTATAATTATGCCATTTTCAGGATGGTTGATAAACCACTAACCACGACGTAAAAGCCTAAAATCCTGAGGACCAAATAATAGCAAGCAATAATAGCAAGCTAACCCCATTCCTCCCTAAGGGCTGAGAGACTATCCAGAATAAACTTGACATGAAGGAGTCCAATCCCTTGAAATCTGGGGTGAGATTCAATTAGCTGATTTTCATATTATAATGAAAAGAAAAATTTTCTTAGAAAAAGAGGGAAAAAACTTAAATTCCAGTAGTCACTGGACATGAGAGCTGACAAGGGCTTTGGATCTGTTCAAAGACCTTCCCTTATATGCTGACTGATAAATAAAGGGAAGCAGAATGGGATATGGTAGGAGTTCAAATATGTGCCCCCATACTGAGTAGATAAGTATCTTTAGCAAATTACTTCACCTATTTAAGACTTGGTTTTTGCATCTACAAAATAGTATTATAATACTGCTATCTACCTCAGAGAACTCTGTGGAGATTACATGTAAGTACCCATGAAGCTCTTTGCACAGTGTCCCTTACACAGCAAGTTCTCAATGTTATATTAGCTACTATTATTAACTGTCAGCAGACCAAGTCTTCAGCAGAATCGTGAAATAAACTTTTCATTAGGTCTTCCTACCTCCTTTCTCAATCATACATAACCATCTAGCAAGCCAATAACAACTACTGTATGTATAACAAATAAACATGGAAAGAGAATAATGCAGAAGAAGGCATTAGGTTGAATAAATATGATCTGGATTCTAGGCTGCCAGTAACTCATTCAATGGCTTCACACACATCTCCCAATCTCTGCGGGCCTCGGTTATTTTAGCTATAAAACAAATTTGAGTTAAATATTGCAAATTCTTTTCTCATCTGCAATTCTACAATGCAATGAAATAATCATACACGGATTTTTAAAGTTCTGTGTAATTAGTATACCTATGCTTGGTCCTTCCAGATTCTTGCTCATCTCATCAACTTCATCCTCATCAACTACCAGCACGCTAACAGAGGAGAGGCTCTGAGAGTGCTGAATCCCCTCCTCTCCAAGAAAAAATGTAAGTCAATTCTCAGTTTATTTTTCTTCCTTATATCCATTAAATTCAAAACTTTAATCACTACTTACCATTCCCATGCCCACAAGAAAAACTTTTGTTAAAACTTAACAACAAAAAACTTAAACACTAGTTCTGAATTAAAAATGTGTTATCCTCAAAGTCAAGCATTAATATATCTAAAAGAAAAAATAAGAATCACTATCATCTGTACTAGATGGACACCAAGTTGTGCTGCCCCAGTAATCAATGACATTGGATGAAGCTATAATTAACTCAAAATTAAATAAGTTACCCTATTTGCATTTAATTATGTGTTTCTGATCTTTCTCAGAGGTATTGAGACTTTTATAATCATGTACAAGGCATTCGTCAATAACACTGATTTTCTCAGTAATCTGACCTAAGTATGGGCCACAGAGAGAGCGAGGAAGAAAGAAAACTGAAGATTTAGCAATGCCATCCAGAGGAAACTGCCAATTCCCTCAGGGGATCCGGGATCAATCTGAGTAAATACATGACTGTTTCTCATTCAGCACTCAGAACTTGGTAACAAAAACATGCCAGACTTGATAGTGGCATGCCTCATTTCATATAATTCTCATCCTAATCTAATATTGTACATAGAGTGAATTATATAAATCTAATACATTAAATACACTAAGGGTGCTTGCTAGCTAGAAACAATGAATGTATAAATAATATTACAGAATAATTTATCATTCATGTGTGTGTGTGTATATATATATATATATGTATACATATATATCTCTCTCTCCATCCAGGTTTTTTAAATCATCATTAAATATGATCAAGGCAACCAAATCACTATAAATAAAAGTATCATATCTTGAGTATTAATTATCATCTTATTTAAAATCTTATTTTAAAAGGCACAGAGACCACTCATAGGATTAAAAAAAACATTTTAATAGAAACTATTCAAGAACTCATGTTTGTTCAGTCACTACCTCAAAAGTGGTATTTATCCTGAGGTCTTACAAAAAATAATGATTTAAATGAAATTGACAGAATCAAACTGTTCAAATACAGAGGCGTCTTCAAGGGCCTAAAACCCTTCCAATATATTTACAATAGGTTTAACCACAAATGGAAAAAGGTAAAATAAGAGGTGTGCTTTTCCTCAACCTTTGCAAATCTGAGGCAATCACTGTTCTAAAAAGTAATCAACCTTTGTAAATAGCCAAAAACTTCATCTAAAAAGAGATTTATATCAGCTCACTACCCCAATAAATTATTAACACATATACAGTCATGCAATATTTAATAAAAAGAATTGCCAACTCCACATAGCCATTACAAAAAGGACCAAATGATTGAGAAATTATCCATCAGTAGCAGATTAATGGATAAAGGCTACAATAAAGCAAGAGCCAATATAAAGTGCACAAAATTAATATATTTTCTTTCAGAATTATACAACAAATCACAAGCCACAGTACTGCTCCTAAACTATCTAAGTACCAAGCATGATATTCACATAGGGAGGATTTGATACAGCACAGCTGCCAGGATTTGAAACATGTCATCCACCATTTCTAGTATGAAAAGGTAAATTGTCAGACATGTTTCTGACATTCTGACATGATACTACAGCTCATTTCTAGAAATGATTATCAGTAAACCAAATGTGCTTAGATTAACTTTCATCTTGACAATCATACAGTCACACATGCTACCCAAGGAGTTAACATTTTGCTCAGTATACCTTAAGCTATCAAGATGACCAATTTTATGCAAATTTTTATCAACTGTAAATGGAGTTAATAGTCATAGGTCTAGATCCAATATGCAAATTAGATTTGAATACCTAACACAGGCTTATCCTGAGAACACTGCCTACCACACGACCTTTTTATTTGGTATACACTGTAAACTTTCATATCCACAGAATTTGAACTCTTAACAATACACAAAGCTAAATGAGCCAAGTCATTATGCAAATTTTGCCAAAACTCCTTTGAGAAACACAAATAAAAAATACAGGTGGTAATATTTGCATAAAGCACCCAGTGTTTGCATGAATGAGTAAGTTTGCATAGCATGGGTCAAACAAAAACAGTTCCAGAAAGAGTAGGTCTTCTCCAGGAACTTTCTACTTTGAAGACGAAGCAAACGTACACTCAACCTGAAATAACTGGAGAGAGACATGTAATTAAATTATTTTATTTCCAAGTATAACAATAATGCAACTTTATTCTTTACAAGTTATTATCTGACATCTAACACTTATTATCTATTACTTAATATCTCTGGATTTATACTTTTTAAAATGTGATAAAAGAAAAAACTTATAATATGTACGTATATCTACTTGCATTTGTATAAACTCTGGAAGGATATGCAAGAAACTAATGTTTTTACCTGGAGATTATAGGAGAACCAAGCAAATAAGGAATCCAGACAGGAAAAAAACTTTTGCCTTTATATTTTGGGTATTTTGAACTATGTAAAGATATGACCCACTTTAAAAATCAAATTATAAAAATATAAATAAAATGATATAACAATACACCACAGTAGCAGAAAAGACTTTTATATTAACTTTAGAAATTTAAAATAAAATTGTAACATTCCAACAAACTACAATTAAATTTAGGCCGACTAAAAAGCATTAAAGATATTTTATAATTAAAATTTCATAATAAAATAACTCAGTAAGTTTTTTTGTTACATACAAAATCCCCATAGAACAAAAGCAAAAACGCCAATGTTTAAGCATATGAAAAATAAATGTCCCCTTTCATCTTCCAGAGGCAGAAATCTTATAGCATGTAGTAAATCTATTTTAATTACCTTCATTCTAAATGCTAAAAACTAATTAATTATTAAGAGCTGATAAAATTAGCTACTTGAAATGTTTAATTTGATCCTCGTTTCATATGTATATTTTAATGAACACAATAGATATCTCTCAATAGGCCATCATTTATGAATTTAAAACATGTGTCTATGCTCAAGATGGGAGGTCATGTCATTAAGGACTTGCTTTTTAGCAAGATGTGTCAGATATGTATCGTATGCCATACTTCATGTAAAAGTCCAGTGTATTCTCTCTTCCAAAATGGCTGTAACCTATTTTTCAATCACCACTACACAGTCCTCAAAATCAATGTGAAGCTCAGTAAGCTAAGGTTTCCATTTAGAAACAAAAATTGGTATGTAATATTAACAAAAGTAAATATTCATACAAAACTAGCCCACACCAAAGCTTTCCCTAGACTCCAAATTATTCCAGTGATTTTTCTAACTATAACCATCACAAATATAAGAATGTAAGGAAATGCAACTTCAGGTTTCTTACAGTACTTCTGGAACTCTTGTAACCCTCCAATGCTTTACAGCTTTCCGTGGCTCCCATGCCATCACTATAAAATGAAAGGACTGCAGTTCCTATTACAGCACTATCATGTCCGCACTATAACTCCAGCTGCCATAACCACCTCACAACAGATATTAATGGACAGAGAGGAGGGAATAACAGGAGATAAAAGAGAGAGAAAATGTTGGCTCAGCACTCACATCCTTTTTTAACACTCAGTAGTGGAAACTTAATGATCACCACCACGTTTCTCTCACGGTCTGCAATTAAGAAAGACATTTATTTCAATCGTGTCTAAAGCCCTGAATCCCAAGAGTTCCTCCTTTTAGAAACTCTCTAGATATCAATTTAGCAGGATACAGTTAAATATTACAATAGATTAAACAAAAAGGAAAATGGGTATCCGGCAGGGTTTTCAGGAGAGAAAATTATAAAAACTGAACTACAACTACTATTAATAAAATTATGGGGCTGTGTGTGATGGCTCACGCCTGTAATCCCAGCACTTTGGGAGGCCGAGGCAGGTGGATTGCTTGAGGCCAGGAGTTTGAGACCAGCCTGGCCAACATAGTGAAACCCTGTCTCTACTGAAAATACAAAAACTGGCCGGGCATGGTGGTGCACACCTGTAATCCCAGCTATTCAGGAAGCTGAGGCATGAGAATCACTTGAACCTGTGAGGCAGAGGTTGCAGTGAGCCAATATTATGCCACTGCACTCCAGCCTGGTTCAAAGAGTGAGACTCTGCCTCAAAAAAATAAAAAATGGTGGCTCATGCCTGTAATCCCAGCACTTTGGGAGGCTGAGGTGGGCGGATCGTGAGATCAGGAGATCAAGACCAATATGGCTAACACGGTGAAACCCCGTCTCTACCAAAAATACAAAAAATTAGCAAGGCGTGGTGGCAGGCGCCTGTAGTCCCAGCTACTCGGGAGGCTGAGGCAGGAGAATGGCATGAACTCAGGAGGCAGAGGTTGCAGTGAGTTGAGATCACACCACTGCACTCCAGCCTGGGCGACAAAGCGAGACTCCGTCTGAAAAAATAAAAATAAAAATAAATAAAAAATAAAAATAAAGGGGTGGCTGGCAAGATGGCCAAATAGGAACAGCTCTGGTCTGCAGCTCCCAGCCAGATCAACACAGAAGGCGGGTGATTTCTGCGTTTCCAACTGAGGTGCCAGGCTCATCTCAACGGGCCTGGTTAGACAGTGGGGGCAGCCCATGGGGGGCAAGCCGAAGCAGGGCGGGGCGTTGCCTCACCTGGGAAGCACAAGGCATCGAGGAACTCCCTCCCCTAGCCAAGGGAAGCCGTGAGGGACTGTGCCTAGAGGAACAGTGCACTTCAGCCCAGATACTACACTTTTCCCATGGTCTTCACAATCCCTCGGGTGCCTACACCACCAGGGCCCTGGGTTTCAACCACAAAACTGGGCAGCCATTCAGACACTGAGCTAGCTGCAGGAGTTTTTCTACATACCCTAGTGGCGCCTAGAATGCAAGCGAGAAAGAACCATTCACTCTCCTGGAAAGGGGGCTGAAGCCAGGGAGCCAAGTAGTCTAGCTCAGCAGATCCCACTCCCACAGAGCCCAGCAAGCTAAGATCTACTGGCTTGAAATTCGCACTGCCAGCACAGCAGTCTGAAGTTGACCTGGGACACTCAAGCTTGGTGTGGGGAGGGATGTCCACCATTACTGAGGCTTGAGTAGGCGGTTTTCCCCTCACAGTGTAAACAAAACTGCCAGGAAGTTTGAACTGGGCAGAGCCCACCACAGCTCGGCAAAGCCGCTGTAGCCAGACTGCCTCTCTAGATTCCTCCTCGCTGGGGAGGGCATCTCTGAAAGAAAGTCAACAGCCCCAGTCAGAGGCTTATAGATAAAACTCCCATCTCCCTGGGACAGAGCACCTGGGGGAAGGGGCAGCTGTGGGCACAGCTTCAGCAGACTTAAACATTCCTGCCTGCCGGCTCTGAAGAGGGCAGCAGATCTCCCAGAACAGTGCTCAAATTCTGCTAAGGGACAGGACTGCCTCCTCAAGTGGGTCCCTGATCCTCGTGCCTCCTGGCTTGGAGACACCTCCCAGAAGGGGTTGACAGACACCTCATACAGGAGAGCTCCGGCTGGCATCTGGCAGACGAAGTTTCCAGAGGAAGTAACAGGCAGCAATCTTTGCTGTTCGGCAGCCTCTGCTGGTCATACCCAGGTAAACAGGGTCTGGAGTGGACCTCCAGCAAACTCCACCAGCCCTGCAGCAGAGGGTCCTGACTGTTAGAAGGAAAATTAACAAACAGAAAGGAATAGCATCAACATCAACAAAAAGGACGTCCACTCAGAGACCCCATCCGAAGGTGAACAACATCAAAGACCAAAGGTAGATGAATCCACGAAGATGAGGAAAAACCAGCGCAAAAAGGCTGAAAATTCCAAAAACCAGAATGCCTCTTCTCCAAAGGATCACAACTCCTCGCCAGCAAGGGAACAAAACTGGACAGAGAATGAGTGTGACGAACTGACAGAAGTAGGCTTCAGAAGGTGGGTAATAACAAACTCCTATGAGCTAAAGGAGCATGTTCTAACCCAATGCAAGGAAGCAAAGAACCCTGAAAAAAGGTGAGAGGAATTGCTAACTAGAATAACCAGTTTAGAGAAAAACATAAATGACCTGATGGAGCTGAAAAACACAGCATGAGAATTTCAAGAAGCATTCACAAGTATCAATAGCCAAACGGATCAAGCGGAAGAAAGGATATCAGAGACTAAAGAGACTAAAGATCAACTTAATGAAATAACCCATTATTAGAGAAAAAAGAATGAAAAGGAATGAACAAGGCCTCCAAGAACTATGGGACTATGTGAAAAGACCAAACCTACGTTTGATTGGTGTACCTGAAAGTGATGGGGAGAATGGAACCAAGTTGGAAAACACTCTGCAGGATACTATCCAGGAGAACTTCCCCAACCTAGAAGACATGCCAACATTCAAATTTAGGAAATACAGAGAACACCACAAAGATACTCCTGGAGAAGAGCATCCCCAAGACACATAATCGTCAGATTCACAAAGGTTGAAATCAAGAAAAAAACGTTAAGGGCAGCCAGAGAGAAAGGTCAGGTTACCCACAAAGGGAAGCCCATCAGACTAACAGTGGATTTCTTTGCAGAAACCATACAAGTCAGCAGAGAGTGGCGGCCAATATTCAACATTCTTAAAGAAAAGAATTTTCAACCCAGAATTTCATATCCAGCCAAACTAAGCTTCATAAGTGAAGGAGAAATAAAATCCTTTACAAACAAGCAAATGCTGAGAGATTCCAGGCCTGCCTTACTAGAGTTCCTGAATGAAGCACTAAATATGGAATGGAAAAACCAGTACCAGCCACTGCAAAAACATACCAAATTGTAAAGACCATCAATGCTATGAAGAAATTGCATCAACTAATGGGCAAAATAACCAGCTAGCATCATAATGACAGGATCAAATTCACATATAACAACGCTAACCATAAATGTAAATGGGCTAAATGCCCCAACTAAAAGACACGGACTGGCAAATTGGATAAAGAGTCAAGACCCGTCGGCATGCTGTATTCAGGAGACCCATCTCACATGCAAAGACACACATAGGCTCAAAATAAAGGGATGGAGGAATATTTACCAAGCAAATAGGAAGCAAAAAAAAAGCAGAGGTTGCAATCCTAGTCTCTGATGAACCAGACTTTAAACCAACAAAGATCAAAAGACACAGAGAAAAGGGCATTACATAATGGTAAAGGGATCAACGCAACAAGAAGAGCTAACTAACCTAGATGTATACACACCCAATACAGGAGCGCCCCGATTCACAGAACAAGTTCTTAGAGACCTATAAAGAGATTTACACTCTCACACAATAATAGTGGGAGACTTTAACACCCCACTGTCAACATTAGACAGATCAACAAGACAGAAAATTAACAAGGATATTCAGGACTTGAACTCAGCTCTGGAACAAGCAGACCTAATAGACATCTACAGAACTCTCCACCCCAAATCAACAGAATATACATTCTTCTCAGCACCACATCACACTTACTCTAAAACTGACCACATAATTGGAAGTAAAACACTCCTCAGCAAATGCAAAAGAACAGAAATCATAACAAACAGTCTCTCAGACCACAGTGCAATCAAATTAGAACTCAGGATTAAGAAACTCACTCAAAACCACACAACTACGTGGAAACTGAACAACCTGCTCCTGAATGACTCTGGGTAAATAACAAAATTAAGGCAGAAATGAATAAGTTCTTTGAAACCAATGAGAACAAAGACACAACGTACCAGAATCTCTAAGACACAGATAAAGCAGTGTTTGGAGGGAAATTTATAGCACTAAATGCCCACAGCAGAAAGTGGGAAAGATCTAAAATTGACACCCTAACATCACAATTAAAAGAACTAGAGAAGCAAGAGCAAACAAATTCAAAAGCTAGCAGAAGACAAGAAATAACTAAGATCAGAGCAGAAGTGAAGGAGATAGAGAGACAAATAACCTTTCAAAAAATCAATGAATCCAGGAGCTGGGTTTCTTTTTTTTTTTTTAAAGATTAATGAAATAGACCACCAGCCAAACTAATAAAGAAGAAAAGAGAGAAGAATCGAATAGACGCAATAAAAAATGATAAAGGGGAGATCACCACTGATCCCCCAGAAATACAAACTATCATCAGAGAATACTATAAATATCTCTAAGCAAATAAACTAGAAACTGTAGAAGAAATGGATATATTCCTGGACACATACACCCTCCCAAGACTAAACCAGAAAGAAGTCAAATCCCTGAGCACAGCAATAACAAGTTCTGAAATTGAGGCAGTAATTAATAGCCTACCAACCAAAACAAAGCCCAGGACCACATGGATTCACAGCCGAATTCTACTGGAGGTACAAAGAGGAGCTGGTACCATTCCTTCTGAAACTATTCCAAACAACAGAAAAAGAAGGACTCCTCCCTAACTCATTTTATGAGGCCAGCATCATCCTGATACCAAAACCTGGCAGAGACACAACAAAAAAAGAAAATTTCAGACCAATATCCCTGATGAACATTGATGCAAAAATCCTCAATAAAATACTGGCAAACCAAAACCAGCAGCACATCAAAAAGCTTATCCACCACGATCAAGTCGGCTTCATCCCTGGGATGCAAGGCTGGTTCAACATACGCAAATCAATAGATGTAATCCATCACATAAACAGAACCAATGACAAAAAACACATGATTATCTCAATAGATGCAGAAAAGGCCTTCGATAAAATTCAACACCCCTTCATGCTAAAAACTCTCAATAAACTAGGTATTGATGGAACCTATCTCAAAATAATAAGAGCTACTTATGACAAATCCATAGCCAATACCAAACTGAATGGGCAAAAGCTGAGGCCAAACACAGCGGCTCACACCTGTAATCCCAGCACTTTGGGAAGCCGAGGCGGGTGGATCACACGGTCAGGAGTTCTAGACAGCCCATCCAACATGGTGAATCCCCATCTCTACTAAGGATACAAAAAATTAGCCAGGCATGGTGGCACATGCCTGTGATCCCAGCCACGTGGGAGGCTGAGGCAGGAGAATCGCTTGAACCCAGGAGGTGAAGGTTGCAGTGGGCCGAAATTGCACCATTGCACTCCAGCCTGGGCAACAGGGTGAGACTCTGTCTCAAAAAAAAAAAAAAAAAAGCTGGAAGCATTCCCTTTGAAAAACCACACAAGACAAGGATGCCCTCTCTCACCACTCCTATTCAACATAGTAACATAGTATTAGAAGTTCTGGCCAGGGCAATCAGCCAAGAGAAAGAAATAAAGGGTATTCGAATAGGAAGAGAGGAAGTCAAATTACCTCTGTTTGCAGATGACATGATTGTATATTCAGAAAACCCAAAAACTTCTTAATCTGATAAGCAACTTCAGCAAAGTCTCAGGATACAAAATCAATGTGCAAAAATCATAAGCATTCCTATACACCAATAACAGACAAACAGAAAGCCAAATCAGGAGTGAACTCCCATTCACAATTGCTACAAGGAGAATAAAATACCTAGGAATCCAACTTACAAGGGATGTAAAGGACCTCTTCAAGGAGAACTACAAACCGCTGCTCAAGGAAATAAGAGAGGACACAAACAAATGCAAAAACATTCCATGCTCATGGATAGGAAGAATCAATATCATGAAAATGGCCATACTATCCAAAGTAATTTATAGATTCAATGCTATCTCCATCAAGCTACCATTGACTTTCTTCACACAATTAGAAAAAACTACTTTAAATTTCATCTGGAACCAAAAAAGAGCCCGTATAGCCAAGACAAACCTAAGCAGAAGAACAAAGCTGGAGGCATCAGGCTACCTGACTTCAAACAATACTACAAGGCTACGGTAACCAAAACAGCATGGTACTGGTACCAAAACAGATATATAGACCAACGGAACAGAATAGAGGCCTCAGAAATAATGCCACACATCTACAACCATCTGATCTTTGACAAAGCTCACAAAAACAAGAAATGGGGAAAGGATTCCCTATTTAATAAATGGTGTCGGGAAAACTAGTTAGCCATATGCAAAAAACTGAAACTGGACCCCTAACAGAAACTGGACCCCTTCCTTACACCTTATAGAAAAATTAACTCAAGATGGATTAAAGACTTAAACGTAAGACCTAAAATCATAAAAACCCTAGAATAAAACCTAGGCAATACCATTCAGGACACAGGAATGGGCAAAGACTTCATGACTAAAACACCAAAAGCAATGACAACAAAAGCCAAAATAGACAAATGGGATCTAATTAAACTAAAGAGCTTCTGCACAGCAAAAGAAACTATCATCAGAGTGAACAGGCAACCTACAGAATGGGAGAAAATTTTTGCAATCTATCCATTTAACAAAGGGCTAATATCCAGAATCTACAAAGAACTTAAACAAATATACAAGAAAAAAATAACCCCATCAAAAAGTGGGCGAAGAATATGAACGGACACTTCTCAAAAGAAGACATTTATGTGGTCAACAAACATATGAAAAAAAGCTCATCATCACTGGTCATTGGAGAAATGCAAATCAAAACCACAATGAGATACCATCTCATGCCAGTTAGAATGGCGATCATTAAAAAGTCAGGAAACAACAGATGCCAGAGAGGATGTCGAGAAATAGGAACGCTTTTACACTGTTGATGGGAGTGTAAATTAGTTCAACCATTGTGGAGGACAGTGTGGCAATTCCTCAAGGATCTAGAACCAGAAATACCATTTGACCCAGCAACCCCATTACTCGGTATACACCCAAAGGATTATAAATCATTCTACAATAAAGACAGATGCACATGTATGTTTATTGCAGCACTTTTCACAATAGCAAAAACTAGGAACCAACCCAAATGCCCATCAATGATAGATTGGATAAAGAAAATGTGGCACATATACACCATGGAATACTATACAGCCATAAAAAGGATGAGTTCATGTCCTTTGCAGGGACATGGATGAAGCTGGAAACCATCATTCTCAGCAAACTAACACACGAACAGAAAACCAAACACTGCATGTTCTCACTCATAAGTGGGAGTTGAACAATGAGAACACATGGACACAGGGAGGGGAACATCACACACCGGGGGCTGTTGGGGAGTGGGGGGCTAGGAGAGGGATAGCATTAGGAGAAATACCTAATGTAGATGATGGGTTGATGGGTGCAGCAAACCACCGTGGCACGTGTATACCTATGTTTTGAACAAACCTGCACATTCTGCACATGTATCCCAGAACTTAAAGTATAATAAAATAAATAAAAAATAAAAACAAAAAAATAAAATTATGGTGCCCTTACTCTGTGCATAGTAGGTAATTTGCATATCTAGTCTAGAATCATCATGATGGCCTTATTAGATACAACATAATATAATCTTGTTTTTAAAGATGAAAAATGAGACTGAAAGTAAAGTAACCTGGGGACAGTCATATGACTATCAAATGAAAGAGCAAGAATTAAAACACAGTATTAACAACTGTTAATACTTCATTAATATTAGTACAATACAATAAGCAGCCTACTACTTATATGAGCACTTTTAAGTACCTTAAATATTTTCATTTAAATTCATTTACTACTTATAACTGTCATATGGAATAAGCACTATTATCCTCATTTTATAAATGAGAAAACTGGGGACAAAGAGATGGAACAGCTTTCTCAAAGTCACATGGCAAGCAAAGTGGCTCTTGGACTTACACAGCCTGGTGCCATCACCCAAATTCTTAACCCGTGCACTACCATTTCTCTAATCCTTAAAATAAAGCAATGCAATTTTAAAGTCAGTGTATAACTCTGTGAAACTTTAAACATAAATTTGGACATCATTTTTAGCACTTCACTGAATATGAGAAAAACTAATAATATAAGAAATTTCACTGAAATATGAGAAAAACTAATAATATGAGAAAAACTAATAAAATAATTACAAAAGTACTTTTAGTAGTATGTTCTTTTTCTGAATTCAATCCCACTGATGTGAAGGCCGTCCACTTTCCTAAAGAGCTGAAAGGCACGTAATGAATCATTTTCTAATCAAACAAGAAGTATTACAAGATCCTGGAACGTTCCCTGAGAATACCTACCAAAGGAAACTTGAGAAACAATATTATCAACTATAGAGTTAAAGAAACAGAAATTCTACTTACAAAGCTAAGCCTTTCAATTTCATTGGCTTTCAGCAAGACTAGCGATTGCATCTAAACTCAAACAGGAAGCAATCTGACACTTTCTTCTCAGAACGTGCAGAACATGTGTGTGTAATGTCAAATACAAAATAAAAAGGAAGTAACTAACTGCTTTTTACTAGTGTTTTTACTAACACTGAAGTAAAAACAAGATTAATATGCAAGATTAGTATTTTTTTGTCATTAGTATCTTTTTCTTTACTAGTATCTTTAGTATTTTAATGGTTCTAATCAATGATATCAATGATATCTAGCCTCAACATTCATAATATGTGAATCTGATAACAAAAGGCAAATAAAATTTCTCTGTGTGGCTGCAGATGTTCACGGAGACAGAAAGACCACCAATAATTTCACACAGGACTACATGAATGAAAAATAAGCAAGATATCTCCTTTTTGTAGTGATATTTTTAAATCACCTGAACCAAGACTGTTTGATTCACATAAAACCATAAATGAAAATATTATAAGATTTCAAACTTTCCATTTTATAAAATAAACAAGTATATAATCCTATAAAACAGAAATGGATGGTAGCTAGGCTGGAGACATATTGATTAATTTGAGCTTTCCAGTCTACTCTAAGAAAATAACACATTTTTAGGACTGTAATATCTACAACAGAAACAGCATTAAAATGTAAAATAGATGAGATTATTTTAAAAGGAGGTCTCTAGCTCATTAACTTACTAGAGAAACAGAGTTCGAAAATGATAAAGTTTGAAAGTATAATTTTACTAATGTTGCCTCTTAACTTTTGAAAGACTGCCAAGGATACCTAAGCAAAAAGGAAAAAGATTAATTAAAAAAATCCACCTTAGAGCTACCGAACGTAGGAGTGCTAGAGGGAAAACCTGAAATAGAAAGAAAACTTCAAAGAGATTCTGTAATCGAAGATGCCTTATTCTTGACTGCCTCATCTCAGAGATTAAAGAAGATTTTTAAAGCTGTTCCATGGACATAGAGATCAAACATTTATAAATGTTTATAATTTTACAAGTCCTAAATTCAAAGGTGGGCTCAAAGAAATGAGTAGCGTAGGCTGCTAGAAACAAAGATGAATTTTTGGGTGAGGGAGTCATGTAGAAGGTAGCTTTGAAGAATATACTCTTTGGGTTATAGAGAAGGAAGAGTATTTTTGAAAAGTTCACTCAACATTGAGAACACCTAAATGAACCACAATAAAATGCTAGGGAAAGGGAATCAAGGATCAGCCTTAATTATCTCTACTGGATATTAACAAGTATTAAACCCATCAAATATTCCCACAGCAACAATTTTTTGTTTGGTTGGTTTTTGTGGTGTTTTTGTTTTATTTTGTTTTGTTTTGAGGCAGGGTCTTGCTCTGTCGCCCAGGCTGGAGTGCAGTGGCATGATCTTGCCTCACAGCAACTTCCACCTCCCAGGCTTCAAGCCATCCTCCCACTCAACCTCCTTAGCAGCTGGGACCATAGGTGCATGCCACCATGCCTGGCTAAATTTTTATATTTTTCATAGAAACAGGGTCTCGCTATGTTGCCCAGGCTGGTCTCGAACTCCTGGGCTCAAGCAATCTGCCCAACTTAACCTCCCAAAGTGCTGGGATTACAAGCATGAGCCACAGTACCCAACTTCTGGGGGTTTTTTTTGGTTTTTGGTTCTGGTGTATTGAGTTGGTTTTTTGAGGGGGGCGGTTTGTTTGTTTGTTTGTTTTCAGACAGGGTCTCACTCTGTTGCCCAGGCTGGAGTACAGTGGCATGATCATGGCTCACTGCAGCCTCAAAATCTGGGGCTCAAGAAATCCTGCCATCTCAGCCTCCAGAGTAGCTGGGACTACAGGTGGGCACCACCACACCCAGCTAATTTTTTAATTTTTTGTAAGGATAGGGTCTCACTACGCTGCCCACGCTGGTGGCAAACTCCTGGGCTAAAGCGATCCTCCCACCTCAGCCTCTCAAAGTGCTGGGATTACAAGCATGAGCCACCATGCCCAGCCCACAGCATCTGTTTTGTAGCAGTTCAAGATTATCATATAAACCTAACTAGATCTTCTCTTGTAAAGTGAAAATTTCAACAATTCAGATTCTTGGTTTGTAGATAATTTATAAGTTTTATTATCTGTTAGCTTCGAACTCTCATCCCCTAAAATGAAAAGAAGGAGGCCAGGCGTGGTAGCTCATGCCTGTAATCCCAGCACTTTGGGAGGCTGCGGCAGGTGGATCACCTGAGGTCAGGAGTTCGAGATCAGCTTGGCCAAAATGGCAAAACCGCGTCTCTACTAAAAATACAAAAATTAGCGGGGCGTGGTGGCACGCGCCTGTAATCTCAGCTACTCAGGAGGCTGGGGCAAGAGAATCACTTGAACCCGGGAGGTAGAGGATGCAGTGAGCCGAGATCTTGCCATTGCCCTCCAGCCTGGGCAAAAAGAGCAAAACTCCGTCTCAAAAAAAAAAAAAAAAAAAAAAAAACACCTGGAGGAAGAACATTCCAGGCATGAGGGAATAGCAAGTGCAAGCATATGCTTGGTATATTCAAAGAAGAGCAAGAAAATGAGGGCGGCAGTGGTAGCAGGAGATGAAGTCAAGAGAAGTAGAAAAGGTGTTCACTTCATCTGGCCTTTGTAAACCTCAGAACATGATATAAATCTTGGCTTCCACTCATGTGGATATTTACATTTAAATCAATTAAAATAAAATTTAAAATTCAGTGCCTCAGTTGCACTAGCCGGATCTGAAGTACTTAACAGACACATGGCCAGTGGCTACCATATTAGCACAGATTAGAGCACTTCCTTTTTTTATGTTTGTTTTGAGATAGAGTTTCACTCGTCACCCAGGCCGGAGTGCAGTGGCGTGATCTCGGCTCACTGCAACCTCCGCCTCCCAGGTTCAAGTGATTCTCCTGCCTCAGCCTCTCAAGTAGCTGGGATTATAGGCACTGGCCACCAAGCCTGGCTAATTTTTGTATTTTTAGTAGAGATGGGGTTTCACCACATTGGCCAGGCTGTTCTCGAACTCCTGACCTCAGGTGATCCACCCACCTTGGCCTCCCAAAGTGCTGGGATTACATGAGTGAGCCACCCTGTGCCTGGCCGAGCACTTCCATTTTTGCAGAAAGTTGTACTAGACAGCATTGTGAATTTTGAGCAGAAAAGTAAAATAATCTGACTTAGGTTTCGAAGAATCTCTGATCACTGTGTGGAAAACAGATGGTTGAGGGAAAAGCTAGGAGATAAAACAGGTAACTATTATAATCCAGGCAAGATGATGCTGGCTTAGACCACAGTGGTAGCCTAAGTGAAGGTGATAAAAATGATAGGATTATGGATATGCTTAAAGGTAGAGCCAGCAGGATTTGCTGATAGACTCAGTGTGTGATGTGGAAACAAGTAGTTATCCTTGACTCCAAAGTCTTTGGCTCAAGCAACTGAAAAGACTCAGAATCCTTTTACTGAGATATGAAGAACATGGAGCAACAGATTTGTGGGGGAGATTAGTAGTTTTGGACATGGTAAATAGACATGCCTTTTAAAGATCCAAATTCAGATGATATGTAAGCAGAGAGCCCAGGGTTCCAAAAAAAAAAGCATCAGCATAGAGAAAGTACCTAAAAGCTATGGGACTCTATAAAAACCCAAATAAGTGAGTATAGGTGGAAAAGTAAAACAAAGTGCCTTGGGGATGCTCCAACATTTCGGTATGATAAGAAGGAACCAGCAAAGATGACTGAAGGGGCAGCCAGTGAAATAGGAAGAGAACCAATAAGCAAGGGGGAGTAGTGTCCAGAAGGCCACAGTATTTCCAGAAGGAAAGAGTGAAAAGCTGTGGCAAATGCTAACAAACAAAGACTATATAAGATAAGGACTGAGAAGTGGCATTTGCATTTGGCCAAGCAAAGGTCATTGGTGAACTTGATGAGAGCACTTTCAAGTAAAAGGGCCTCCGTAGAGTGAACTAGAAACAGAAAGAGAAGCAGCAGGTCCTTCCAAGGAATTTTGCTATTACAGAGAAAGAAAAAAATGGAATAGTTGGAGAGGAAGAACGTGGTATCAGGAAGTTGGAGAGTAAGAATGTGGTGTCAAAAAACAAGATTATCGGCCGGGCGCAGTGGCTCACGCCTGTAATCCCAGCACTTTGGGAGGCCAAGGCGGGCGGATCACGAGGTCAGGAGATCGAGACCATCCTGGCTAACACGGTGAAACCCCATCTCTACTAAAAATAAAAAAAAATTAGCATGGTGGTGGGCGCCTGTAGTCCCAGCTACTGGGGAGGCTGAGGCAGGAGAATGGTGTGAACCCGGGAGGCGGAGCTTGCAGTGAGCCGAGATCATGTCACTGCACTCCAGCATGGGCGACAGAGCGAGACTCCGTCTCAAAAAAAAAAAAAAAAAGAAACAAGATTAGCTTAAGGTAGGATATATCACAGAATGTTTGATGATAGGAATGATCCAGCAAAGAAGGAAAATGATCCAACAGAGAAAGCAGAAAACTGCAGGAGCAATGACCTTGGCGGGGGAGACAGGATGAGTATACAAGTAACGGAGCTGGCCTCAGATGAGAGCACGTTATCAAAAGCAACAGAGGGACCTCAGAGTCTACATGAAATAAATTCACTCCAGCAGGTAGATTTGGTGCGGGGAAAAGTGGTATTCTCATCCGGCAGGTCTAAATAACTATGCACCTCACCAGAGTCACAGTTTTTCAGAGGAATGGGCTGTTTGTCATCTTTGGGTTCCTAGCACTAACAAGCTAGCTAAGTGAAGTTATTCAAAAGTTCTATTGAACAAATACATTCTTAGAACTACCTAACTACCCAGGGACCTCAGCTTAAGCCTTAACTCACCAAGGACTCACCAGTCAGTTCTCAATTGTGAACACTCAGCATTATAGAGAAGAAAAGGGATCACAGTTATGACCAACCACATCCCACCTTCCTTCCTCTCCCCACACTGGACTGCTCACGGATGGGGCAGGAGGGTTGTGTGCATTTCCAGCCTGCATGTACAGAAAGCACTTCCTGTCTAATATCCCAAAATGGTGACTACTCACTCCTATTTTAACTCACCTCTCAGACACTGCCCTGCTTTCTCAGAACACACTGACCAGGGCTGCTCTTTCTTAGAGCCCCCTTGCCTTTAAGCACACTGTAGAGTACCCTATCCACTGTGATCAAACCGGACTCCTGTGTGAGACTCCCTCCTAGGCCCCCAGACTTACAGACACCACAGACCCCTATTTACAAAAAGCCTTAAGAATCTGAACAGGTATTAAAATAAGAATGAGATTAGGAACTAAACATATAAAATGTAATTCAATTTCCTAAGCCCCTTCCTAAGAGTAAGGATATTGAAAACAAATCAAATGTGAAATATGAGTAGTAATGTTAAAAAAAAAAAAAAAAAGGAAACCAGCAGAATATTGCCAGCATAGCTGACATTCATTAAAGGGGCAAATCCAGATCCTGTAATCTGAATTACATCTGGTCTGTTTCCTATACTTACTTTCCTGACTTAAAATATTTTTAATAAAATAAATTTATGCTTATTAAATCTGCTGAAACTCGACAGATTAAAGATATCTTGAATCTCAAAAATTTTGTAAGTAGCAAAAATTGTTGAGAGGAGTGATTCTCTGCAAGAGCAGACTGAAACTAGTGGGGGGGGGCGCTTTTACTAACAAAAGTGTCTGATGAGATAAGATAATGCAATACATCTATTATATCTATTGTAACAATACCATTCATACTCCTATAGCTAAGACTCTTAGCATTTCCATTATAAAAACCTGTTTTTCAACTCTGCCACCTGCCATCCATTAAAAAAAAAAATAGTTCTCTCACAGCATTCAAGTGTTGATCCTGGAAACGTTCTACCACCACTCCCACTAAATGTTTTTGTTCCGTAGATTATCATGCAAATATTTCAAGTGTGTATTTTGTCTTTCCACATTGCACCAGTCTGATTCAAATATTAAGGTTTTCATCTGCAAGCCAAGATCACAGGAACATTCATTCCAGAAATACATCAATATGTACTGAAAGTCAATTTGGTAGAATCTTAGCAGTAATCAGAACATTACTCTTACATTCAAAGTAAGAGTTACAGATATTTATGATACTGAAGACATCAATACTGATTAAGTTTTCTTCATCTGACTCAAGAAGTAAAAGTCTAACAAGATACTATGAAAACAGAAATATGAAAATGAGGAATTGGGTAAAAAGAGTACACTTCACGGCAAGGCAAAGCAGTATGCAGTGGTGAATAGAACAGCATGAAAAACACTGGGTTAAATAGAACCTATCTACCAACTCCCCGCTAAGAGATGTTAGCTGGCAACTCAACAAATGCCCAAGTGTAAGGCAAAGTTTACTTTTCCCAAAAAAAATCCCTCAGAAAATAGGAAATTGTTTTCTATTTCTATTAATAAAGTCCATAGAAAGTCTTTCTTATTACCAGAACCTCTTTTTACTCTCTCCAGTCCTACTTTGAATAACAGAGTATCACTTGGAGAAGACATTACCCTAAGTAACAGGATCTGTGGAAGCTTAGAGAAGTCCCCCAGAAACAATCATCTGAATCAGTAAAAATTGCAGTAAAAGCTGCGATGAGATTTAACACAGATTTAACTCCTAGGGATATTGCCTCACATTGGCAAATATTGGATTTCATTGTAAACAAGCCTTGCAAAAATGACTTTTTTTAAGTATTATAATAAGTGCCTACACTACAGAGATCAACATACATGCTTCTACAGGAGGAAAAAGAAAACCAACTGATCTTTAATAATGAGAATGGAGGGGCTCCTGAGAGAAAATTTCCAGTGACCACAACGTAAATAGATTCAAAATAGGTTGGATTTCAGACAATTCAAATGGAACCGTAGAAAACTGTGTCAGACAACTCAAAAAGAGGTTCTAGAGAGGAAAAAAACCCTCATATGTCAAAGATGCATTTGAAGAGTTTAGATAAAATTGCTTCATGAAAAGCCAGGAGAGAAGAGTTACATTTGAAAATTATCTCATATAATGCTATTTTAAATATGTATGTATAACTTAAATAAATATACAGAAATTCATCTTCATCTCTAAAGTTTACATATTCAAGTTAGTCAAAACAATTTATTTAATATTCTCATTGGGAAAATGGAGGTGTCACATTATATTGTGACCATCTGTGTTTGCCACCTGAAATAATTGAAAAAATAAAGACAAGAATCAAATCTTTTCTATTTTTTAATTGTATCCCTCAGCACATAGCATATCTCACAGATACTCAAATATATTGGATAGTTAAGGAACATATTAAATTTTACTTCATATAAATGTAAAGGTCTCCATAAAATGTCTTATAAACAATTAAATTTTTGTGGGTTAGATACATAAATGAGGAAAATATTTGATCCTCAAATATCAATTATGAATTTTTATATGTTTACTTTTGAAAATACACTTATCTATACAACTTATACATATGCTTTATAAAGGGATTGGGGGCTTTCCAAATCCAGGGTCTACAAGACAGCATTGTATGTACCTTGTTCAGAACAATGCCTGGCACAGACTAAAAGCTAAGTAAGTTTTTGGCATTATCCTGAATTGCTAAAGCAAAAACTTGGGGTTAAGGGTTGTGACATAATTTATTGATTCATTGCAAAGGAAAAAAACCTGCAACTTCAAGACATTTATTATAAATTATAGATACGTAAAATCATACCAAAACTGGAGATTATATTTTAATGATTACTGCAGGCAGTTCATATTGGCTGTTAATCTCAAACTGCTCAGTTCTGAAGGCTACTAAAGAAGCCATCATTACTGACCCTTTTGCCTGTCACACTACTGGGGTCACTTTAACACTGACATTTCATAAAGAATGGCATTAAAAGTGAAAGTTAATGAAACTTGTGATAAAATAAAAATTTAATATAGCATATAAAATTTTTCTTCAAATATTTACCTAAAGTCTAACCAAAAAATTATATTTAGTTTGCCCCAAACATTAACAAGGAACTTAAAAGGATGAACACTTTGTAAGAATGAAAGACAGGACTTCATTTCTGGAGCCCCTACAGCATCTAACTCAGTATCTTTTACACTCTAAGTGTATATTGCATGGACTCTATGAAAATGACTCTTATGAAATTGAAAGCATTATAAGACTTCTTACCAAAAAACACAGTCAGCAAATTTTATGAGTTAGTAAATGGGAAAATCACTCCTTAACAAACAACATCCAATGCTCCACTTTAGTTGGAAGCAAAGAGATGATCTACTACATCAGGGATAACTGAGGCTCTGGAGGCCAAGCTACAAAAATATCGGGGCTTCTCTTGGAAAAATTAATAATGTATTTTAAGGTTTAAAAATTAAAAGTATCACGCCTGTTATCCCAGCACTTTGGGAGGCCAAGGTGGGCGGATCACCTGAGGTCGGGAGTTCGAAACCAGCCTGACCAACATGAAGAAACCCCATCTCTACTAAAAATACAAAATTAGCCGGGCGTGGTGGCGCATGCCTATAATCCCAGTTACTCAGGAGGATGAGGCAGGAGAATCGCTTGAACCCAGGAGATGGAGGTTGCAGTAAGCCGAGATCGCACCATTGCACTTCAGCCTGGGCAACAAAAGCGAAACTCCATCTAAAAAAAAAAAAGTAAAGTGCCAATGAAACCAACCTAACCATGAGTTGAAGGGAGAGACACAAGGGCTATGGCATGGTGATAAAAAGGAGAAAATAGTACCCAGAATGCTTTAACCCATAGCTAAGAAAGGTGATGGCCAAAAACCACCTTACTTATAACCTGGAGAGGGAAGTTTGGTAATTAAAAATAAAGGAACTTTATATTGAAAGACCAAACAGAAGTAAAAAGTAAGTGTTCCATGAAGGACACAGGGGCAGAAGTAACTCTGAAGCCCTGAGTCTAGAGAAGACTCACAGTCCAGCAAGGATGAGAAGTGGCCATAATAGTGCACCGACAGCACAGTCACTGATGCATCCTGAGACTCCCAAATGCAGAATGTCACAAGCAGACACGGGAGGACCTCTGCTAGGTTCACTCACTCACCAAATGACTAGAATCTGTATTCCAGCCTTCCAGCAGCTAACGCCTACACACATTATTTTTATTTAATTCTCAGAACCCCACAACTCTATGAAACTGATATTATTTTCATAACAAACTACTGAATGTCATGGACTTTCTGGGGGCTTGAAAATAATTGAAACCCCAAATGTTAGATTCACAAATGTCAACAACCTACTGCAGGTGTGCCCAATCTGAGTACCAGGACCTCATGTGGTAATAAAATACTTCCAATTGCCATTGCCTAATTCAAACATACGTACATTCACAGACCGTCCCTATGGTCTCTCACTCCCAGGGTCTACGACCAACTAGCCCAGAAACACCAATCTACTATAAATACAGCCTTGAATAAGCACAAAATTGGTTATGTAATTAGCTTTGCTGAGGCTTAAGGTACGTGCTCTACTGCTGCCAGATTTCAAATTATAAATCATCCCTTCCTACATATCCTTCCCTCCCCTACAAAAAACAGAACTATGCAATTTTAAGATCTATTTTGTGAATTATAGAAATTATCAAAGTCCCAGTTGCTACATCTGTTTTGATACTGTCAATCTTTACAAACCTTGAAATACTCAACCAGCATCATCCCTAGGATCAAGGACGAATGAGGAGCATGTTAGGGAGAGGGGAGGCTGAGGCACACGGTGCAGTGATTAAGAGCACGGGCTCTGAAATCAGACCAGCCAGGTTAGAATTCCAGCCCCACTTGCACTACCTATGTGACTCTGGTCCAGTTCTTTAACTTCGTATTACATCAGTATCCTCATGGGGAAAACAGGGACTAAAAAACAGAAAAAATTCCCACTTCACAGAGTTTTGAGAATTAATATACATAAAGCAATTAGGACAATGAACTGGCACCATAACAGGTATTACATATGTGCTGGTAAAACAAAAGCTATATGTAAAAACTCAAAACTAGGTTGATATAATTCTGAACAAAAATAAGGGCACTGATTACAAGCATCTTTGAGAGGCTAAGCACAATTTACATATGCTTTTTTTCAGGCATCCGTATTGTATGTAATATACTTTCATTCATGTATATTTTGCAACTTTCTTCTATGAAGAAAGGCAACTTTGCCGGGCTCAGTGGCTCACATCTGTAATCCCAGTGCTTTGGGAGGCTGAAGCAGGTGGATCACTTCAGGTCAGGAGTTCGAGACCAGCCAGGGCAACAAGTTGAACCCTGTCTCTACCAAAAAAATACAAAAATTAGCCAAGCATGGTGGTGCAGGCCCGTAATGCCAGCTACTCGGAAGGCTGAGCCAGGAGAATCGCTTGAACCCAGGAGGCAGAGGTTGCAGTGAGCCGAGATTGCGCTGCTGCACTCCAGCCTGGGCAACAGAGCGAGACTCTGTCTCAAAAGTTTCATCACAGATTGTATAAGACGAATCTAAACTAGCTACTGCACTTCTTTCTTTCCCACCCAGTAACTCTCTTCCATTGTCCTTTTACACTTTTCCTCCTGTTTCATGATTTAAGCTCATCGATGCCTGCCATAAACAATGCTTAGTACTTAGTCCTGAGAAAACAATCAGAATTTTATATCACAAGACAGTTTCTTTTGTCAAACACCAAGTCAACTTCTTCATCAGATGTCAATGCTTTCACCGAACATGTCTGCCGTAGAGAATTAAGTAAACAACTAAACAAACAATCACAAAACACAATTAAATAAGATAATGTGTGTAAAGCACTGAGCGTAGGGACTGGCACTCAATATATGTGAGTTGCTGTGGAAGTCTACTAACAATCCTCTTAAAAAAGCACTACTCAATCTCTCAACTTTAAGGTAAAAGTAAATTTGTATTTGATTGCTAGTATACACATTTCTGTTGCTAGAAGCAAATCGAATTTATACATGCAACAACATGGATGAATCCAAAAACAGTATCTTGAATAAAAGAAGCCAGACATAAAAGTACATACTATGAGTCCATTCATATGACTCCCAAGAACAAGTGAAATCAGAATCAGAAAGTGGCTGCTGCAGAGGGGAGGGGAAGGGAAAAGGAGGGTTGATGGGAGAGAGGTAGGAAAAATTTTTCTGGGGTGATGGAAATATCCCCTACCTTGTTTGGGGTAGTGTTTACATAGGTGCATAAATGGGAAAAAAAATTCACTCAACTGAATGCTTAAGATCTATGCATTTTATTGGATATAAATTATACCTGAATTTTTAAAAATTTAAAAAGCAAATGCATCAGTATCGATTTTTTGTAATTTAGAGTAGGAATGTTATACATACTTAGGTGGTTTAGGGGAAGGAAGGTTACAATAACTGCATAAGAAATATGGAGTCAGAGATTTATGACATATAGTCCAGGGAAGACAAATACATGTATTTGTTCTTTTTATTGTAACTACACCTAAGACTAAAACATTTTCCCCATCCATCTTCTTGACATCCATCTCCTATTGTCTCTCTGAGTTCTGATCACTGGCTCATTCTTCCACTCATCTTCCCTAGACTGTAGTCTGCTTATACCATGATACTAATAGAGTTAACAAAAAGAAAGGCTATGAATACCCAATCAAAACAGCAATGTTTTTATTAAATAGACCAGCAGCTGTGTGAGCAGAGACTTGTAAATGCATCTGTTCTACAGGATTTTATGTTTAATTCAATTTGTTCAAATCAGAGCACCAAGGCCCTGTAACTATGGGCTAGACAAGGAAATAGTTTTGCTAAACAGAATCCTACATTAACATGGTATTTTGAGAAAAGAATTGTACCTATTCATTCATTCAGTCATTCACACAACAAGCACTTACTGAGCACCTATTCCATTCTAGCTATTATGTACGGTACTGAAAATACAAAGATGAAGTACAGCCTGGTAGAGGTGACAGACATCTGAACAGATGGTTATAATACACTGGCAGGTTCAATAATACACTTAGGCCTGGGGTAGTACTATGAAAGCACAGAGCAAGGAAAGATTTCTTTTGAAGTCTGAAGCTTTTGTAGAGCAAAAAGGTACAAAGTGAAAATGAAAAATATACTCCCACCTAACCCCCGCCCCCTACATGGAGGGCTGCAGCTATATCAGTAATGTTTCATTTCTAAATCTGAGTAGGTGATATATAACTGGTCCTTATTCTCTTAATCCTTTTCTCTGTCAAATAGTTCATAATAAAATGTGTTAATACTGCCACCAGGTAGTACCTATAGACTCGGAAAGCCTTCCCCACTTACAGCTCTTTCTCTCACAACCGATCGCTTGCGGTCACCAAGGTTAGGTCGCCAACAACGAAGGGAAATGTGGAACAGAGACAGAAGTCCTCTTGTAATAGGAGTGTATGGAGGCCTGAAAAGGCAAAAGGAAATAGCCTACCAAGATTTCAAAATACACTACAAAAAAATTGTTAAATACAAAATGGGTATGGAGAACATATTTCAACCTCATTTTAGACATACACAGTAAAAAATTAAAATATATATATACCTGTGCCATATAGAGAAAATAAACATTATCACAAACAACTAATTCCATTCATTCTGACCACTGTTCTCTCAACAAACATTATTGAACACCTGCTCCACGCCACACACAGAGAAAAGCAAGCTCCTGCCTCCAAGGTGGCTACAGTCAAGTGGGAGGTGTCAGTCCTGTGAGCTGACTCCTAAAGTACAATAGGTAGGTTCTATGATAAGGACTAGCATAGAGTTTGCTACAAGGAACATGGGGAAACAGAAGGCGCTAAGCATTGCAAAATTTACCATCTTCACAGGTCACACAAATAAATGCATTACCCAGGAGTAAAAATGCTACAGAATAAAATGAAATGCTGAAAATGCAGAAGACTTGAAGTTAATAAAATAAGAATTGCTTTACCACAAAATCTCATAAAACTGTTGATTTTTATTATACTTCATACCTGATTTCAAAGAGCATAAAATTTTCAGTAATGATGAAACACCAATTGTTCTCCTATTCCATATCCAGGAGTCACGCCATCTTGCTAACACCTCCTCTTAATGGTTAAAAAGAAAAAGAAAATTGACAAAATTCTGGAACTTGTTTAAAAGATAGGTGTCACTATCATGCTGAAAATATCCTAGCTTAAGCCAAAATGACTGACAGAGACATGTGCTGGGGCCTCCAGGCAAAGGTAGACTTCTCATGACTGGAGTAACTGTGTAACATGTTTACATGTATGACATAACTCAGCTATTTATTCTTCTTTTACAGTTCTCACAGACACTAAATAAGATCTTTAAATCAGAGTTTTGGAATGTTCATTTTTCCATCCTCAAAACACTGTTTAATACAATATAAAAGATAAATTCCTTACATATATATGTCTATAGCTAAGTCAACTTAAGGTACTTTTGAGTCAATTAATTGACTTCCCTCTCCTTGTGATCGTATAGTTATGCTGTAAGAACAATGCTGCTCCTTACACACCTCCTCCTCTTAGCATTTGAGAGTTTAAAGGTAAGGGGCACGACAGATTTGTGATGTTTTGATAGAGTGTGTTGCCATGGAAATGACTGCCTTGTTCCTTACGAAGCATCATGACCTCCTTGCAAATGAAACAGGAAAAGGATGATTTCTGAGGATTCAACTGAAAGAAAAATTAATGGCTAGGGAAAAAAAGATCCAGAAACTAAGCAGACAATGTGAAAAATATTGCAATGTCAAGTGCTATACTGAAATATTTTCGAAGAACTTTTAAAAGCTATGACCTCCAAAATAGAAACCCTGTAATCAAAAAGATATAATATTAATGTGAAGATAAACCATAGAAATAACTTGGACCTGTGGTTTCTGAAAAAATATATTACAACCTCAATTCTGATAGATTATGAGAAAAATCATATGAATTTCTGTGGCTATGTTATAAAATTAAATGGATACTTTTTCCCTTCTAAAAGCAGTTTGCTTTCTTTTTTTTTTTTTTTTTTTTTGTGGTGCCCCTGTTTATACAGCTTATCCCTTATCACACTGACAAGACTGGGAACCACAGCAGATGGTCCCCGCAGACATAATTCTAACAGGTTTTTTGTGCAAACAAAAGATAAAGAAAGCTACAGCAATGATTTACTGATATCTAAAGTTGAAAACTGACAAAACACAAACTGCTTTTTTCTTACTGTTTGAACTGTTTATCCTTTAAACTACTAAATAAGATAGATATGGCCAAAATTAAATATGGTTTAAAAACTACAAAACCAAATACTCCAATCTTAACAGCCATTAAGTTCTGTCTTTGAGTTACCTAAATGTCCTAACTTTATTTTTTTTTAATTTTCACCATTGCCTTTGTCCCAGCAAAAGAAAGGATTTATAAATTTCTGCTTTATAAATCCTATTTAGTTATTATATTGTGAAATAAACTACTCATCTGGATTTTTCTTAAATGAGGAGGATGCATTTGAAATGAAAATTCCAAAATATTTTCCCAAGAAAAACTCACTAAAGAATGAATTAACTGAACTAAATCTGGAATCTTAGCTGCAAAGTCTATCCTATTTCAAAATAACCTACCATTTGAACATAACACACCACCAAATGGAAAATGTTCCCAAAATTACTCACCCTTCAAGATTAAAGAGTGTTTTCATACCATAAAACAGAAGCTATTTCATGACAATCTAACTGCAAAGAGAACTGTTTTTATGGTGTACCTGAAAATCCAGCAAGAGCCCCAAACAAAAATATATAATGAAACTGACAAGCATCTGAAATAAACTACCCAGACATCAAGCAAAAATACACCAGACAGACCCACAGGGCTCTTTTAATGTAGGTCATGATTGTCAGACCATAGCAAAAACATGGTGACCCTTGATAAAAATTAACCTTGATTATATGTAATCATGCACATATTTTGCCCTCAGTAAACAGTCCTCTAAAGTAAGTCCAAGGAGTGGATATCACAGTAAACTATGAACTACTTTTCACCAAAGAAAATGTCTGCCCATCATATTTCTATCAGTGGAGGTATAGGGGTACCTTCCATCATAATAGCTCAAGACATAAGGACCCTATACCATCTGAGCTAGGATTACATCCTTTTACTTTCTGAGAGGCTCTGTTTTATTGTGGAAAAATTATAAAAGGAAGCAAATTAAAATCAAATCAGGAATAATAGGCCCCATTATATCATCTATTTTATAGTTTATTTTTGTAGAAATCATTTGCAAAGTCTCTGACTAGGGGAGAGGTCCATATTAAAAAGCTTATTTTCCAATTAATCCAAGCTAATAAAACACTTTATGAAACAATCCATGAGGACAAAAATTCTCCATGCAGAATAATAACGAATATGTTCATATAATATAAACAATTTAGCCACAACTACTTAATTCAGGTAGTGACACCATAATACTAACCATATCAGTGTTGCAAATTTGAACCAGTATGAGCCAGCTAGTTATACTGCCTTCCACAGTCAAAATGCAGATGTTTGATTTTGCTAGCCAGCCATCACACAGGACAACTGAAAAACAGGACCAAGTGGCATACTCTGCTCAAATTAGTGCAAATCCATTACTACTGGAAGAGCAGTGGGTCAAAAAGCTCATCTCTGTACGGCATCCTTATTCAATAGGAACAATAGGTCTTCTCTGTACAATGCTTCCAAATCCAATCTAAAGTCACTGTATGGGTAAAGGACATATTTTTCTGATGTTAAGAACATCCAAAATTCAGAAAATGATAAATATATTAAGCATAATCTAACAGTTGTTATTTGATGTTCTACATCCTAAACCAAATACTATATTTATTTATGAACAGAAAATAAATTCTGTCAAATATAGAAGAAATCTAATTTTGACTTTTACAGTAAAAGTATGGCATCTACTTTAATTCTAAGACAACATATAAATCATCATGCTGATGTATCAGATACAATTTGAAATAAATGCAGCATACTTTCTTTGAACACATATTAGGTTCATTTCCATCTGCCATCTTTTTGGAGCATAAAAAACTCCTTAGCTGAAATATGTTTGCTAATAAATATAACTTGAGGTTTTTGTTGAAATTAAACTGCAAAAGTGTTATGAAAACTGTCATTTGCATACAACTCCAATCACCTACTATTCTCATTATGGTCACTATACTACATATTCTTAATACATAAATAACAAACACTGACCAGCAAGGTAAAATGACAACAACAACATTGAAATCCACAATGGAAATTTCCAATCTGAAAAAACAGATCTCAGATACTTTTTCAAAAAAGGCAAACAGGAAATGTGTAACAATGAGTTGCGCAACATGGTCCTTAAAATCCTGAACTTGCTAAATGTCATCATATTAGAAGGAGACTCTGGCTACAAGCTAATTTAATACTTAAATGTTAATATAATTTCCCCATTACTACATCTGCCATGAATGTTTTCTAACCAATAAAAGCAAGACTAGAAAATGGTATGTATGAGAGAAAAGGAAAATCAGCAATATCCTTGTTACATGTAGTCACAAACATACACTATATCTGGGCCTAGTTTTTTTCTTTTTTTAAACTACTACTATACTTTCAAAAATTGGTGATCATTTGAGCAGAAATAAAGTATGCAATTAGCTTGATTTTTTTTTTCCATCTAAAAATAATATAACTGAAATTAGACTACTATCTTGCCAGGCACATGAAGATTTTTAAGTATAATTTTGCTTAAAATATGCAGAGACTAAATCCTGAAATAAATTAACTTCTTTAGCCTCCACAAAACAAGGAACAAAAACAGCACTGGATAAATCTCGTTATAAGTACTGCAATGTGGACCCAATACATATGATAAATAAAGTATAAGAAAGCACTCAGCATTTCTATGTAAACTGCTTCTGAAGGATTATTATGGAATGCACACACTGGCTGAACTTAAAGTGTTTGGGTTTTAAACATTAATTTACTTTGACTATGTGCATGTCAAAATGAAAGATTGCTGTCTGGATCCAGACATGCCATATTAATATTGAACACAGGCATTCACTTCAGGTCAGTAGTCACTCCAAGTCGACTTCAGCAGGTGGTAAAAGTAATGTACTCATTAAAATGTATGTGTTACAAGGTTATCTCCCCAAAACAGCTCTCAAATACAGGTAGCCTTGAAACTTAAGCATTAGACAGGCTAGAACCAACCTCTAATTGTCACAAGTGTAGAGAAAATTGAACTTACTCTTGCTGCCTAATAACCAATGAATTTAGTTGCTTTCATGGGTATCTTGGGAGAAGTCAGAGATTTACATTCAATAAAGCTAACCTGGCTGCCTCCAACAGGGGTAAAGTGCTCTTGAACCAACCTGCATAGATTAGAATATCATTTTAGATCTAGAAGCCAAATAAGGGATTTTTCTTCATTTTGGATGCCTCACTGTATTTCTAAGTGAAATTTTACTCCTTTCATTTTTATTAACTCCATTCAAATTATTTTCCTCTTTTATGAGATAAAAATTTCAATTTTCCAGAATAAAGGCATAAATCTCAAGATAATAGGCCTGACTTATACCAAAGACATTTTTCTACCAAAAATTTTTTTTAAAATTACATCTGATCTTCAGCAAATACATCAAGATGGGTAACTATTCCCAAGAAGCTCAAATGCATTTTTTAAAATTACTCAACATCAAAGATAAATCTTTTCCATTTTATATCTGCTATACCTCAATTTAGACAAAATTACTCTCTAGCTCAGTCTAGAGAGTAATTTTGTCTCCCAAGTCAAATAATTTTCACTCCCAAGTCAGCCAATTAATTTACCACTAACTGATAAATCACTTTTTCATTTTAATAACATTTTTAATATATATAAACTATGTTTTTACAGGGTACTTTTCCCCCCAAAATGTCAATCCACTTCATCCATAAAAGCAGACAGAGTCCCCAAATTTGTAATTAAGCATTTCACATTGCTTCACTTCCTCATTATCCAACCAATTACTAGATAAGAGAACAGGGAGAAGGACAGGTCAGCAGAGATAGGGGAAAGAGAAGTCTTCTTACAAGGATAAGACTGCATCTGTCTTGTTCAACTGCTGAATACATAACACAACAGGCTTATGATGAATATCTAAGAATGAATGAATTTACAAAGAACCAGGGAACAGAGGAGTTCAACTTGCTTATTTTATATATGAATAAACTGAGGCTCAGGGAGATTACATGGCTTGACTAAGATCACAAGGTGAGTTGGTCAGCCTTGCACAGAGTAACTCAATAGATGCTCCTTTAAACATCGAGTTTTTTCTTATTCTCTCTTTCACCTATAGTACTTACTTCGTAACATCAATATAATTCTCTTTTTAGAGATTCACATAAGCTTCCCCTTCCAGAAATACAGGTAGAAGGTAATTCCTCCCCAGTGAGGGTGCTAACATTTCTGAAAATCCCCACAGCAGAATATATTTGGGGAGAATTTTTTAATCTAGTGGGAAGATAGGATAAGGAGACCAAAAGTAGAAAAATAAACTATAGAAGCCCCTATCAATAATCTATAACTTACCACAATAAAGATATTGCACTAAATGAAGAGACTATAAGGGTACATTTTACCCTTTTTTTTGTAATGATCAATACGGCACTTTTGGGGGTTCTCTAACCATCCCTTGATATCTAGGAATTCAGGATTTTCCTTCTACAGTTTCATTCAAAGGCTAGTAAATTTCTTTTAACTTGCAGCAGATAAAATGCATTCTAAAAAGCTGACCCAGTGCACACCTGTAATCCCAGCACTTTGGGAAGCCAAGGCAGTTGAATCACCTGAGGTCAGGAATTTGAGACCAGCCTGGCCAACACAGTGAAACTCTGTCTCTACTAAAAATTCAAAAATTAGCTGGCAGTGGTGGCAGATGCCTGTAGTCCTAGCTACTCGGGAGGCCAAGGCAAGAGAATCGCTTGAACCCAGGAGGCGGGGGTTGCAGTGAGCTGAGATCACGCCACTGCACTCCAGCCTAGGCGACAGAGTGAGACTTCGTCTCAAAAAAATAAATTAATTGGCAGGGCACAGTGGCTCACCCCTGTAATCCCAGCACTTTGGGAGGCCGAGGTGGATGGATCATGGGGTCAAGAGATAGAGACCATACTGGCCAACATGGTGAAACTCCGTCTCTACTAAAAATACAAAAATTAGCTGGGCGTGGTGTCATACGCCTGTAGTCCCAGCTACTCGGGAGGCTGAGGCAGGAGAATCGCTTGAACCCAAGAGGCAGAGGTTGCAGTGAACCGAGATCATGCCACTGCACTCCACCCTGGCGACAGAGACTCCGTCTCAACAACAACAACAAAAATTAATTAATTAAAAATAAAAATAAATAAATAAATAAAAAGCTTTCGCTGTAGTCAAATATTTTTAAGTCCCATCAATGCCTTTCTTACTTTATGATGGACTCTTATTTTCTGAGGTCTCACCAGGTCCCAGACACCCTCCAACACAGCTTCCTCCCAGCTCTCAGATACACGTATTAAAGCCCAGAAGAATCACTCTCTTGAGATGAAAGGTTAAAACTTCTACATGTTACCTACCAGCCATCTTTCTCCCTTTTTAACTTCCAATCCTCAATTTCCTCTTTTCTAAATCATCTCAAAAAGGAGTGACTTAGATATATCTAAGGAAAAAAATTCTACTGATTCTGAAAGACTATATAAAAGTAAATTGAATATAATCAACTGAAATTTCACACAAAGGAAAATGCTGCAGGGGTAGGGAGAGAACTCCAAATTTAGTAGCTAGTTTCATATTCAGGTAAAGGATTTTTCCATACTTCACAACACCTTTAGAATTAAAACAGCATAGCACCTGAATTAAGCATTATGGTGGCTGGCAGTCAATGCTAATTAGTATGACATGCTTAGACTTATCAGGTGGTCCATAGCCTACACCAATAATGAAATCTAACTCACTCGAAATGCTCTTGACCAAAGTAAAAGCATTCCTTTGGCAGGTGGCAGAAGGGATGATGAGTCAGGAAGAAATACTCAACACTGGCCAGATGCCTCAAGGAATCACCAGTAAGAACAGGAAAATTAAAAGAACCAACTGAAGAAACTAACAAAGAACAATGTGCCTATTTTATTCAATTGCTGTAAGCATGAAATTTATACTTACAGTGCCCATGAATCACAAAATCTGTAAAGCACCAATAAGGCCATTAATATAGTGAGGCTCATAAAAGTGTCTCAAAAACTGAACTACTTAAACTAGAAAAATGCTAAATTTAATTATGCCAAGTGGTAACAAATCATTCAACGTTTTACATCTAACAGTAAAAATAAGAGCAACACGAATTAGAAACCACCTCTATGCTCTATATAATAAGTTTTGTTTCTCATGAATGGCATGGATATTGATATAAATTCATTCAACAAACACTGAGGCTTATTATAAGCCAAATATGGTGGTAGGTACTTTGAATACAAGAATAAAGGGCCATCTCTGTACTCAAGATCAGTCTAATGAGACAAATACATAAATAATTGCAATAGAGTCTAACAAGTGCTACAAGAAGAAATAAAGACAATCTGGGTCACAGCAGTGTGTTAAGGAAGAGTCTGATGAGGGGGCAGAGTGGCAGCATAGGGAGGAGTGAAGTTAAAAATGTTCAAGAAGGATTTCACACCTCACATTTCTTTGTTTTTTTGTTTTTTTGTTTTTTTTTTTTTTTTGAGGCGGAGTCTCGCTCTGTCGCCCAGGCTGGAGTGCAGTGGCGCGATCTCGGCTCACTGCAAGCTCCGCCTCCCAGGTTCACGCCATTCTCCTGCCTCAGCCTTCCAAGCAGCTGGGACTACAGGCGCCCGCCACCACGCCCGGCTAATTTTTTTTGTATTGTTAGTAGAGACGGGGTTTTACCGTGTTAGCCAGGATGGTCTCAATCTCCTGACCTCTGATCCGCCCGCCTCGGCCTCCCAAAGTGCTGGGATTACAGGCGTGAGCCACCGTGCCAGGCCCACATTTCTTAATATAGTACTTTATTTACCTTACAAAGTAAGACAATGCATGTGAAAGAAGATGACCTGTCCCCCACACTTTTGGAACAGTCAAATGCGTTATTTCATAGACGAGAATTTAAAAGCTAAGAATAGGCCAGGCACAGTGGCTTACGCCTGGAATCCCAACACTTTAGGAGGCTGAAGTGGGAGGATCCCTTGAGGCCAGGAGTTGGAGGAGAGCCTGGGCAAAATGGCAAGACTCCGTCTCTACAAAAAATTTAAAAATTAGCTGGGTGCTGGGCACGGTGGCTCACGCCTGTAATCCCAGCGCTTTGGGAGGCAGAGGCAGGCGGATCACGAGGTCAGGAGACGGAGACCATCCTGGCCACCACGGTGAAACCCCCGTCTCTACTAAAAGTACAAAAAAATTAGCCGGGCGTGGTGGCAGGCGCCTGTGGTCCCAGCTACTTAGGAGGCTGAGGTGAGAGAATGGCGTGAACCCGGGAGGAGGAGCTTGCAGTGAGCCGAGATCGCGCCACTGCACTCCAGCCTGGGCGACAGAGGGAGACTCCGTCTCAAAAAAAAAAAAATTTGCTGGGCATGGTGGTGCACACCTGTAGTCCCAGCTACTCAGGAGGCTGAGGCAGGAGGATCTCTTGAGCCTGGGAATTCAAAGTAGCAGTGAGCTATGATCATGCCACTGCACTCCAGCCTGGGCCACAAAGTAAAACCTCGTCTCTAAATTAAAATAATTAATTAATTAATTAATTAAAAAGCTGAGACTAGATAAATAAGTTCACCAACAATCAAAGTGATCTTTGGAGCAAGACCCCAAATCTTCCAACTCCTAATTCCATATTCCTTCTATGAAGACATCACCCCATTCTGTCTGACTGGCTACCAAAAGAGGCTATCCATTATATATCCTATTTTGGCTCATTTCCTAACTCACGCTCTCCATCAGAAAAAGATGTGCAAGAGAGAAACACGTTTAAATAGATTGAAATGGACTAAATGTGTGCTTAAATCAAATTTCATTAAGTTGCCAGTTAATTTCAGGGACTCAAAACATTTACATGTAATAGTGAATTTTCCTTATTAATGCTTAATACCATAATAGCTAGTATTTATCAACCATTTATTAATCATAACAACTACTCCATAAACCATTTTAGAGAGAAGTAATCACAGGCACAGAGACGTTTGTGAAATACAGGCTGGTGCAAAAGTAATCGTGGTCTTTGCCATTACTTTCAATGGCAAAGACCACGATTACTTTTGCACCAACATATTCTTAATTATGCCACGTATACCAATTTGAAAGTTACCAAGTTTTTCGGATATTTGAGTCAGTCAATGTCTTTCAGATCCAGATGAGACCCAAAAATGGGGAGGCAACAATTTCAAGACAAAGCGAAAAGAACATTACACTTTCAGATCAAGAGCTAAAAATAAGGAAAAATACCCCTCCTAGTATATTCTCTGTAGAAAGAACACAAATAAGTAATAAGGAGAAGCTTCTGTAGATGAGGAAAGATAATAAAGATGAATTATATTTAAGGTACATAAATTGTTTTCCTTCTATGGAATTTTTATTTTAACAAATTTTTTTAAACAGTTGAGTTCTCCCATCTATTTTAGGCCTTGGTCTCTGCTACCTTAAGGTCATGAATTTATGAACCACATACAGTATTTTCCTACCATGGGAATCTTTAGATGCATAACCCTCAAGGTTTAGGGAACAGAAAAATGGATGCAATAAAGTAAAAACTGCCAGTGATGTCTAGTTTTCATTCTTGTAATATTTTCTCACTGATATTAAACAAAAATCAAGAAAAAAAATCAAAAGATGTTAATAAGCCCTTGCTTAATAAAACCAATGACCCAACTCTCTTTCCTAATTAAAAGCTTACAGTACTTAGAGTGCTTACTATTTTCAATGAATGTTCAGACATAAAGTCCTATTAAAATTATGTATATTTTATAATTTCCTCCATTACTGATACATGCTTAAAGAAATTGATTCTGAGATACATTTTTCTTGTTCTTTTTCAGTTCTTGACACAGACTAGTGAGTGGCACTATGGACTAACAAGCATATTCAACCAACACAGAGGATCGAAATTAAAAAGCTATAACATATTAACATATCTAGGCCACACAGAAGGGTCATGAGGCAAGATCATCAGCATAAATTAGCACATTATTACAAGGCATCTAAAGGAACCAGGCAAAATCTGCATGACAGATCTTTCTTTCATAACGAATATATAATGCTATTTGATTGCATTTCTTTTAATCACAAGTATTATTTGGAGGGAAAATACTCGTAGTCTAATATCACATTTTACTACCTACCCAAAATTGGAATTATGGACAGCCAGGGTATGTATGGGGTTGGAGAGGGAAGCCTGTTAAAACCATTTTTGGGACACTTAACTATCTTTGTCCATTTGTCCAGAAACAAAGGGGTTTAAAAAAAAAATCACTGAGTGCATTTTTGCTTTTTCTAATTTTCCCACAAAAATCTGAAAGCATTAAATCATTTAGGAAAAAAGCCTTTGTTATTTACCAAACCCACAGAATTACACATCTACTAAAAGAGGTGAAATAGCAGTTCAGTTTGTTAATGAAGCCCTGTTTTTTCATCTCTACAGTAAGAATATCCTAAGACTACGGCCTCTAGGGTATTAAAGAGTCACAGTATCTTCTTTTTATTTTTTATGCTACTCATAGCTCACAGAACCACTGTCAAATACTGGAAGAAAATATCTATATGATAGTCTTTAGCTACTGGAACTGTTGCTGAATAATCAAATCCTCCTGTAATTATGCATTTTTAAACAATTCAGACAAATCGCATATGTAGCATATTACTAACATCAACAAACCCTGCTAGAAGAGTGAACATTTAAATATAAGCACATATACTCCCATGAACATAAAAACAAACCTCTAACTGCCAACTGTGCCTTCACTTCCCCCAAGCTATATACATTTAGTAACTGAGACAGTCATTTCAGAGTTAGGAGGATGGGTTTTTAACGGAAAAAAATGTAAACTTTCTTTCCAAGGCATGGTACCCTAAAAAGTGATTTTCAGAGAGAAATAAAAACTGAAACATACAAATTATATTGCCTCAAAATAGTCCCTACTTTTAAGTAAAGGAAACAGTAGAAGCACATCTGAAATTATTATATCTTGGACTTCTAAACTTACCCCCACAACAAAAGTAAAACATTTTATAATAGTAATGGAACTGTCTTGTGCTTTTTCACCCCTGTAAAAATCACTGACAAATGCTGTTCATTTAAAAATATATATATATATAGATAGCTTTGATGGGATAAAAAAATATCCTACTTGTATTCTCTTTCTAGGTCATAAACTACATTGGATGTAATAGGCTGTATAAATGAACAATCAGGAGGTTTCCGTCTAACTGTATGGGAAGTGTATTCACCACATCCTGCTATATAAATAACCCTCACTTCAAGTCAAATTCATATTATCTAATTTTTGCATTTCTCACCCAGAGAAGCTCTTCGCAGGACCTGGACCTAGATTCTCCTCTCATCACACAACTGTGAGTAGGAAATTCAAGCAATGAAAGGTTTTGCTACATTTTCAAAGGTACTTTTAAGATAAAATAACTTTCTAAAATGAATAAACCTGGGCAGTGTGACCTAAAAGCCACATAAATAATTTATTTGTGGCTGTCATGTTTTAATCACTGGACTGTTTTCAGAGGCTTAAAAAATTTAATGGTTTTTGTTATACAAAAGCAACTAGGTTTTCCATGAAACATTAGCTGTCACATTAATACAAGGTTTTATCATTAATTACAATGGATCACACAGGAGTTTATATCTACAAAATGATTGTTAAATATCTGAATTTCCAAACCATTTCAAAATAAAAATGAAACCTGGTCCTAGTAAACTTTACATGAATTAAAGATCCATTTACAAAACAGAAAATTAAATGTAAAAAAATAACCTCAATTTAAAACATTTGTAGATAAAACATTCAACACACTTTTTCATCAAAAAATGCAAATTAAAATATTAAACATAGGTAAACAGTGCCATCTTTTGGTATATTTAGGAACTGAGCTAAATTGTACAAAAACATCTTTAACAGATGAAAGGTGAGTAGAGCAAAGAATTCAAAAACCATCAGTTTATCATTTTATAACATTTAAGCTTTATAAATATATTAGCTTTTTTGGAGATGGGGTCTTGCTATGTTGCACAGGACAGACTCAAATTCCTGGCCTCAGGTAATTCACCTGTCTCAGCCTCCTGAGTAGCTAGCATTACAGGCACAAGTACCAAGCAGGCTATTTTTAAACTTATAAATATTTCCAAAAACATATTACCTCACATTTGTTTTCACTTCAATTTCATGAGATTAATAGAGCATCATTACATTTTAAAGACACTGAGGCTCAGAACATTTTAGTAATTGATCCCAAAATCCCTCAGTTAAAAATGATTGAGCCATCGCTGGCTTAAAATTGCTCGTTTTTACATTCCAACATTAATTCATTAAGCTTAGATAATGAGCCAAGTTATATAATTATTCTGTATTATAAGCAATGAACAAATTTTTATATTAGTTAAGATTCTGTAAAAATCGTTTGATTGCTTTTAGTATTTTTTGTATAATTTGGAAAGGAAAAGATACTTATGTTTATTAAATGAAGAATACACATTGACTACATTCACACAGCTGCTTACACTTCACAAATGCAAAAACTTTTAATCCAATATAGTATTCTTCATATCTCTATGTTAATGAGAAAAAAAAAAAGCCCTCGTTGGCTAGGTGTGGTGGCTCATGCCTGTAATCCCAGTGACTAGGGAATTTGAGATGGGAGGATCAGTTGAGGTCAGGAGTTCAAGACCAGACTGGGCAACACAGTGAGACACCATCTCTATAAAACTAAAAAAAAATTAACAAAAATATTTTTAAAAGCCCTTGTTTATGGCTTGCACATGATTTTACACCACAATATAAAAAGCCGTTACAAATGGAAATGATAAGCTTCAAATACTCTCCCTAAAGCTTCTCTGGCTTAATTTTGATCTTAGATGTGTCCATATACCATTTTCAATGTCTTCCACTTTTGTATTGTTCAGTGATTTTCTGAATAGTTTTATTAAGCCATAACATTTATTCCAGAACACTCTCACAATTCCTTCATTTTTGTAAGCTAGCTAATAATGAACTTCCTCATGGAGAGAAAAAAAATATTCTCAATGATCTATCTTTATCTTTGATTCACTTGTTACTAAGAATTTTACTCAAACTGCAATCATTAGTTCTTTACACAGCAGACTTGAAGATCATGGTTAAAACACAATCATTCCATCTTATATCATATAGCAATTCAATTAAAAAGAACATCAGAAAAAAGACAAGTCAATAAGATCACCAAAAAGGCTACTGAAAACACTGCTGAAGGAGTGAAAGCAGAGAAAGAGTCAATGGGATGAGCCATAAGCACTACATCTTCTGTCAAATGGAACTAGGTGATCAAAAACAATTAGACACTAACTCAGAAATGTAGTTACTTCACCCATTAGGCCTTACCTCTTGTCTACCGTATATTCAAGAAAAAGCACCGTATAGGACATGAGAATTGATAAACTTAGCTGTCTCTAAGTATGATTTGCCGGGAAAGATTGAAATAACATGCTAACAATGAATTTTTTTTTTTTTTTAAGATGGAGTCTCACTCTATTGCCCAGGCTGGAGTGTAGTGGCATGATCTTGGCTCACTGCAGCCTCCACCTTCCAGGTCAAAGCAATTCTTCTGCCTCAGCCTCCCGAGTAGCTGGGATTACAGGCGCCCACCACCATAGCCGATTAATTTTTTTTGTATTTTCAGTAGGGACGAGGTTTCACCATGTTGGTCAGGCTCTTCTGGAACTCCTAACCTCAAGTGATCCGCCCACCTCAGCCTGGGATTACAGGCGTGAGCCACCAGGCCTGACCAACAGTGAATTTTTTGATGGATTTAATTTCATCCCCAGGCTCTCCTTTTTTCATCTTTAGTAGGGCTGGATGCTGTCTACCCTCAAGAGTAAATAGCATTCCAGATCTTCTCCAGAGACTCTAAATTTCCTTTCCTTATTTCTGAGTGGATGGAAATCCCATTTTGAAGGCCCTTATTATTTCTCTCTTCATTATTCCATGGGTAGAAAAGAAAAAAAACAAAGAGAATGCCACTCTCATTCCCACCCTTACAATATGCCTCTTTACCAACCGTTGCAAATAACTCAAGTGAATACAAGTAATACTCCAAGATAATCTCTCTGCGAGGGCACAGGAACACACACAAATAAATGGAAATATATATAACCATACTGTATTAAGTTTGAAGGAACATCAAAATTTCTAATACTGAATCCAATCCCATTAAATTGAAAGCAATTACTGCTTCCAATTGAATAAGAATGGATTAAATTAGATTTCTGATTCAATATAATTTGTAGTGTCCATGACAGGAAAAGTGATAGTATAAGGATCTTATCCAAGACATGTCAAGACTATGCAGACTGGACTTGACAGCCACCCAAATAGAATTTTACTGAAAAACTCAAGGGATTCCCATACACACTGCATTTATCTAACCTTTGGAATATACTTTAATTTTTCTTCTAACTTAAAGATAAAAAGAATAAAATTACTTCTATACATTATATTCAAGAAATATACTTGTTTTTACTTGTTCACTAATGCACACAAAAAAACACCTGAATTACTACTTTGTGCCAGGTATCATATCTAATAATTATTATAATACTAAAATACAAAGTTGACCACTTTACATATACTGATTCATTTAATCTTCAGAAAGGACTACCACTGCCATCTTCATTTAATAAGGATGCTAAGACACAGAGATATTATCAAAGTTATATAGCTAATAAATGGTGGTAGTTGGTTTTACAGTCTGGCTTAATATTAAGAGCTGGCTACAGTCTGTTCTTTTTTTTTTTTTTTTTTTTTTTTTCTTTTTTGAGATGGTCTTGCTCTGTCGCCCAGGCTGGAGTGCAGTGTTGTGATCTCAGCTCACTGCAATCTCCACTTCCTGGGTTCAAGCGATTCTCATGCCTCAGCCTCCTCAGTAGCTGGAATTACAGGCACGCACCACCAAGCCCAGCTAATTTTTTTATTTTTAGTAGAGATGGGGTTTCGCCATGTTGGCCAGGCTGGTCTCGAACTCCTGACCTCAGGTGATCCGCCCCTCTCGGGCTCCCAAAGTGCTGGGATTACAAGCATGAGCCACTGCGCCCGGCTGACAGTCTGTTCTTAATAACTAAGCAACAGTGTCTCTGACATGTCAAAGGTAAAGATGAGAAAGACAGAAAGAACTCACACATCATAAAAAAGAAAATGTAAACCAGTTAAATTATCTTAACACAGGAACTAGCCGAGACGTCACTCTAAGCCAGCAGAAATAAGCTAATGGCAGCAGTGCTAAGCAGAGCTACATTTTATGCAAGGAGTTTGAATCTAAAATGATTAGATTAGGTAAAAATCATGTATAGCCACAACTCTTCCCAAAAAAGTCCTTAATCAATCATAAAAATAATGTATACATGGATTAGCATACGTAACACTTTAAAAGTCCTTAGAAACTCAAATTTGAGAATGACCAAGCTACAATGAAAGAAGAGGTAAAAGCAAAGTCTCTGCAAATCCTGAGATATTCAAATCACTTCCCCCTTAACCATCAAACATATGCTGGTAAAGTAGGAATTGGTGGGAAATTTTTAAATGCAGTAGTTTACTACATTCTGTTTTATTATTAAGCCTCTTTAACCATATTATATGTTAATAGACTTGAAGATTAATAAGCTATACAAGTTGCATACTATGCAAAGGTTAGTTTTTAGTGAGTATGAAAGCAATGTAGTATTAAAGGTAACAAATGTTTGTCCTCAAATTCAAAAACTCCCACCTTCATATGCTCCTATGGACAAAGAGGACAACAACCAGATTCTAGGACAAGCACAGTCAGGGCAACAGAGCAATGAAGGTGTCAAGCAGTAAGCCAGTGACTAAATAATTTTCACATCTGTTCAGCACACATATTGCAGACGGGTATCTGCACAAGATCATACTGCCTCTGAAAGGGTCATACTGCCTCTGAAAGGGTCAATTTGTCCAATTTTTATATAAATACTGCTAAAAAGTTTTTTAAAAAATCAATCAGAAGAAATAAAGTGTAAACTAATTTAATGACGCCTAATAATTGCATTAGAAGAACATTTGTAACATGAAATTCACTTTCATTTATAATAGTGTAACTGCAGTGATCATGTAATGCAATATTGCCATCTCTTGCCCAATAGCTAAAAATACATCATGTCTTTAATCCAAACACATGACAATTTTAAATTGAAGGCCAAAAAGAGCCAACACTACATGTTCAATTGTTAACATCTCAGAAGTTTTTTCTCCCCAAAATTAAAGAAGACAATACTAACAACAGATTTTTAAATGAAGCTTTCATGGTAATTTATCATCTGCCCATTTTCTTAAAAAAGAAAATTAATATTTAAACACACGCTATTTCTAAATAAATTATCCCAAAAATATTTCACAAATCTCTAAGCCTGATGTGAATTATTAAGCAATTAAGCAAATGTCAAGTTTCTGAAAATCTGGGTATATGTTTATCTGACTCATGAAAATTCTAAAATATTATAAACATAAAATATTTTAAGTTCAATACCATAATGCCGGTAATTCTGAAAAGACTAGGCATCTTAACACACTTCAGCACTCCATAGCAGTTTATTCACAAAAATTAATACAATTACACTTGAATTTTGAAGTATTATTTCTCACATGCTACAAGAAGTGCAAACCAGACATTTAGTGACCTGAAAAGGTCAGGCCAAAGGTTGAACAGGATGAAAAATGATCTTTAAGTTCACAAGAAAGACAACAAAAAAAGATTAACTTCTCCCACATCTTTACTAGTGGCAAAATTGAGAACAAGAACTTATAAACATTATCAAAATACTTTAATTGCCATGAGAGTTACTAACTTTTAGTGGGCATTCATTTTGGACATAATACCAGGGTAAGAAAAACTAGGACTTGGAACCAAAACATTTTAGAATTCACAACAGTGAACGAGGTTTTTCCTTAATCCCTTTAGAAGGTGAAGATTCTAATCAACCATACATGTTAACTCTCAAACATAAGAAAAATATTGCTTAAAAAAATTTTAAGGTTGACACTATTTGATTTGTGTAAATAACATGAATTTAGTACAAAATCAAAATTAATACCACACAGTAGTCTCTTGGTTCAAAAATATTTAGTTTTGTGCTTCATAAAATAACAAAAAAAAAGGAAATTACTGGGCCAAGATGGAAAAACATCAGAAACTAAGTACTTCTGTGCTCCATTTTAAAAAGAAAAAAAATAGAATGTAGAGATCAGAAAAATCATCATGCAACTATTGCATAACACAGTAATGAAGAGTATTAAACATCCTTTTAAAACATATTAAGGGCCAGCCACGGTGGCTCACGCCTGTAATCCCAGCACTTTGGGAGGCCGAGGCAGGTGGATTGGTTGAGCTCAGGAGTTCAAGACCAGCCTGGGCAAACAACATGCCCTAATTCTCTTATGTCGACTTTTCTTCCACTCTTCAATGCAATTTCCACTCTTAAAAATGTATTGTAACGCCTTTAAATTGCTGCTTATCTTCTACAACTTCGAACAACACATCCTTGACCTTGTCACCACTGCCAATCTATTTTCCTCAACAACATGGAAATGTGGTGTGATGAACAAATCTTCTTAACTCAATTCCTTCTTAGATTACAAAGTGATTTTTCCTGGCCCAGGCTAGCCATTCCAGAATTCCAAGTATAGGATTCCCAAATTTCATTCACCTATAACACAAGGTCTGGTCAAAAAGAGTCTGTCTAGTTCATGCACTTACTGTTTCAACCCCAGTTGTTTATCATACAGACCGCACTGCCATGTGCCCAGAAATCTCATTTTACATTTAGATATCTCCAAATTAATTTATCACCCCAAATCCTAACACTGTGAGCTGTTTTATTTTTGTTGTCTGGGCAGATAAAAGGTAGGGAAGCTATCAAACCTGTTTAAGATTTCCATCTCCCCCTCCTAGAAAGCTGAGTCCCTTGGAGAGAGCTGATAGAAAGAATACAGCTCGGTGATCCAATAACCACTGTCATCCCTGCCACAACTGGTACTTCGCTTTTATTTTGTTGGGAGTTACCCCTTAAAAAATGTCTATTTCTACTACCTCTATGCTATCAGATCCTCACACAAAGGCAGCTTTGAATAAAATTCTCTCAACTTTCTACATGAAATAATAGTGGCCAAAATGTGCAGAAAAATATTAGAACTTAATAATCTCAGTTCATGCAAATAACCTAACATAAGCACATTTCCACAGGAAGAAAAGTAAGAGTGAATTACTGGCAAGTTAAGGATGTTTGTTTGTTTGATGTGTTTGTTTGTTTGTTTGTTTAAGACGGAGTCTCACTCACTCTGTCACCCAAGCTGGAGTGCAGTGGTGTGATCACCGCTCACTGGAACCTCCGCCTCCCAGGTTCAAGCAATTCTCATGCCTCAACCTCCTGAGTAGCTGGAATTACAGGCATGCACCACCACGCTGGGCTAATTTTTGTATTTCTAGTAGAGATGGGGTTTCACCATGTTGGCCAGGCTGGTCTCAAACTCCTGACCTCAGGCGATCCTCCTGCCTCAGCCTCCCAAAGTGCTGGGATTAGAGGCATGAGCCACCGTGCCCAGCCATGTTAAGGATGTACTTTTAAATAATGATCTTGAGACTACAGTTTTGCAGTACATAAAACATATATATGTATTCACATATATATACATATGTATACATATATATAGTAAAAGCTTGGAAAATTATCTGAAAATATCCACAAGAAGGACATTTTACAGATCAGCAGAAATAGTTTCTATTTTAATGTATGAAAGGCTTTGTTTCTCTGTATATAATTCTATGTTTAACTTCCAAGCCTTAGAATAATGCTAAGATTCAACTATATCTATAAGCTGATGGTCACACCTTGCATTACAGATACTACACATGATCAGACTACAATTTACTTGCACTATAATTCCAGGTAGACTTCAGAACCTTAAGATATTAACAACAGACATCATCTTTGGCTACAGAATAAAGAATTTTGGCAAGAAAACCCTGGGTTACATTTTTTAAAAGTTCTATTCAATATATAACTAAACACTTCACTGTAAATACTTATTACTTACACATATAATTTTAAGTCAGAAACCTTAATGTCAGGATTTTTATTTATTTATGTATTTATTTATTTTTCATTTATTTATTTATTTATTTATTTATTTATTTATTTTTTTTTTTTGAGATGGAGACTCGTTCTTTCTGTTGCCCAGGCTGGAGTACAGTGGCATGATCTCAGCTCACTGCAAGCTCCGCCTCCCAGGTTCACGCCATTCTCCTGCCTCAGCCTCCCGAGTAGGTGGGACTACAGGCGCCCACCACCATGCCCGGCTAATTTTTTTGTACTTTTAGTAGAGACAGGATTTCACCGTGTTAGCCAGGATGGCCTCGATCTCCTGACCTCATGATCTGCCCGCCTCAGCCTCCCAAAGTGCTGGGATTACAGGTGTGAGTCACCACACCTGGCCTATGTCAGGATGTTTTTAAATAATTTCTGTAAGGCCTAAGTTAACATTTTGTTTTTCCTTTATCTTCAGGTACAAGCTATACAAAATTAGCAGAGCTAAATGTATGTTACAAACTGTAAGACACTATATAAATGTAAATAATCATGGTGATAGTAAAGGAGCAAGAAAGCTAGATTAAAGAGTTATGTGTAGAAAGTATAAGTTAACAGCCCTATACTAAGATAGTTGATGATTCTTTCATTGAATCCACTAGAATTTCCAAAAATATCCTATTGAGGTTCCACTGGATCAATTACTTTATACTTATGATTAAGGAGGTAGGAATGGACCAGGTAGCACTCTGCTGACACTGCTATCTATAACTGAAGAAACAGCTTACTTTTTTTTTTTGAGGCGGAGTTTCAGTCTTGTTACCCAAGCTGGAGTGCAGTGCCACAATCTCAGCTCACTGCAGCCTCTGCCCTCCAGGTTCAAGCTATTCTCCTGCCTCGGCCTTCCTAGTAGCTGGGATTACAGGCATGCACTATCATACCAGGCTAATTTTTGTATTTTTAGTAAAGACGGGGCTTCACCATGTTGGCCAGGCTGGTCTCGAACTCCTGACCTCAGGAGATCCACCTGCCTAGGCCGCCCAAAGTGCAGGGATTACAGGCGACAGCGATCGCACCCGGCCAAGAAACAGCTTACTTTCAAATCCCAACTCAGCACTGAAATTAACAGACTGACCATGTTCCTGTGGTATAGACTGCAGTGGGATATATACCCCCTTCTTTCCACCAAAAAAAAACGAGAAAGGCTTCTAATAAGGGTTACATATTTTAAAACTCTGGCTGGGGCCGGGCGCAGTGGCTCATGCCTGTAATCCCAGCACTTTGGGAGGCCGAGGCGGGCGGATCACGAGGTCAAGAGATCGAGACCATCCTGGCTAACACAGTGAAACCCCGTCTCTACTAAAAATACAAAAAATTAGCCGGGCGTGGTGGCGGGTGCCTGTAGTCCCAGCTACTCGGGAGGCTGAGGCAGGAGAATGGTGTGAACCTGGAAGGCGGAGCTTGCAGCGAGCTAAGATAGCGCCACTGCACTCTGGCCTGGGCAAAAGAGCAGGACTCCGTCTCAAAAAAAAAAAAAAACAACTCTGGCTGGGCACAGTGGCTCACACCTGTAATCCCAGCACTTTGGGAGGCCAAGATGGGTAGATCACTAGGTAAGGAGTTTGAGACCAGCCTGACCAACAAGGTGAAACCCCGTCTCCACTAAAAATTCAAAAATTAGCTGAGCGTGGTGGTGCATGCCTGTAATCCCAGCTACTCAGGAGGCTGAGGCAGGAGAATTGCTTGAACTCAGGAGGCGGAGGATACAGTAAGCCCAGATCGTGCCACTGCACTCCAGCCTGGGCAACAGAGCAAGACTCCATCTCGGAAAATAATAAAAATAAATAAAAATAAAAAAATAAAGCAGGTCCTACCTCCCATATTACAAAAAGTGAAAGAATACATTATGAGCTTAAGTATTTCCTAAAACAACTTCTAGGATTTAACACAGAATATGAAGGCCTTTCCTTTGCCAAAAAAGAATAAACTTCTTGTCTGCTGGAATCCATGGCTGGTTCAATTTCATATCTTTACACCTCTTTAGCACTCTACTCTGTAACATATATCATGTTCAGAGAATGTTTGCCAAATGAATAAACTATAAACACATATACAAAGAAACTATCAAGAATGTTAACAGCTCAGCAATTTTTAAATAACTGCTCTGAAAATGTGGGCACCCAGGCTAAACACTCTATTCTGACTTAGGTAAGCATGTCCACAAATATTTCGTACACATAACACCATTACTCTTCAGTGTTTATGAACCACAGCCTCAGTCAATGGTCTTTGGATGGACTTTTTTTTCCAACTAACCAAAAAACACATACAATATTCATTCACACCAGGCATGGCTGCAAACTAAACATAACACAGCTGTATCTAACACAGCTGTATCTAAATGAGGGCTGTTCCCAAAGCAGTCACCTTGGAAGCCTAAACCTTTATTCCACTATCAGGCTAGGGAGTGGTTACGAATTCCTTAACAAAATTGTGTAAGGATTGTGAGGTTCTGAAGAGACCAAAAACGTGTAAGAATCACAGCTACTCTTTCAGAACTCTTTAAGAACTGATTTCAGAATCACTTAAGACAAAATTTATTCTCAACTAGAACAGCATTGTGCAACATCATAGCACATATTTTATTCACCAGATTTGGCCTCAAATGACCTGTGGCCATTTTCTAATACTAAATGTATTCTCAAGATATGAAGATTTGCCACCAATGAGCACACTGAAAACAATTTACCAACATCTCCCAAAGAAATAATCCAAAAACAATAAACAAAGGATGACTGGAAAAAAAGTTTAATCTATAAAAATTGCCTACTTGGAGAACACATTCATTTCTTTAAAAAGCCATGGTGCTCACAGGGAAAGTTTAATTGCTTCCCAAGATACTAATCTAATTATATCACATATCCATGTACCCACGATACAAGTAATTGTTCTGAGTTTTAGGGGCTAACATCATTTCTCCTCAGTAAGTTTTATTCTTTGAATGAGAGACAAGCAGGCACGATTTTGTAATAGTTTATTTAAAAGTTGGCCAAACACAGTGGCTCATGCCTGTAATCCCAGCACTTTGGGAGGCCAAGGCGGGCAGACCACTTGAGGCCAGGAGTTAGACCAGTCTGGCCAACATGGCAAAACCCCATCGTTACTAAAAATACAAAAATTAGTCAGGCATGGTACCGCACACCTGTAATCCCAGCTACTCAGGAGGCTGAGGCAGGAGAATCATTTAAAAGCTGGCCGAGCACGGTGGCTCATGCCTGTAATCCCAGCGCTTTGGGAGGCCAAGGTGGGCAGACCGCTTGAGGCCAGGAGTTAGAGACCAGTCTGGCCAACATGGCAAAACCCCCATCGCTACTAAAAATACAAGAATCAGTCAGGCATGGTATCGCACACCGGTAATCCCAGCTACTCCGGAGGCCGAGGCAGGAGAATCATTTGAACCCAGAAGGCAGAGGTTGCAGTAAGCCGAGATGGTGCTACTGCACTCCAGCCTGGGCAGCGGAGTGAGACTACGTAACAAAAAAGTTATGAGCCACCTTTTTCTTCAAAATAAAAAAGGGTTTGAAAAGAGGCAATGAACAACAGCAAACTGCTCTGACAGTTCGCTTTATGAAGCTGTTGTTTTTGTTTGTTTTTTTGAGACAGTGTCTCACTCTGTCACCCAGGCTGGAATGCAGTGGGGCAATCTCAGCTCACAGCAACCTCCGCCTCCTGGGTTCAAGCAATCCTCCTGCCTCAGCCTCCCGAGTAGCTGGGATTACAGGTGTGTGCCACCACACCTGGCTAATTTTTGTATTTTTAGTAGAGACGGGGTTTTGCCACATTGGCCAGGCTGGTCTCAAACTCCTGATCTCAGGTGATCTGCCCACCTCGGCCTCCTAAGTGCTGGGATTACGGGCGTGAGCCACCACACCTGGCCTTATGAAGTATTAACACAGAATAATTATATCCTGAATTTGCATATTTAAAAGCAGCAATTTCAAATACATACCCACATAATCTTTCTTCCCCAAATGATAAAAATATCTATGACTACTGAGAACTAATTTTGATATAATTTATCTGCATACTGTTTTCAATAAACTCCCTATACATTATACATAAGGTATATTTTATACCTATTTTATGTTATACATTTAATATTTTAGGTTTCCATTTGATTAACGAAAACATTATCAACTAGTAAGCCATAATAAACTTTATACATTCTCATTATTCCATAGTAATGAAAGTGACTACTGGCATAGGTAATCCAGAAGTCATTCATATCAAATCTTTAAATATAAAATCTGTAGAGATTTACTTCTTAAATGTCTTATCAAAGCTAATTCTGTTTATATTTCCTGGGCCTATAGCACCTAGACTAGTGAAGAAAGTATTCCCACAGTCTGCTGCATGCAAGCCAGGCTGGAATTAACAACTATGAATTTCTAAAGTAGGAACAATCAATAGTTTATAAAATTAATACAAATACATATAATATATAAAAGCAACAGACTATGCTACATTAGCAAAAAAAAAAAAAAAATTCCCATTCAAGTAATTACTTCCTTATTTTCTCTTTTTAACTATTCCCAAATAAGAAACAAAATTAGGTGTGTAAAACAAAACCTAATATTCTTGTATAAACATACCAGGACTGTTATTTTATACAGACAAGTACTGTTACAAGACCAAACACAAACTGCTAATGGATTAAAATTTAATTAAAATGTATTAGATATTTAATATGACATAGAAAAAGTCAATATCTGATTTTCCTTATGTTTTAGGAAATTATCTCAGGGCCTTTTTTTTTTTGAGATAGGATCTCACTCTGTTGCCCAGGCTGAAGTGCTGTGCACAGAACAGCTCACTGCAGCCTCTACCTCTCAGGCTCAAGCGATCCTGCCACCTCATCCTCTCAAGTAACTGGGACTACAGGCAAAGACCAACACACCTGGCTACTTTTTAAATATTTTTGCAGGGCCAGGGTCTCACTATGTTGCCAACACTGGTCTCAAACTACTGGGCTCAAGCGACCCTCCCACCCTCTCTCACCTCGGCCTCCAAAGTGCTGGGATTACAGCAGGCATGAGCCAACACACCCAGCCTTTTTTTTTTTTTTTTCCTTAGGGTATTTTCTTAGCCAGGCACACAACTGTAGTCCCAGCTACTTGGGAGGCTGAGGTAGAAGGACCACTTGAGCCCAGGAGCTTGGGGCCAGCCTGGGCAAACATAGTGAGACCTGTCTCAAAAATAAATAAATATAAATCAATAAATAAATTCTATTTTCTTAATACTCAAACTACACCATCAGAATATGGTAAGGCAAGCCCAGGCTAAATTATACTAAAAATTACTAATGAATATAGAGAAGTAATTCTGAAAGCATATTTTGACCATTTTTAACTTAAAGGACAGAAATATTAAGACTCATTTTGCCATCTAAAGAATATGTTATAAAAAATACAAAATTAATAACATAAGGTATTTTAGGCCAGGCGCGGTGGCTCACACCTGTAATCCTAGCACTTGGGGAGGCCGAGGCGGGTGGATCACGAGGTCAAGGGATCGAGACCATCCTGGCTAACACGGTGAAACCCCGTCTCTACTAAAAAAATACAAAAAAATTAGCCAGGCATGGTGGTGGGCACCTGTAGTCCCAGCTACTCGAGAGGCTGAGGCAGGAGAACGACATGAACCCAGGAGGCGGAGCTTGCAGTGAGCTGAGATTGCACCACTACACTCCAGCCTGGGTGACAGAGCGAGACTCCGTCTCAAAAAAAAAAAAAAAGATATTTTAGTTACTGAAGGAAAAAGGGTGATACAAGGACTAGGTTTCCAATCCTCCTTAATCATTACATGCTGTCTTATAGCTAGGACTTGCCAATTACACATGCAAAGGCAGCCATGAGGTACAGAACAATGGTCAGGAGCAGTGTTTGGAAGTGACAAAGGACTTCACTGCATATGTGATTTAAGATAAGACGCAACCTCTCAGGCCGAGCACAGTGGCTCACGCCTGTAATCCCAGCACTTTGGGAGGCCAAGGCGAGTGGATCACGAGGTCAGGAGATTGAGACCATCCTGGCTAACACGGTGAAACTCTGTCTCTACTAAAAATATGAAAAATTAGCCAGGCATGGTGGCGGGCACCTGAAGTCCCAGCTACTCGGGAGGCTGAGCCAGGAGAATCCCTTGAACCGTGAGGCGGAGCTTGCTGTGGGCCAAGATCGCGCCACTGCACTCCAGCCTGGGAGACAGAGCAAGACTCTGTCTCAAAAAAAAAAAAAAAAAAAAAAAAGACACAACCTCTCCTTTCTCAACTGTAAAGTAGGGGTGCCAATATTTCCTCCTACTCAAGGACTAAGCAAGATAACATACATAAAGCACCGGGTCAGTGCCTGTCACAAAGCATTCGAATTATAGTTCCATTTAGTACACATAATAGATACAGAAATAGCTACAGATGCGTGCATATGTGTGGGTTACTATTCATACATAATTCCTAGCTCCATCCCCCAAGAGGACCTCACAACAGCGACACCTCACGGTGGCAACGAGCAAGCATATTGACTGCCCAGATCCCCTTTTCTAAATGCCATTCTCTTAATGAAAAAAATCAGGACTCCTTGGAAAACTGGTTGCTTCCAAGACTGGGGAAGGGAAAATATGAGAGATTAGAACATTTTGTGGTGCCAGGAAATAAAGAAGTGCTCAAAAAAAAGATGCCGGCATGCTGAAAAGACACAGGAGCCAGCCTGAACAAGATCCTAATGGCCAAGATTGGAACAACAAGCAGCATAATACATAATGATAGTATCAGACTATATCCACAGGATAAAATAAATATCCATGAGTCTGTACTGATAGAAATAACTAAGACGGGCCAGGTGCAGTGGCTCATGCCTGTAATCCCAGCACTTTGGGAGGCCAAGGCAGGTAAATCACCTGAGATCAAGAGGTCTAGACCAGCCTGGCTACCATGGCGAAACCCCATCTCTAAAAAATACAAAAAATTAGCCTGGTGTGGTGGCGCATGCCTGTAATCCCAGCTACTTGGGAGGCTGAGGCAGGAGAATCCCTTGAACCCCGGAGGCAGAGGTTGCAGTGAGCCGAGATCACAACACTGTACTCCAGCCTGGGCAACAAAGCGAGACTCTGTCTAAAAAAAAAAAATTTAATTAATTAATTAAGATGGAGAAGAATGGACAGCTCTTCCTTAGAGAAAAACTCCAATTAATAAATGTAAAGAGGAGGCTGGGCGCAGTGGCTCACACCTGTAATCCCCGCACTTTGGGAGGCCGAGGCGAGTGGATCACTTGAGCTGAGGAGTTCGAGACTAGCCTGGCCAACATGGTGAAACCCCGTATCTACTAAAAATACAAAAGTTAGCCAGGCATGGTGGCATATGCCTGTAATCCTAGCTACTTGGGAGGCTGAGGCAGAAGAATCGCTTGAACCTGGGAGGCAGAGGATGCAGTGAGCTGAGATCGTGCCACTGCACTCCAGAATGGGGCACAAAGAGACCCCATCTCAAAGTAAATAAATAAATAAATAAATAAATAAATAAATAAATAAATATAAATGTAAAGAAAACAAGATAGCAGAAAATCACCATTAAGTAAACACCACAGTAATAACTGTTGCAGACAAGATCCACCAGTAGATACTAAAATTAACAGGCCAAAGGTTGAGGAGAAATAGGATGTTTATTAGTTGTAATGAGAAAAACAGTGACTGTATTGGAAAGAAACCTAGCAGACATGGGTTAGTGTACCAGTATAAGACACACTGACATCATGACCCCGATATGACGCACTGAGAAAAATATAGTATCGCTTCTGTTCTCTGCTTGCCAAAAACCCAGAACCTCATTCTAATCATGAGAAAAAGACCAATTCAAGTTGAAGGACATTCTACATAATAATCATTTTCATCAGAAATATCAAGGAAATGTTTTCTTCAGAAGTGTCAAGGTCACAGAAGACAAGAAAAAATTAAGAAACTGTCACAGATTGGAGGAAACTAAGGGGACATGAAACTAAATGTAAGGTGGGACCCAACATTAGATCTTGGGACAGAAAAAGGAAGTTAATGGGAAAACTGGTAAAATTCAAATACGATCTACAGTTTAGATAACAGAAATGCACTAATGTTAATTTCCTGGTTTATTAATGATATTACAACTACGTAAGATGTTAATATCAAGGGAAGCTTGGTGATGGGCATATGTGAACTCTCTAATTTTACTACTTTTCTGAAAGTCTAAACTTATTTCAAAATAAAAAGTTTTTTTAAATATGACATCCATGGTTATCTACAAAATGTGTAATAACTATCTGTTTCACCTTAAAATCACTGTCATGCTAAAATACCCTTTAACTGCTAGGCTATTTATCTCTAAAAGCTTAATTCTGAAAAATTTAATCAATAAAATATATTATAGATCTCATTACCTGTAATTTTATAGCCATAAGCAGCTAGCTGTCCAGCCATATATTCTCCATCTGAATTATTATGAGAACAACCCCATGTTCGTATCCAAATTTTCTGTATGCCTGGAATAGTGCTGTTAAGGAATCAATAAAAAAAAAAAAGTAAGTTTCATTGAGTGATTTTTTTTTTTTTTGATCCAGGGTCTTGCTCTGTTGCCCAGGCTGCAGTGCAGCTGTGTGACCACAGCTCACTGCAACCTCAACCTCCCAGGCCTAAGGGATCCTCCCATCTCAGCCTCCCAAGTAGCTGGGACTACAGTCATGCACCAACACACCTGTTAATTTTTCTTATTTTTTGTAGAGACAGTGGCCCACTATACTGTCCAGGCTGATCTTGAACTCCTGGGCTCAAGTGATCCTCCCACCTTGTCTCCCAAAGTGCTGGAATTACAGGCATGAGCCACCACTACACCCAACCTCATTGAGTTATTTTTAAAATAAAAACCACTAGATGATTTTAAGATATATTACACAAAAAACAAACTCACTACAATCCATTCAAAAGCTATTCATTAAACGCACCAACTTAACTCAAAATCTGTTGTTGTATCAAAAGTCTAAAATCAAGATAAAATAACCACAGAATTCTAAAAAGTTAACACTCCACATAAAAAAATATCCTTTTTCTCTGAATTGCATTTTAAATTCATACTACTAACTTACTAAGTTCAACTCCTGGAAAGGTACACAAAAATAACAATAGGAAAGAAAGTGGTTCTAGCAGCAATGGCAAATAAAGAAAAGTATGTCTGTTTACAGATTCCTACATACTAGTTGCAATCTGTAGCTTCCTTAAAACTTACAGATATAAGTAACTTAATCAAAGTTAAAAACCGTCATCCTAAAGCATTATTAAAAGCACTCTATAAAATCAGAGTTCTAAAAATAACTTTTAGGGGAAAAAAGGACTTTCAACTTGGATTGCTCTAATAATTTATAAGTAAATAAAAATTACCTTAAGGACACATTTAGGACAAATTTTATAAACTTCAGTCATTAAAATATAAGCAAATTTTAAATTCCAAGAATTTAAAAGCTTAGTTTCCCAACAAAATAAGCAGATTATAAAGTTCAGCAGTTGACTAGATAAACAAATATAGGCTTATTAAAACCATATAATTACATTATCCTTTCTGGTTAGGTTGTATCAAAATTTCACGGACTAGAGATCTACTATAATAGCGTAAATAGGGCAATAATTTATTTGTGCCCACTGCCTTTACCTGATCCACAGGTATTTGAAAATCAGCTAAGAAAATTCAAATGTCCAAAATACTACTGTCTCATAAGAATCACAAACTCTGGTAAAAATTTTATTTGGAAATAACACAGACTTACATATCAACTACAGTAATACCCAAGAGATCCCTATTGCCCGAGGCTATCTTCTAGGAACATCCAATTTGACATCTCATTTCTTTTTAACCAATTACCTTGCCAAATTTAAAATCATTCAAATAAAAAAAAAATCTACATACAGGTTGAGTTTCTTTAATTCAAAAATTCAAAATCCACAATGCTCTAAAATCTGAAACTTTTTGAGTGCCAAAATGATACTCAAAGGATGCTCACTGGAGCATTTCAGATGTTTGGATTAGGAATACTCAACTGGAAAGTATGTAATGCAAATATTCCGAAATCCAAAAAAAAAAATGTGATATCTGAAACACTTCTGGTCTCAAGCATTTCAGATAAGTGATACTCAACTTGTATTTCCTATCAAAAGTTCAAAGATTCTAATGAAGAGACATTATATATATCACACAGACCAGTAGCGTCAGCTTCTCCCTGGAATGAAAATGAATATAATTTCGGCCGTGCTCAGTGGCTCAGGCCAGTAATCCCAGTACTTTGGGAGGCCAAGGTGGGCAGATCACCTGAGGTTAGGAGTTCAAGACCAGCCTGGCCAACATGGTGAAACCCCATCTCTACTAAAAATACAAAAAATAGCCAGGTATGGTGGTGTGTGCCTGTAATCACAGCTACTAGGGAGGCAGAGGCAGGAGAATAGCTTGAATCCAGGAGGAGGAGGTTGCAGTGAACCGAGATCACACCACTGCACTCCAGCCTGGGCGACAGAGCAAGACTCTGTCTCAAAAGAAAAAAAAAGAAAATGAATATAATTTCAAGGAAAAAAGCTTACCTGTCACTTGGTGGACTGTTTTCTTCCTCTTGCAAATATTTTTGGGTATTTCGCCTTCGTACCTTCGGGACAACATCCTTTCTTACAAAATGCCTATCTTGTGGTTTTGAATCTTCCTGAGACACGATATCTTCGATGTCATCCAGTAGTGTATCACAGGATGCAGAAGGCATATTCTCTACCACATAAAAGTTATAAATAAAATCAACTTATGAAAATCTGCTTAGCGTAGCATCATTTATGAAATATTCTCACCAAATTTGAATCTAATCAAGCCTTTGGATCTAACTTCAAATTTATAGAAAATACAAGAGATAAAGAAACACAAGGATGAAGTACTATCTTGGGTATATTGAAAAAAGAAACACAATGAAACAATCAGACAAAACCCTAATGACAATGGGACATTCCAAGGTTCAACAGGAACTATTTCTTCAACAAATCAATGTCAAGTAGGAAAAAGTAGGAGAGGAACTGTTTCAGATAACAGGAAGCGTAAAAGCCTAACAACAAAATGCAGTTCATGTTCTTGATTGTTTCTTCTTTGTCTGTCAAGCTATAAGAAATTTTGGGTATAACTAGGGAAATCAGAATATAAGCTGGATATTAGATAATATGAAGAAGTTATTATAAATCATTCGATATAAAGTATTGTCCTTATATTCAAAAATTTTATTTTTTAGAGATGCATATTGAATATTTAGAAGTGAAATGTCATTATGTCTATAATTTACTTTAAAAGGACCTCAGAAAAAATAGACTGGCTAGCCACAGTGGCTTATGCCTGTAATCCCAGCACTTTGGGTGGCTTATGCCTGTAATCCCAGCACTTTGGGGAGGTGGGCGCATAACTTGAGGTCAGGCGTTTGAGACCAGCCTGGCCAACATGGTGAAACCCCATCTCTTTTAAAAGTACAAAATTAGCCAGGCATGGTGGTGTACACCTGCAGTTTTAGCTACTTGGGAGGCTGAGGAAGGAGAATCGCTGGAACCCAGGAGGCAGAGGTTGCAGTGAGTCGAGAGTGCACCACTGCACTCCAGCCTGGGCAACAGAGCAAAACTCCATCTCAAAAAAGAAGAAAAAATAGATTAAGACATACTGAAAAGCATTTACAACTCTTAAAACTAGAAACTAGATAGGTTCATGTTCATTATCCTATACGACTTTTCTAAATATTCAAAATTTTTATAATTAAAAGAAGAAAATGTGGACACAGCTTGCAAGAAGATAAGCACATTTTTCCCTGCCCCGCCAGCAAAATACAAATAAAACTCTGGACATTATATATAAAACAAGCATAAGGCAGACTGGCTATGAACCTCAGGACCCAAGGAATATGATGAGTTCCTTGGGTTTTCTTCTGCCTCCTACAGCTCACTAAAGATCCCAGCAATCAGAAATGGCAAGAGATGCCAACAATAAAACCCCCCAATAAAAGCCTGCTTTCTCGTTAAAGAACTATACAAAGGGCAGCCTAGGAAGACAGAAAAGTTTTAGATAATAATCATTCTACTCCAGCCAAACACAAACACACACACACACACACACACACACACAAAACTGTAATCCCACCCCCAGGCACGCTACAAAGGCCAAGTGGGGAGAGCTTGGACTTCTACCTACAATCAAGCACCCCAACACACTCCACTAGTGTAGAATCAGAGAAGGACCTGGAGGGATCCTGGACATTCAAACCAACCAACCGACCAGTAATGAAGTTTTGCAGTGTCAGTGGAGACCAAACTGATACACAAGTTTAAAATAATCCCTATCAAAATCCCAGGAAGATTTTTTTGTAGGTATAGATAAGACTATCCTAAATTTTATATGGAAATGTACAGAAACTAATATATTTAAAACAATTTTGAGAAGAGTAAAGTAAGAAGAACTGGTCTACCCAATTTTTTTTTTTTTTTTTTTTTTTTTTGAGACGGAGTTTCGCTCTGTGGCCCAGGCTGGAGTGCAGTGGCGCGATCTCGACTCACTGCAAGCTCCGCCTCCTGGGTTCACGCCATTCTCCTGCCTCAGCCTCCCGTGTAGCTGGGACTACAGGCGCGCGCCACCATGCCCGGCTAATTTTTGTATTTTTAGTAGAGACGGGGTTTCACCGTGTTAGCCAGGATGGTCTCGATCTCCTGACCTCGCGATCCGCCCGTCTCGGCCTCCCAAAGTGCTGGGATTACAGGCGTGAGCCACTGCGCCCGGCCTGGTCTACCCAATTTTAAGACTTATTAGATAGCTATAATTGAGACCGTGGTATTGGTAGAGGGATAGAAATATAGATCAATGGAACATAACAGAAAACCCAGAAACAGACCTACACAAATATTCCACAAAAGCAATTAAATGGAGGAAAGATTGCTTTTTAAACAATTCGTGCTGGAGCAAGCAGACATTTATAGGCAAAAAATGAACCTTGACCTAAGTCTTGCACCTTATACAAAAATTAATTCAAAATGGATCATAGACTTAAATGTAAAACATAGGCTGGGCGCAGTGGCTCACACCTATAATCCCAGCACTCTGGCAGGCCGAGGCGTGTGGATCACTTGAGGTCAGGAGTTCAAGAACAGCCTGGCCAACATGGTGACACCGCGTCTCTACTAAAAATACAAAAAATTAGCTGAGTGTGTTGGTGCACGCCTGTAATCCCAGCTACTTGGGAGGCTGAGGCAGGAGAATTGCTTGAACCCACAAGGCAGAGGTTGCAGTAAGCCAAGATTGTACCACTGCACTCCAGCCTGGGTGACACAGTGAGACTCTGTCTCAAAAAAAAAAAAAAAAAAAAAATGTAAAACATAATATTATAAAACTTTTAGAAAAAAATCACAGGAGAAAATCTTCTGGACTTAGGGATAGGTAAAAAGTTACCAGATGTGACACCAAAAGCACAATCCATAAAAAGAAAAAGTAATAAATTGAATGTCATTAAAATTTAAAACTTTTGCTTTAAGAAAGACCCTATTAAGAGGCTGAAAAGTCAAACAGTCAAACTACAGAGTGGAAGAAAATATTTGCAAACCACATATCTGACAAAGAACTAGTGTCAAAACACAACCGTAAAAAGAAAATGACAAAAGACATTTCAAGAGAATATACAGAGGGCAAATAAGCACAGAAATGGAAACTAAAACCACAATGAGGTATCAGTATACACCTTTCAGAATGGATAAAACAGACAACAGTGAAACCACCAAACACCGGCAAGGATGCAAAGAAACTGCATCATTCATACAGTCCTGGAGGGAATGAAAAATGGTATAGCCACTCCAGTAAACAGTTTGGTGTTTTCTTAAACAAATCATATGACTGTGATGCAACCCAGCAATTGTACTCCTGGGCAATTATCCAAGAGAAATAAAGACTTGTATTCAGACAAAGACCTGTACATGAATGTTCACAGCAGCTTTCTTTGTAATAGCCCAAATCTGGAAACCACCTGGATGCCATTCAAAAGGTGAATGGTTAAACAAAGTGTGGTACATCCATACCATGGAACACTATTGAGCAATAAAAAGAAATGTACTAATGACATATGCATCAACCTGGATGACTCTCCTGAGAATTATGCTGAATGAAGAAATTCAATCCCAAAAGGTTACATTCTGTATGATCACTTTTATATAACATGCTTGAAATGAGAAAATTATGGAAATGGAGAACAGAATAGTAGTTGCCAGGGATTAAAGAAAGAACAGGGTGAGAGGAGAATGGGTATGACTATAAAAGAGCAACATGAGGAATCCTTGTGATGATGGAAATGTTTTGCATCCTGACTGTATCAATGTCAATATCCTGGTTGTGATACTGTATTGTATTGTAGTTTTGCAAGATGTTACCAACGGGAGACCTGGGTAAAGTGTACAAGGATCTCTGCATAAGTTTTACAACTGCAGGTAAAGCGGTAATTATGTTAGAATAAAATAGTTAAGAAAAAAATGGGGGGGGAATACACTCGTATATACTTACTGATAGTACTACCACTAATACTATATCCAGACACAAGGCAAGTCCTTTATAGGGTCATCTCATCAACCATTCACAACAACTCTTACTAGGTAGATAGTATTACTATCCTCGCTTTAAAGATGAACAAACTGAAACACAGATAAATTAACTTGCCCAAAGAAGCTAAACAAGGATACCATGACAGATGAGTCCAAGCCCACGCACTGTGTGGTACTCTACTACCTACTTAGTATGTGTATATTGAATGACCACTGTTCCTCATCTGAGTTGCAGTGTTAAGGATCTTACATTCTTTCAGTTGTCCTCAAAGCTTTCTGATGAATTTTCCTTCTCATTTGCTGGATTCCCATCCTTCCATTCACATCATTCAATTAACAGAGTGGCAGCCAGCCAGGCTCCTTTCCTCTGTAATGTATTCATTACAGCTATGACAAATTATGCACTGGGTATCCGAAAAATCTGTGTTCAAATCTCAGCTAGCTTTATATTGTCAGTAAGAACCAAAGATTAGAAATAAACCAAACATCAATCCATCAAGGATTGGCTGGATTATAGTTAACATACGTACCACGTGGTCATGGTAAGACTGTCAATTGCCGGAAACGGTGGCTCACGCCAGTAATCCCAACACTTTGGGAGGCCAAGGCGGACAGATCACCTGAGGTTGGGAGTTCATGACCAGCCTGACCAACATAGAGAAACCCTGTCTCTACTAAAAATACAAAATTAGCCGGGCGTGGTGGCACATGCCTGTAATCCCAGCTACTCAGGAGGCTGAGACAGGAGAATTGCTTGAACCCGGGAGGCAGAGGTTTTGGTTAGCCGAGATCGCGCCATTGCACTCCAGCCTGGGCAACAAGAGCGAAACTCTGTCTCAAAAAAAAAAAAGACTGTCAATCACAGACTTCCCTTTCCCTAGACACTGGAATGGGGAACATGACCCAAGCTTGCCAGGGTAACTCATCCTCCTGGCCACAATGACCAGTTCAAGGTCAGTCATGAGAAGCCTAGCCAATAAGAATCACTGTGAGGATTCTACGCTAGTGTTAACAGAAGATAGCTTCTCTTGTCACTGAAGTGGCTAAGTTGGGAGGATGTCAACTTGGGGATACCAGAGCCCTCTTGTCTGCTACAGGGAGGAAGCCTACTTAAGGAATGAAGCCTAATAAGATCTAGAAAGATAAAGAACCATACTGACATTATTTGAGCATCTGAATCCAACAAATGCCTGAAGCCAAATGCAGCCCTGCTCTGCCCAGTCATGCGAGCCTGTGGCTTAAATCAGTTTGAGGTGGGTATTCTGTTCTTGCAAAAAAGAGCCCTGGCCAACTCAGCCATCCAGGTAGGGTGAAATGAACCAGGTTAGTCTTTCCCAAATTGCTTCTAATTATTTACTACCTATCTGGAAAAAAAAATGGTTCTGTGGTCAAATAAATTTAGAAAATTCTGCGTCCTTACCCATTCACAGTGTGCATTATTAAAGACTGAAGAACTGCAGTAAGAAATTGCACTAGTTTCCAGGATGCCACACTCTCCTAGCTCCAGTCTCCTCTGCTCATCTCTCCAACTTCTCACCATTAGAATGCCCCCATGGCTCTGTTACAGGAACTCTTCTCTAGTTTCAGGCACTCCCTAGGTGACCTCATCCAGTCCCATGGCCTTGAAATATGAACTACGTCTATGCTTACATAACCAGCCCCATTCTTCCCCCGAGCTTCAGACTCAGACGTTCAACTGCCTATTCCACACCACTGCTTGAATGTCTAATAATTCCTTCAAACTTAAAAAGTTAAAACAGGGCTGGGCATGGTGGCTCACGCCTGTAATCCCAACACTTTGGGAGGCTGAGGCGGATGGATCACCTGAGGTCAGGAGTTGGAGGTCAGCCTGGCCAACATGGTGACACCTCGTCTCTACTAAAAATACAAAAATTAGCCAGGCATGGTGGTGGGCACCTGCAATCCCACCTACTCGGGAGACTGAAACAGAAGAACCGCTTGAACCCAGGAGGCAGAGGTTGCAGTGAGCTGAGATTGCACCACTGCACTCCAGCCTGGGCGACAAAGGGCGAAGCACCATCCCAAAAAAAAAAAAAGTCAAAGTCGAAACAGAATTCCTGATCTTCTCCCTACCTTACCAGATCCTCTTACAACTTCTCCCATTTCATTTAATGGCAATCCTGGCTGGGCGCAGTGGCTCATGTTTGTAATCCCAGCACTTTGGGAGGCCGAGGTGGGTGAATCACAAGGTCAGGAGTTCAAGACCAGCCTGTCCAACATGGTGAAACCCCATCTCTACTAAAAATACAAAAAATTAGCCAGGCATAGTGGCGAGCGCCTGTAACCCCAGCTACTTGGGAGGCTGAGGCAGGAGAATTGCCTGAGCCCAGGAGGCAGAGGTTGCAGTGAGCCAAGATCTCACCACTGCACTCCAGCCCGGCCAACAGAGTGAGACTCTGTCTCAAAAAAAAAAAAAAGACAATCCCAATCTTCTACTGCTCAGGCCAAAAATCCTGCACTCCCCTCTTTCTGTCACCCTAAATCCAATCAATCAACAACATCCTGTTGGCTGTACCTTCAAAATATATTCAGAATCTATTTGTGACCATACCCACTGTTACACTCTTGGTCCAAACCAACATCACCTCTTGTCTGGATTATTGCAATCCCTAATATCCTTGCTTCTATCCTTAAACTCTACAAGAACATTTTCAGCACAGAAGTCAGGGATCCCTTTAAAACCTAAGTTCATCTCAAGCTTCTCAATCAAACCCTTCCAGTGGTATTCCATATCAGAGTAAAAAGCCAAAATCACTACAAAGATCTGCAATGACATATATAATCAGCCTCCTGCTGCATCTCTGGCCCCACTTCCTACCACGCTCCCCTCAGTCATGCAGGCTTTGTTATTTCGTACCCACTAGATATGCATTCATTTCACAGTCTTATTCTTGCCTGGAATGCTCTTACTTAAGACACCTGAATGGCTCACTCACTCAAGCCCTTAAGGACTTTGCTCAAGTGTAACAAGAGAGGACTTTCCAACCAACACCCCCACCTCACCACACACCCTCTTCCTATGCCCCTTTCCTGCCTTTTTTTAAACTGTAGCATTTAATCATCTGCTTAAAATGTTTTAATAATTTTTTAACTGTTTATCTTACTAGAATACATACTTCGTGAGGGTAAAGGTTTTCGTGTGAGGTGTTCACTGTTTTATCCCAGGTGCCTAGAACTATGTCTAGCACATTGCAGGTTCTCAATAAATACTTTTACTGCAGACTACACAGTCGGGCAATATATGGATATAGATATTCTGAGTATGCCAAATTAGTTTCTGACTCGGGAGCCTTCATAATTGCTATTCCTCTGCCAGAATATCAGCCCCCAGATAAGTATGTCTTCCCACCCACTTCTTCACTCAAACAACATCTCCTCGGAGAGGCCTTTCCTACTACCTTATCTAAAATAACCACGCTGCCCAAGCATGCCCACACTTTCACTGCTTCTAACCCTGCTTTTGTTTCATGTTTCTTCATTGTGCTTACCTACCTGACACCACATATATAATTGTATCTTCCTCATTACAATGTAAGCTTGTTAAGCACAAAGGCATCATCTCTTTTTCAGTACTGTCTCTACAACACCTCTAACAATGCCTGACACATAGCAGGCACACAATAGTTACTGACTAAATGAATGAACACAATGCTTAAGTTGAATTTAGCTAGTCTTTCTATGACACAGCAGGAAATTCTACACTGGGTGGGAAGCTGAAGTAAATGCCCAACCCCTAGGATTTCTTCTATCACCACTCTTCTATGAAATAATTAAATGAGAGAGGCTAGGACCAGGTAGTGCCTTTGGAATGCGGAAGAACTACTGACAGATCATGAATAATTAAATAACATTAATTAAAAGCCATATTTTTTAATTACACAATTTTGCCATCCCATATACAAGTGTGTATGGATCCACTGAAGAGAAATAGAAAGGAAAAAGAGGAATGAAAGGAATCCACTGCAATAGACATCCCATATCATTAGAGTTAGAGAAGCAGAAGTTGCTAAGCTTCTTATCTTACAGAGCTGGAGTCCACTGAAGCAAAAGGATTTGTACATTGATAGAGCTAGAAATCAGAACCTTGGCATCCTCTCAATACCATGCTCTTCCCACTATGGCTTTGCCTCACTGGCAAAGTACAAACAATGCAAGAATCTAATGTGACACTAATAAGTAACCACATTCCAGAAAACAATGCGTAAAGGAAAAACAGGCAGTTCACTTAAGAAATACAAATACCCAGAAAAGAAAAAAAAAAAAAGAGGAAAGAATGCTCAACCACACTAACAACAAGTATTGAAACAATAAGTTATTTTTCAGCTGCCTCACTGATACAAAGCTGACAAAAACTCTGTTAGCTGAAAGCACAGAAAAACTGGTACACCCCTTCTGGAGGGCAACCTGACAATTATACCAAACATATGTATATCCTTCGAGCCAGCAATTTCATTTGGAGATATTCACTCAAAAAAGATAAATATAACGCTGCATATCAGCATTATGTAGCATAAACCTGGCTGTATATCATAAGTACCTAAATAATCTCACTCATCACTATTAATAAGCTAAAGGTTTTACTTTGAACAAACTGATAGACTGATAGAGGGAATTGTTTAGCCTTCAGAAATTTTTAATTAAATCATATGGAAATGAAAGTTTGAGAATAAAAGGAAAGCAGCGTAATAGCTAAATGGAGCAAAAGGATCATTAAAAATTTTTCTCAAAGGTAGAGGAAATCAAATTTGATAAAGGGAATAAAAATAGAGTCAGTGAAAAGGAAAATACTCAAAATGATAGGAAGAAGGAGGATGCAATATCCTAGAGCAGTGGTTACTTACATAGGTGAGTTATTAGGGAGGCTTTTTTTTTTTTTTTTTGTAATTATGAGACAGAGTTTCACTCTTGCTGCCCAGGCTGGAGTGCAATGGCACGATCTCGGCTCACTGCAACCTGTGCCTCCTGGGTTCAAGCAATTCTCCTGCCTCAGCCTCCCGAGTAGCTGGGATTACAGGCACCTGCCACCACGCCCAGCTAATTTTGTATTTTTAGTAGAGACGGGGTTTCACCATGTTGGTCAGGCTGGTCTTGAACTCCCAACCTCAGGTGATCCACCTGCCTTGGCCTCCCAAAGTGCTGGGATTACAGGCGTGAGCCACTGCACCCAGCGGGAAGCTTTTCATCATATCAAATCTCCAGGTTCCATTCTGAATTAGAATCTCCAAGAGTAGAACTGAAGTATGTGAACATAGAAACTGTCCAGGTAATTCCACTATAGATCCCTAATTAAGAACCACGATTCCACAGTAATGGTTCTCAATCTTCAACACTCATTCTATTCACCTGAAGAGCTTTTGAAAATTCCCAACTAAGCTTGCAGTGAGCCGAGATCACGCCACTGCACTCCAGCCTGGGCGACAGAGCGAGACTCTGTCTCAAAACAAAAACAAAAACAAAAGAAAAAAAAGAAAATTCCCAACTAAGCCCCAAGATAGCTGAATGAATCTCTGAGAATGGAGCCTGGGCATCAATATCTTTTAAAAACTTTCCAGTCATTCTCATGTGTGTACAGCCACAGTTGCAAAGCAATGTCCAGTGGTTTTCAAAGTGTAGTTTCCACATCAGCTGGAGTAGCATCATGGGGAACTTGTTAGAAATGAACATTTTTTCTTTTTCAGTTTTTTTGTAAAAACAAGGTCTCGCTTTGTTGTCCAGGCTGGTCTCAAACTCCTCCCATCTTGGCCCCTAAAGTATGGGATTACAGGCATGAGCCACCATGCCCAGCCAGAAATGAAAATTCTTGAACTCCACTCCAGACATACTAAATCAGATATTTTGAGTAAAACCTAGCAATATTTAACAGGCCCTCTAGGTGATTTTGATCTGAATTAAAGTTTGATAATCACTGTCCCAGAATTATTCTTTCATAAAAACCACCTAGAATGTATGTCAAATATACATAACCTAGACAATTCAAGGGGGAAAGCGTAGTTTTTTTTTCAACAAATGACACTGGGATAACTGGATAGCAACATGTAAAAAATAAAGTTGGAGCCCTATTTCACATTTCACATCATATACAAAAATTAACCGAAAATGGATCATAGACCTAAATTTAGGAGCTAACATTATGAAACTCTTAGAAAAAAACATAAGCACAAATCTTTATGATGTTAGAGTAGGCCCTTCTTTCTTAGCTAAGAAATGAAAAGCACAAGCAACAAAAGGAAAAACAGATTAGATGAAGAAGATACAGAAATGGGCCAGGTGCAGAGGCTCATGCCTATAATCCCAACACTGGGAAGCCAAGGTGGCAGGATCACTTCAGGCCAGGAGTACAAGGCCAGAGCCTAGGCAACACGGACCCTATCGCTACAAAAAAAAAAAAAAAAGTAAAATTTAGCCGGGCATGGTGGCATGCACCTGTAGTCCCAGCTACTTGGGAGGCTGAAGTGGGATCACTTGAGACCAGGTGGTCAAGGCTGCAGTGAGCCGTAATCGAGCCACTGCACTCTGGCCTGGGTGGCATAGGGAAGCCGTGTCTCAAAAACACACACATACAAATGGCTGATAAGCACATGAAAAGATGTCAACATCATGAGCCATCAGGGAAATGGAAATCCAAACCACAATAATACACCACTTCATACCCATTAGGATGGGTAGAATCAAAAAGACAAATAACTGTTGACAGGCATGTGGATTACATCACCCAGAGGGGAAGAAAAAGAGAACAGAGGTAGGAGAAGGTACAAGACCACGACTTGAGAGACTCCAAATTTAACTGCCAGATAAAGGAAAATCAGCTTATAATGGATTCCAAGAAGCAGCCACCAGACAAGGAAAAAAATCCATGGGCCATGGAAGGCAAATGAAAAGGGCATCTCAAAAAAGTGGACATGGTCAATGCTGGTGAATGAAAATGAAAGGTTAAGTAAAATAAATGAAAATATCTCTTCGATTTAATGCTATGTAAAGCACAATGTTTCCATAACATGATAGTGGCAAATAGCTAAAACATTAGGCTACCTCTCTGCATTTTCTAACATGCAGAAATACGCACAGCACTCAAACATAAAAGGTTTAAAATAAATCAGTACCTTAATTATCTGCAATTAGTCTAAAGTCCTCTTGAAAGATGAGTCTGGAAAATAAAAATTGATTAGGAAAAGTAAGCACCCAAAAAGTTCACAAAACCACTGTAAGGATTCTTTACTTAAAAGGAATCAGACTCCATAAAAGACTGCTTTATACAGCAGGATTAATGATGCTCCATACTACTTGTAACTTCTTACTGATTACAACAGGTGTGCTGACATCTGCCGTGACGGTGATCCAGTGTCTGGCTTTAGTAATAAATGTTGTATTCAGCACCGCAACACGTCTGCATAGTGCGAGTAACCAACCACTACAAAACAGGATTAAGTCAATAAGGTAGATAGACATCCAGATCACGTTCCATCCGAAAGATAACTGTCGTCCCGAGATTCAGAAAAAGGTTTTATGAGCAAAGAAGAACGAAAAGTGAAAAAGCAAGACACCTGCTTTTCTCAATAACTTCTGCTTAAATTCTTAACATACTGATCTGGGAAAGCTATATAACTGCGAAAGCCTTGTCACATCTACAAATTCACTAAGGTATAAAGTGGGAGAACAAATGAAGTTAAACCTGACAATAAGGAACGAGGTGCCTAAAATACTCCTAACTGGAGAGCGGCACCTGAGGCCAACGACCCTATCCTCGCTCCTGGAAGCCCCATCTGCCTCCCAATTCCCCCATCCCAGCTGGCAAATCCCCTTTTAACTGCGAAACAAATTTGCAAACAGCCCAAGAAAAACTGAAACTGGAGAAACAAGGCTTGGCCATAAAAGGAGCTGTGGCCACACTCTGCCCCACATGGACCCATCGGCCACCCTTACCCAGAAGTCGGGAAGTAAAAACCAGTCCAAAGTGAGAAAATCAACCCGCCACTCTCCGGAAGCTGCACAGACTTTAGATGGAGAGCGCCATGACACATACGTCCCGCCACGTTTATTTGCGCATGCTCAGCGACGGTGGCCCGAAGAGATCAAATTACATCATTGCTGAAAGCGCTAGTTCTGGTTTAACTTAGTTTAGGAATGACTACGCTTCAAGTTCCTTTGATTCCAAGAACTAAAATAACAACCCTGAGTCCTCGGGTTCCTAGAAATGCTTAATAGCCAACTTCTCCTAAGCTTTTATGTGTTAGACACTGTGCTAAGTACTTTGCATAAATATTATTCACTATTTATTTATTATTATTATTATTCCCAGTTTACAAAAGAGGACACTGGAAGTTTAAGGACTTAATCTAAGTTACTCTACTAGTCGTGCTGCGCTCTGGGCTGGATCCGATGCTGTCTGACTCCCAAAGAACTTGCTCTTTTCACTGCATTTTACTAGCCTCCTCAATCATTTGTGAAAAGAGGTCTCTTCTTTAATATTAAAAAAACAGGAAGGAAAGGATAAAGGTCAGTTGGTAGGTTTCACTTAATATACATCATTGAGCACCACACAAGTGTTTTTGTTTTTTGTTTTGGAAAACTTAGATGGCAGTTTAGCAGACACCTATGGAAAGAAAATACTTTTATGGAGTACGGATTCTCACCCGCTTTCTCTACATATGTTATCTCACTTTACTATTCGTTACCCAAGACACTGTATTTGACCATGTGTTTACCAGAAGAATATCTTTACTTGAAAAAGTAAAGGTAATAGGAGGCAATAGGCCATGAAGAAGGGTCAGAAATCGTGAGTTTTATGCCTGACTTAGGGTTTCATAGTGATTTGGGGCAATTACTTTGTTTTGCAAATGCCTTTCCTAGTACAATTTCATCTAATTAAAATGCCATCCATCTACTCAAGAGGCTGATGTGGGAGGATCACTTGAGCTCAGAAGTTTGAAAACAGCCTGGGCAACACAGTGAGACCCAGTCTCTAAAATAGATTTAAAAAAAAAAAAAAAAACCACCCTTTTCTCTGTTTATCCATATCCATAAAATAATCTAAACTGTGCCCTGGGGTCCACTGTTGTCTTTACCCACCTAAATTAAAATTGTGTATTTATGTTGCCCTACTTTTTTTTTTTTTTTTTTTTTTTTTTTAGATAGGGTCTTCTTCTGTCACCCAGGCTGGAGTACAGTGTTACCATCACAGCTCACTGCAACCTCTCCCTCCTAGCCTCAAGAGATTCTCATGCCTTAGCCTCCCAAGTAGCTGGGACTACAGGTGCACACCACCATACCCATCTAATTCCATCTCTTTCACTAGACCAAAAGTAGGCCCTGGGTTATCTTCTTGGTTGTAATCGCACTACCTAGCACATAACCTTGTGCCTATGTTTATAGCTTCTCAATAAACATATGTTGAATGAATGAATGAATGAATGAATGACTCCACCCCTTTTCCCCCAAGATCTAGTTGAGTTCAGTAAAAGATATTTTACTGAGTATGTACCCCATGACCACAAGCACTGTGATAGATGCTAGAGCTAAAAAGAAAGAAAAAAAGTACTGCCTATTGCAATTGCAGGCTATTTTGAAAAAATTCATTTCAGTAGAGAATAGCAATCACTATGAAAGATGAATGCACAGGAACACAAAGGTGAAGTAAGGGAAATGGATGAAGGCATTCCAAGCTGGAGAGTCAGCCAGAGCAAAAGCAAGGAGGCCTGAAATGATGAATTATTCCACAGTGTAAAAGCAAAGAGAGTGAAGCTGGTGATGGGAGAAGTCTACCAGAGAAAGGGAAGCACAGGGACTAGATCAAGGTGAACCTTGTGTATTCAAAGGCATTAGACTTAATCCTGGATGTATGTAGTAGGCAACATGAATGTGTTCGAGCAGATTATTCTCTCAGGACAATGGGTTTGAGGACGATATTTCAGACATGAAGAAATAGTAAAAGCCTAAATTGAGTTGTTGGCTGGGAGGAATGGGAAGGAAGGACAGATTTAAACAAATTGAGGAGGTAACAGCAGCAAGACTTGGTGATTGATAGGTACGAAAAAAGAGGAAGAAAGGATGTTTTCAAGTTTTGGCTACAAAAACTAACTAACAGGTGAAACCTCTCTCTTTAAGCACCTTTAGTCTAAATCCTTTGAAGTCAGTAACCCTACCTCTAGGAATTTATCTTACAGAAATATACATAATGACCTATGTTCCAGAGTATTTTTTGAAGCATTGCTTACAATGACCTATGTTCCAGAGTATTTTTTGAAGCATTGCTTACAATGACCTATGTTCCAGAGTATTTTTTTAAGCATTGCTTACAATAGCAAAAGACTGGAAACCCTCTCCGGCTCCTCCTCAATAGAGTATTGGTTAAATATATTTATAGTATCTGTACAACCTTTGAAAAGCAACCAGTAAGTCCGGGTGCAGTGGATCACGCCTGTAATCCTAGCACTTTGGGAAGCCGAGGCGGGTGGATCGCCTGAGGCCAAGAGTTCAAGACCAGACTGACCAACATGGTGAAACCCTGTCTCTACTAAAAATACAAAATTAGCTGGGTGTGGTGGCATATGCCTGTAATCCCAGCTACTCAGGAGGCTGAGGCAGGAGAATCTCTTGAACCCAGGAGGTGGAGGTTGCAGTGAGCGGAGATTACACCATTGCACTCCAGCCTGGACAACAAGAGCGAAACTCCATCTCAAAAAGATTAAAAAAAAAAAAAAAAGGCCAGGCACGATGGCTTACGGCTGTAATCCCAGCACTTTGGAAGGCTAAGGTGGGCGGATCACGAGGTCAGGAGATCAAGACCATACTGGCTAACATGGTAAAACGCTGTCTCTACTAAAAATACAAAAAATTAGCCAGGCATGGTGGCATGAGCCTGTAGTCCCAACTACTCGGGAGGCTGAGGCAGGAGAATCGCTTGAACCTGGAAGGCGGAGATTGCAGTGAGCTGAGATCGCGCCACTGCACTCCAGCCTGGGCAACACAGTGAGACTCCGTCTCAAAGAAAAAAAAAAATAATGCTTTGTTTCTTAAATTAGAGTTAAGCTTCATAAATATACACCATCCTATTTTGTTCCTGTTTTTTCAGCCAACAATATAACACTAAATGCTTTATAAATATTTGGTAATAAGTAAACAAACCAATTGGTGTATACCAAGAACATTAAAAATGCAAGTAAATCTATAAAATAATAGTAAAGCTAAGATTTTTTCAAACACTTATAAATGTGTGCCAATAACCACCCATAAGTAACCCTATAAATGAGGAGTGCTATTATTATCTTGTTATCTCTTTTAACAGAGAAGAAACCTAAAGCTTAGGCAGTCTGACTTCAGTTGTTTTAACAACTCTATATGAATACTTCAGAAGAAAGCAACAATAGTGCAAAATTTCAAATAGAGAAAAAGCATTGGAGAGAAAAAACAAAAGAGTGATCAAGGAAAAGTGGAATAAAATCTGTTTGCCTGGACCGGGCACAGTGGCTCATGCCTGTAATCCCAGCACTTTAGGGGGCCGAGACAGGTGGATCACGAGGTCACAAATTCAAGACCAGCCTGGCCAAGATGGTGAAATCCCGTCTCTACTAAAAATACAAAACTTAGCCGGGCGCGGTGGCAGGCACCTGTAGTCCCAGGTACTCGGGAGGCTGAGGCAGGAGAATCGCTTGAACCTGGAAGGTGGAGGTTGCAGTAAGCCGAGATCGCGCCACTGCACTCCAGCCTGGGTGACACAGTGAGACTCCATCTCAAAAAAAAAAAAAAAATCTGTTTGCCTTAAATATTTTATGTTGGCCTTCACAGTAAAAATTGAAGAGAAAATATGGACAAGAAAGAAGTTACACAATTCTTACCCTCTCAGTGACTAATCAATAAAGAATAAAATATGAAAATTATAAAAATCTGGGGCCAGGCACGGTGGCTCATGCCTGTAATCCTAGCACTTTGGGAGGCACAGGCAGTTGTTTCACTTGAGCCCAAGAGTTTGAGACCAGCCTGGGCAACATGACCAGACCCTGTCTCTACAAAACAAACAAAAAAGTAGCCGGACATGGTGGTTCCAGCTACTCGGGAGGCTGAGGTGGGAGAATCACTTGAGCTCAGAAGGTCCAGTTTGCAGTGAGCCGAAATCACACCGCTGCACTCCAGTCCAGGCAGCAGAATGAGACCCTCTCTCAAAAATAAATAAATAAAATTAAAATTAAGAATTGGGAACTGCTTTTTAAGATTATGTTTTGGAGACAGGGTCTGGCTTTGTCACCCAGGCTGGAGAACAGTGGCACCATCAGAGCTCACTGGAAACTTGAACTCCTGGGCTCAAGCAGTCCCCCCACCTCTGCCTCCCAAGTAGCTGAAACTACAGGGGCATGCCACCACGCTCGACTAATTTTAAAACTCTTTTTGCAGCAACAGAGTCTCACTATGTTGCCCAGACTGGTCTTGAACTCCTGGCCTCAAGCAGTCCTCCACCTCAACCTCCCAAAGCGCTGGGATTGCATGCATGAGCCACCAGCCCAGCTGGAACACATGTTTTAGATTTAGTTGATGATCTGAGCAACTAGCCATTATACATACACATCTGTACCAATCAATATCCCTTTTCATGAGAAAATATTCATGTGCTTAATTCACTCTTGAAAGATGATAAACAATATACATGAAATTTTCTATGTAGAACATTAGGTGAATTTAGTAGAATGAGAGTTAAAACAGATTTTTATATTTATATATATATAAGCTACATATAAGCAAAGTGAAAAGTATGACTATTAAGTGCTCTTAATTTTTTTTTTTACAGGAGCATGCCACCGTGCCCAGCCAATTTTTGTAATTTCAGTAGGGACGGGGTTTCACCATGTTGGCCAGGCTGGTCTCGAACTCCTGACCTCAGGTGATCCGCCTATCTTGGCCTCCCAAAGTGCTGGGATTACAGGACTGAACCACTGTGCCTGGCCAACTAAACAGTTTTTCAGGAAAGTTTTGCAGGTGTTGGATGAACCCAAGAAGAAAGATGGTAACAGCAGAGGAATAGAGGGGGGCAAAAAGAGAAATACTAGATCTATGAGAAACGAAAAATTGCCCCGGATGGATGGGTGCTTCAATGTAGAGAATAAAAGGGAAGAATGCTGATGTTCTTTAATAAACTGATAAAAAGATCATATAGGAACATGATGTGAAATAACCTCCTATTGTCTTTGGACAAATGCTGAATTTTCTCTGCATAATTTAACCACTAGGGGTCAGAGTGCTATACTTCTACTATCTTTTTTTTTTTTTTCTTTGAGATGGAGTCTTGCTCTGTCACCCAGGTTGGAGTGCAGTGGTGTGATCTCGGCTCACTACAACCTCCACCTCCCAGGTTCAAGTGATTCTCCTGCCTCAGCCTCCTGAGTACCTGGGATTACAGGCGCCCACCACCACACCCGCCTATTTTTTTTTTTTTTTTTTAAGTAGAGACGCGGTTTCCCCACATGGGCCAGGGTGATCTCAAATTCCTGACCTCAGGTGATCCACTTGCCTCGGCCTCCCAAAGTGCTAGGATTACAGGCCTGAGCCACCGCGCCTGGCCCATTTTTGTATTTTTAGTAGAGACAGGGTTTTGCCACGTTGGCCAGGCTGGTCTCCAACTGCTGACCTCAGGTGATCCGCCCGCCTCGGCCTCCCAAAGTGCTGGGATTACAGCCCTGAACCACTGTGCCTGGCCAACTGAACAGTTTTTTAGGAAGATTTTTCAGGTGTTGGATGAACCCAAGAAGAAATATGGTAACAGCAGAGGAATTGGGGGGGGCGGGCGGCGAGAGAAATACTAGATATATGTGAAAGGAAAAATTGCCCCAAATGGATGGATACTTCAATGTGGAGAATAAAAGGGAAGAAAGCTGATGCTCTTAAATAAACTGATAAAAAGATCATACAGGAACATAATGTGAAATAAATCAACCTCCTGTTGTCTTTGGACAAGTCCTGAATTTTTCTCTGCATAATTTAACCACTAGGGGTCAGAGTGCTATACTTCTATTAACTTTTTTTTTTTTTTTTTTTTTTCTGAGACAGGGTCTGGCTCTGTCACCCAGGCTGGCATGCAGTAGTGCTGTCACGGCTTGCTGCAGCCTCGACCTCCCAGGCTCCAGCGGCCTGCCCACCTCAGCCTGTCAAGTAGCTGGGACTATAGGTGTGCACACCGCCAATCCTAGCTAATTTTCTTAATTTTTGGTAGAGACAAAGTCTTGCTGTTACCCAGGCTGGTCTCAAACTCCTAGCTCAAGTGATCCTCCCGCCTCAGTCTCCCAAAATATTGGGATTACAGGCTTGAACCTCCTCTTTCAGCTTTACTATCATCTATTCTACTCTATCAACTTACACAGATATGTTTGGTTCAATTCTATAATTAATTTTATCTGTTCACTCTCCCACTCTCAGTACAAGTGTTTTGGGGGTTGTACAAGTGCCCTGTAGCCCAAGCCAGAGAAATGAGAACATCACAGGGAATGCAACCAACACCAGGCCAGCGTGAATTCGGGGTTGTCGGTCAACTGTGAAATTCTGAGGCAGAAGCTTCCAGGACTACCACAAGGAGAGCACCGGCCTGAGATTGAAGCTATTTTTTTTTTTTTTTTTTGAGACAGAGTCACGCTCTGTTGCCCAGGCTGGAGTGCAGTGGCACAATCTCGGCTCACTGCAACCTCCGTCTCACAGGTTCAAGCAATTCTCCTGCCTCAGCCTCCCGAGTAGCTGGGACTACAGGTATGCATCACCACGCCTGGCTAATTTTTTGTATTTTTAGTAGAGACGGGGTTTCACCGTGTTAGCCAGGATGGTCTCGATCTCCTGACCTCATGATCCACCCGCCTCGGACTCCCAAAATGCCGGGATTACAGATGTGAGCCACCACGCCCGGCCTACCAAAGCTCTTTCAGAGGAAAGCAGAGTTGAGAGATGAAGGGAGAAATCAATAAGTTCCAAGGACAATTGTAAGGCCCCTATACCCAGCACGCCTGGAGCTAGCTTTCTTTTTGTGCTATTCAGTTATGTTAACAAGTAAATCCTTCTCTTCTTTTCTTAAACTAATTTGAGTGGATTTCTATGACTTGCAACCAGAAGAGTGCTGGCTAAACTTCTTGCTGTTACATATTCTCTTAATGATTAAAAAAATAAGAATTCGCATCTGTTGTCTAACTCCCTGATTGCTTATAATTATCTGTGGGTAGAAGACATGCGTTGTTTTCTCTGTCCTTCAGTAATATATGACTCATACATTGCAAACTTATTGAGTTACATAATAATGTATTTATTGAGTATATACAGTATACCAAGTACTGTTCTAAATGCTCAAAAAATAAAACAGACAATATCATTCCCCTTTTAAGAATTTATATGCGGCCGAGCACAGTGGCTCACGCCTGTAATCCCAACACTTTGGGAGGCTGAGGCGGGTGGATCACGAGGTCAGGAATTCAAGACCAGCCTGGCCAACATGGTGAAACCCCGTCTCTACCAAAAATACAAAAATTAGCCAGGCGTGGTGGTGCATGCCTGTAATCCCAGCTACTCAAGAGGCTGAGGCAGAGAATTGCTTGAACCCAGGAGGCAGAGGCTGCAGTGAGCGGAGATCGTGCCACTGCACTCCAGCCTGGGCAACAGAGCGAGACTGTCTCAAAAACAAAAAAAAAAGAAAGAAAGAAAAAAGTTTATATACTAATAGGTAGAGATAGACAAAACACAAGAAATATCATATGAAGATTGTATTGTGCATTGAAAGGTGATAAAGATGGCCACAAAATTACAGCAGATTAAGAAAAAGCAGAATCAGGCCTTGCAGTTTTTAAAGATGGTGGTCAGAGTAGGCTTATTGAGAAAAAGACGTTTAAGTAAAGGCTCAAAAAATGTGACGGGGTCAGCCAAAGAATGTATGGGGGAAGAGCATTCAAGGAAAAGGGGCCACCTAGTGGAAAAGCCTTCAGGTAGGAGCATACCTGACCTGTTTGAAAAACAGCAGGTTACATGACCAGCCTGGGCAACACAGCAAGACCCCACCTCTACAAACAATTTAAAAATTAGCTGGGCATGGTGGTATGTGCCTATATTCCCAGCTACTCAGGAGGCTGAGGCAGAAGGATCCCTTGAGCCCGGGGAAGTCAAGGCTGCAGTGAGCTATGATCGCACCACTGCACTCCAGCCTGGGTGACAGAGCAAGACTATGTCTCTAAAAATGTAGATCAGAGTGGTTTGAATCAAGTGAGTGAGTGAGTAGTAAAAGAGGAGATCAAAACTAGATCGCGTAGAAAGTGAAGGAAACATGTAGGGCCTCATAGGCTATAGTCAGAACTTTGACTTTTACTCTGAATAAAATGAGAACCATTAGAGCATTAGGAGAAGAGAAGTAGATCAAGGAGGCTGATTAGAAAGCTGTTGCAATAATCCAGGCAAGCACTGACAATGTCCTGGACTGGGAGGCAGCAAGAGAGGTGATGAGAAGTGATTTGATACTGGACATATGGAAAGACAAAGCCCATAAAATGTCTTGTAGATTGGAATTGAGGTAGGAGGGCAAAAAAGACATAAAAGATGACTTTAAATGTTCTGGCCTGGACAAGAAGAATGAAATTGCCATCCATGGAGATGGAAAAGATTGCAGGTGGAGCAGGTTTGGGAGTAGAAATGGAGGTGATCAGGAGTTCAGTGTTTTTAAGTTTTAAATTTTCTTTAACCTTTCATTTTGAAATAATTTCAGATTTTAAGTGGCAAAAGTATTCCAATTAATTCATGTATAGCCTTCACCCACCTTCCCCAGGTGCTAATTTTTTTTTTATTATTATACTTTAAGTTCTAGGGTACATGTACACAATGTGCAGGTTTGTTATATATGTATACATGTGCCGTGTTGGTGTGCTGCACCCATCAAATCATCATTTACATTAGGTATTTCTCCTAATGCTATCCCTCCCCCTCCCCTCACCCCACTACAGGCCCCAGTGTGTGATGTTCCCCACCCCATGTCCAAGTGTTCTCATTGTTCAGTTCCCACCTGTGAGTGAGAACATGTGGTGTTTGGTTTTCTGTCCTTGAGATAGTTTGCTCAGAATGATGGTTTGCAGCTTCATCCATGTCCCTACAAAAGACATGAACTCATCCTTTTTTATGGCTGCATAGTATTCCGTGGTGTATATGTGCCACATTTTCTTAATCCAGCCTATCATTGATGGACATTTGGGTTGGTTCCAAGTCTTTGCTATCGTGAATAGTGCCTTTATACATACGTGTGCATGTGTCTTTATAGTAGCATGATTTATAATCCTTTGGGTGTACACCTAGTAATGGGATAGCTGGGTCAAATGGTATTTCTAGTTTTAGATCCTTGAGGAATCACCGCACTGTCTTCCACAATGGTTGAACTAGTTTACACTCCCACCAACAGTGTAAAAGTGTTCCTGTTTGTCCACATCCTCTCCAGCACCCAGGTGCTAACACTTTATAGAACCAAATTACAATTATCAATACCAAGAAATTAACATTGACATGATACTACTTGGGCTTTGTCTTTCATGCTCTCTGTTAGCTACATCTCTCCCTGGAATTTTTCCAATTATTTTCTTACAAGTGATAAATCTGTAGAAGAAATTCAGGGACTTGCAGTTCCACTAACAGCAACTCTCTTTGAGAGTGAGTGGTGAGGCTGGGCACAGTGGCTCATGCCTGTAATCCCAGTGCTTTGGGAGGCCAAGGCGGGCGGATCACCTGAGGTTGGGAGTTCAAGACCAGCCTGGCCAACACGGTGAAACCCCGTCTCTACTAAAAATACAAAAATGAGCTGGGCGTGGTAGCCGGCACCTGTAAGCCCAGCTACTCAGGAGGCTGAGGCAGGAGAATCGCTTGAACCTGGGGGGCAGAGGTTGCCATGAGCCGAGATTATGCCACTGCACTCCAGCCTGGGCAATAGACAGAGTGAGACTCCGTCTCAAAAAAAAAAAAAAAAAAAAAAAAAAAAAAAAAAAAAACAGAGAGAGAGAGTGAGTGGTGAGAATACCAAAGGCCAAGGAGGGTTTTGCTAGTGAGAAACTGTCAAAGAACAGAACAGAACTCCTGCAGCAGTCAGTTTTATGAGAATTTATTCCCTGAACCTACAGAAAAGGCAGATTTAAATTGTAACAGCTGGGAGGGGAGGAAGTAGAAGGAAGTATTCCATTTGGTTTGTTTGCTTATTCTAAATTTCTCGAAGGCCTCCTTGGGGGTTGTTGTCTATTCAACAGGAAAGTAAAAGCAGAGATCAAAAGTCAAAGCAAGCCAGAACAGAATAAAGGAAGCAAGGCTTTTTGTCTTATGCTTTGTTGTGTTCTTATATTTGCCCTCTATAATTTCTCAATGATGATTGGTAGGGAGACAGAAAAAAATGTTTAGTTTAGTAAAAAGGCACTCAGTGAATTGTTACAGCATTTCTTTTCAAAGCATGTATTTAATTATGTTAGGTATAAATATGGGCAGAATTCATATCCAAAATGAATTTGCTTGGAGCAAAACGACTCCCTGAAGTCGATTTGTTTTCATATAATTATGATGTATTATTAGATAAATGACATATGGAAGTATATTTAATTGATTGCTGATTATCTTAGCTAATGGAGGGAAACAATGGTGTGGTTAATCCAAAATAATCTAAAGTCATTTTGATTTGATTTTGAAAAAAAATTGCTTTACATTTAGCAACAAATTGGGTATTTTTAACATTCTAAGATTTTTTATATCTTCAAATAAAGCAATGAAAACATACTGAGTAAAAATATATTCAGCTCATAGCCTGGCCCTGCACATATTAAACTGGCAATAAATACACGGTAATTAATAGCCAGAGAGTTTCATAGCTTCCTTATCTATCTTCTAGCAACTGTGCCAGTCATTTTTCCTCATTCAGGAGACCCTCTTCTTACCTATGCTAATGGGCACAGGCTATCTCAGCCTCTGCTAGTGGGCATGTGACTAAGTCTAGCTGAATCAGAGCCTGGTACTCCTCTGGCTACAGTTATAGATTTCATGAGTACCTGTAACCTTGTACATTTACTCATGGACAGGATATTGTATCTTCCCTGGCAATAGTTTCATGGAAGAGTACATGGTAACAGCTGTGAGTCTCCAGCTATCATTTTACAAAATACGGTCATGCCTTTCTGGCCCTAGTTGATCTATCTAGAGTAGATCTCCACCAAATCAAGCCAATCATAGCTCTTTCCCCCATGAATTAGAAACTAAGGCTAAGAGATTCCAGTATCACCTTTGACATCACTTTAACAGGAGTTGCAAGTTAGGAAGCTTCCACGTTACTGTGTGAGAACAGAAAGTTATTCTAGAGAGGGAGAAAAAGACAAGAAAGAAGCAGTCAGACAGAGAGAAATAGAGACGAAAACTGAAGACAGAAGTACTGATTCTGATCCTTTAAAGGCCAGCCTACATTCTTAATCCTTGGTTCCCTAAGGGTACAAATTTGAATTTTCATATTAATTTTTTTGAAGCTAGCTCCTGTTGGATTCTCATTGTCAATCAAGAGTCTTTACTAATTCTGCATTCCCTAGAGATAGTAGCAGGGAAGGCGATGAATGTATTAATCCAGGGGTGGGAATTTGTAGGGCAGGTAGAGTAGAAAGAGAGGAGGGGAAGGCAACTGAAGGTATGGGTGGGAACACAGTTGAAGCGGCTAGAAATGAAGGTCAAGTTGGATTGAGAAGAAAGAAAATCAGCCAGGCATGGTGACTCACTCATGCCTGTAATCCCAGCACTTTGGGAGGCTGAGGCTCAAGTGATTTACTTGAACCCAGGAGTTAAAGACAAGCCTGGGCAACACAGGGGACCCTGACTCTATAAAAAAAAATTAAAAAATTAAATTAGCCGGGTGTGGTGGCACACACCTGTAATTCCAGCTACTTGGGAGGCTGAGGCAGGAGGATCACTTGAGCCTGGGACATTGAGGTTAGCGTGAGCCATGATTGCACCACTGCACTCCAGCTTGGGTGACATAGAGCAAGACCCTGTCTCAAAAAAAAAGAAAGAGAACCCAAAATGGGATAAACCCAACTAGAAGAAAGGACAGCGCTGAGGCTGGAGAAGGTTAGGTGAATCTGCTGCCTTGTGAGTCAGAATGACGGGAAGGAAAGGAGGCTGTGTTCTGAGAGTAAGTTGTCAAAAGTAGAGGAGTCCTGAATTATAACAAGGTCGAGGATGTGGCTGGGAGAGTGGCCTGTTGAAAGAAAGTAATAATTGGAATACAGGTTAGGGAACTCTCAGGCTAAGAAGTGGAATGTATAAGTTACCTAGGAAAGTGGTAGAAGTTAGGCAGAGAAGAATGTGAACCAGATGTCAAAACCTCAGTGGATATGTGTTTGTTAGAAATGTAAGCTATTGATACAATCAAAATTATATTGGAGATTTTAATTCTTCAGTGTCAATAATGAGAATCTGAGTGGATAAAGTATTGTGTAAAAGGTCCTGACATGTTCAAATATAGACTTAATTGATATTCAGAATAAATTAAATAAGGTAGATTTATATTGTATTTATAATGCATACAAAATGTGCTCTGTAAAGTAGTATAGAGATTATGGAATACAGTATGGAGGTTCCTCAGAAAACTAAATATAGAACTACCATATAATCCAGCAATCCCACTGCTGGGTATATATCCAAAAGAAAGGAAATCGGTATATCAAATAGACATTTGTTGGTACTCCCATGTTTACTGCACCACTCTTCGCAATATCTAAGGTATGAAATCAATCTAAGTGTCGATCAGAAGATGGATAGGTAAAGAAAATGTGGTCCATATATAAAATGGAATATTATTTAGCCATTAAAAAAAAGAATGAAATCCTGTTATTTGCAGCAACATAGATGGAACTAGTAGTCACCATGGTAAGTGAAATAAGCTCAGCACAGAAAGACAAATGTTCTCACTCATATATGAGAGCTAAAAAAGTGGATCTTTTGGAGGTAGAGAGTAGAATGATTGTTACCAGAGGCTGGGAAGAGGAGGAGGTTGCAGGGGATGATGAGGAGCCGGTTAATGGGTAGCACAAGAATACAGTTAGGGCTAGGCGCAGTGGCTTACGCCTGCAAACCCAACATTTTGGGAGGCCGAGGCAGGTGGATCATTTGAGATCAGGAGTTTGAGACCAGCCTGGCCAGCATGGTGAGACCCCTGTCTCTACTAAAAATACTAAAATTAGCCGGCTGGATGGTAGTGGTATACACCTATAATCCCAACTACTTGGGAGGCTGAGGCAGGAGAATCGCCTGAGCTTGGGAGGCAGAGGTTGCAGTGACCCAAGATTGTGCCACCGCACTCCAGCCTGGGTGAAAGAGTGAGACCCTGTCTCAAAAAATAAAAAATACAGTTAGATAGAAGGAATAAGTTATATTATTCAATAGTACAGTTGGAAGATTATAGTTAAAAATAATTCATTGTATATTTAAAAATAGCTAGAAGAAAAAAATATGTTTCCAACATGAAGAAAAGATAAACGTTTATGGTGGTATATATCCCAATTACCCTGCTTATCATTATACATTGTAAACAGGTATCAAAATATCACATGTACCCCAAAAATCTGTACAACTATTATATATCAATTTTAAATTTAGATTTTAAATTTAAATTACTCAGTTGTGATTAAAAACAGAAATTAATTTTAAAAATAAAATAAAAACTAATTACTTACATGAAAAGTTCATTCTTCTAAAAAATAGACTTATCTGGCTGGGGGCGGTGGGTCACGCCTGTAATCCCAGCACTTTGGGATGCCGAGGTGGGCAGATCACCTAAGGTCAGGAGTTCGTGACCAGCCTGACCAATATGGTAAAACCCCGTCTCTACTAAAAATACAAAAAATTAGCCAGGTGTTGTGGCAGGTACCTGTAGTCCCAGCTACTAGGGAGACTGAGGCAGGAGAATCGCTTGAACCCGGGAGGCAGAGGTTGCAGTGATCTGAGATAGCGCCACTGCACTCCAGCCTCAGCAACAGAGTGAGACTCTGTCTCAAAAAAAAAAAAAAAGTACTTAATGCCACTGAAATGTACAGTTAAAAATAGTTAAAATGGTAAAATTCAAGTTGTGCATATCTTACCAAAATAAAAAAGATTTAAAATTTAAATATTAATATAAAATTAAATGAGTTTAGTTTAATCCTTGAACAACTAATATTGTTACAACAATGTAATAGAGAAATTATAAATTATCAAATGCTATTTAGTTGTATACAATGTATCTATTTTTGAATAAATAATAGATTTACATGGTACAAAACAATGCATCAGGAAGAGTAAATCTCCCCTTGATCTACCCAGTTCCCAGAGACAACCCTGTTACCTACCAGAGCTAATATATATATTTACTCCAATTACTATATGTAACACTGTATGCACAATCTTGCAACTTGCTACCAATAGAGTGAATTTCTTTTTTCTTTTTTTTTTTCTGAGACAGCATCTCACTCTGTCACCCAGGCTGGAGTGCAGTGGTATAAACATGGCTCACTGTAGCCTCGACCTCCTGGGCTCAAGTCTCCTCCTGCCCCAATCTCCCTAGTAGCTAGGGCTACAGCTGTGACTCATCATGCCTGGCCAGAGAGTGATTTTTTTTTAATTGATTGATTGATTGAGACGGAGTCTCATTCTGTCTCCCAGGCTGGAGTGCAGTGCTGCGATCTCAGCTCACCGCGCCCACTGCCTCCCAGGTTCCAGCAATTCTCCTGCCTCAGCCTCCCGAGTAGCTGAAATTATGGGAACGCACCACCACACCTGGCTAATTTTTGTAATTTTAGTAGAGACAGGGTTTCACCATGTTGGCCAGGCTGGCCTCGAACTCCTGACCTCAGGTGATCCATCCGCTTTGGCCTCCCAAAGTGCTGGGATTAAAGGTGTGAGCCACCGCACCCGGCCCAGAGTGAACTTCTTAATCAGCTAAAATGGTCCCTTTTCCTCCAGTGGGTAGATTTAAAGTAGACATTGGTAATGATTTCTTTTCCTGAGGTTACATCTCTTGAGCACCAAGAGTGTGGCAAGTGCATTAGAGGTTTAGAGGTGAAACAATCACCAGGTTGAGTCTAGAACTGGACCTCTGGGCCTCTGTTTCTTAGCAGCAGACTCTAAAGTTCCATCCTACTTTTCGAACAGTTAGCTAATGAAATTCATCTCTGCATCTGTCTTGAGGCAATTTAGATGTTCTAGGGTAGGTATACAGGTGAGGCTAATCGGCTCCAGGCCTGCAGTCCAGCCACATTTCTGTAAATGATAATTGCCTACTTTGTCAGCCATAAGTGCCTTCAGGAGGTAGCTGAATGGGACCTATGGGATCAGGAATAATTTAAAAATATTATGCTGGGCGTGGTGGCTCACGCCTGTAATCCCAGCACTTTGGGAGGCCGAGGTGGGAGGATCACCTGAGGTCGGGAGTTCGATACCAGCCTGACCAACATGGAGAAACCCTGTCTCTAATAAAAATACAAAATTAGCTGGGCATGGTGGTACATGCCTGTAATCCTAGCTATTTGGGAGGCTGAGGCAGGAGAATCACTCGAATCTGGGAGGTGGAGGTTGCGGTGAGCCAAGATCACGCCATTGCACTCCAGCCTGGGTAACAAGAAGGAAACCTCATCTCAAAAAAAAAAAAAAAGAAAATTGATGCTAGCTCTTAGATTTCTGATGAGCTACTTTCAATTTAACACTCCTTTTTGGGGCACCATGACATAGGCCATAGGAAACAGCCAACACACTCTAAAATTCTGGCATTGTTGTACTATGTTCTCTAACATTCCATCCTTTGTCAAGAAATGGTCCACGTCCCAAGATAAAATACACGATAGCCATAGTCATTTGACTGAGTGTTTCCATTTCATGTGAAGGGTTAGTAAGATTACCAACATTCAGCCTAGGCCTGAGGGGTGTTTACGTTTCTTTTCTTTTCTTTTTTCTTTTTTTGAGACAGAGTCTTACTCTGTCACCCAGGCTGGAGTGCAGTGGCATGATCTCCGCTCACTACAACCTCCACTTCCCAGGTTCAAGCGATTCTCCTGCATCAGCCTCCCGAGTAGCTGGGATTACAGGTGCGCACCACCATGCCCAGCTAACTTTTTATATTTTTGGTAGAGATGGTGTTTGACCATGTTGGCCAGGCTGGTCTCAAACTCCTGACCTCAAGCGATCCGCCTGCCTTGGTCTCCCAAAGTGCTGGGATTACCGGGGTGAGCTACCACGCCTGGCCTACTTTTCTTAAAACTACCTTTAACTTAGATGATTCTACAATTTAGTGTCTTTTATACCAAATTCTGATATGAATTTCTTATCATTTTTCAAACTTCTTTTTGTTTTTTTGAGATGGAGTCTCACTCTGTCACCCAGGCTGGAGTGTAGTCACGCAATCTCAGTTCACTGCAACCTCTGCTTCCTGGGTTCAACTGATCCTCCCGCCTCAGCCTCCCAAGTTGCTGGGACTACAGGCATGTGCCACCACACCAGGCCTAATTTTAGTATTTTTTAGTAGAGACGGGGTTTCACTATGTTGGCTAGGCTGGTCTCGAACTCCTGACTTCAAGTGATCCACTCACCTCCGCCTCACAAAGTATGGAATTACAGGCATGTGCCACTGTGCCCAGCCTCAAACTTCTTTTTAGTTACAAATAACAGAAAACACTACCAAATTGGCTTATATTAAAAAATATATATGTTATTAGCTTGTGTAGCTTGGTCTTATGATCTTGGTCCAGATTTCACTTCAATCAAGGCTGGTGAAGGAAACCAGAATATTTCACCCCCAAGATATGCCTTTTGGCATACATATTTGTTGTTGTTGTTGTTATTTTATTTTATTTTATTTTTTGAGACAGGATCTTGCAGTGTCACCCAGGCTAGAATGCAGTGGCAAGATCATGGCTCACTGCAGGCTCAACCTCTTAGGCTCAAGCAATCCAGGCTGCTTCAGTAGAATTTTTTGTAAAGACAAGGTCTTGCTTTATTGCCGAGGCTGGTCTCGAACTCCTGGGCTCAAGCTATACTCCTGCCTTAGCCTCCCGAAATGCTGGGATTACAAGCATGAGCCACCACAGCCATCCTGGCATAAATATTTTTAAGCTAGAGACAATTGGGAAGCAATAGTTTATAGAAAAGGTCTGTTTGAGCTGCTCCTTCTTACCTATGGCTGGCCATAAAAATTCCCGTGAAAAAGATGCAGAAGGGATCCTGCCTGTCCTTTCTGCCTAAAGACAGACATGCAGATTATCATCCACTTAGCTCGGAGACTGGCACCAGTGGGCCAGAGGAATCTTGGAGCTGACTTTATTACCTTCCCATAATTTCCCCACCTTTTGGGAGCCTAAAGCTGCTTATTCCTTTGTCTTGTCACTTCTAAATTATTGCTCTTTGTTAGGTATGCTTTCTAAACCAGGACTCTTAGCCACCATTTTGAGAGATACCTTCAAATCGGGATTTCTCCTGCACGGTGGGCACAGCAGGCATTAAAAATAAAAAAATGCTTGTTTTTCTCTTGTTGATCTGTCTTTTGCTACAGAGATGTCCCAGCTATGAACTTATAAAGGTTGAGAAAAGAAATTACATTTTCTCCCCTTCACTGAATTGGGAAGAAGGTTAAATAAAAATATCATCAGGAAGTGTCTCTATTCCTTGTTTCGGGAAGATCGGAGTTATTCTCTGGCTCCATAGCGAAACAAGATGGCTGCCTGCAGCAGCATCTTCCCGGATTCAATTCAATAAAAACATTTTGAAAGATGCCTTTCAACAATCCCAGCAAAAGTCTAATTTTGTTTTATTCATTTGATTGGGTTACATAATTGTTCCTGAACAGATTCATGTGGCCAGAAGAGTGTAATATTCTAATTAGCTGGACTAAGTCACAGGAACTATTTTTTTTCTTTAGATGACAGTTTCATTGAGATGTAATTCACATACCATAAAATCTACCCCGTATGAACTCTTCGAAAGTAGGATATGGAGTGACACCACCTAAAGCACTTGGACTGGCTGGGCGCGGTGGCTCACGCCTGTAATCCGAGCACTTTGGGAAGCTGAGGTGGGTGAGTCATCTGAGGTCAGGAGTTTGAGACCAGCTTGGCTAACATGGTAAAAACCCATCTCTACTAAAAATACAAAAATTAGCCAGGTATGATAGCGCATGCCTGTAATCCCAGCTGCTAGGGAGGCTGAGGCAGAATAGCTTGAACCTGGGGGGCAGAGGTTGCAGTGAGCTGAGATGGCACCACTGCACTCCAGCCTGGGCGACAGAGTGAGACTCCATCTCAAAAGAAAAAATAAATAAATAAGCACTTGGAATGGAAGTTGAGGAGGTGAGGTTTCCCAGAGCAGAATGGGCACCGATATTATTAAAGAAAGGGTGAATGGATACTGGCCCCCAAAACTGAATTTCTAAGGATCTTACCTGAAGGGAACTGTATACTGTGGATTTGTAGAGTTTAGCAATTACTCCCTGTGTTGCCTCCCTGTGAGGTGCAGTTTAAAACAAATTACTCATTGCTTTGCTTTTCTTATTCTATTATCCTCCATATTCATTTTTTTTTCTACAAATGTTGCAAAGTCTTAGTTCAGCCAGGCACAGTGTCTCATGCCTGTAATCCTATCACGTTGGGAGACCGAGGTGGGAGGATCACTTGAGGCCAGGAGTTAGAGACCAGCCTGGGAAGCATGGCAAGACTCTGTCTCTACAAAAAAATTTTAACAATTAGCCAAGCATAGTGGCACACGCCTGTATCCCAGCTACTCAGGAGGATTGCTTGAGCCCAGGAGTTTGAGGCTGCAGCGAGCTATTATCAGGCCACTGCACTCCAGCCTGGGCGACAGAGGGAGAGCCTTTCTCTAAAAAAAGAAAAAGTCTTAGTTCCCAGACTTATATTCACTTCCGTACCTGGCTCTGTGTTTGTGTATAGTAAAATCAAAGTTTTCTGAATTTCCTTATTTAAAAATCACTTTCTTTGTTCAGTCATAGCATTAATTCTCTAGCAATAGCCTGGGAAGGCTGTATGGTTGATTGAGAAATACCTATATTAGGGCTTCCCAATGAGCTCTCTAAGCCATAGCATGGTACACAGGCTCACTTAATGTAGGGTAAAGGTTAAGAGCCCAGACTGGTCATCAGATGGAATCAGATACCACTTAATAATTCAGTAAATTAGGCCAGGCGTGGTGGCTCACGCCTGTAATCCCAACACTTTGGGAGGCCGAGGCTGGTGGATCACGAGGTCGGGAAATCGAGACCATCCTGGCTAACAAGGTGAAACCCTGTCTCTACTAAAAAATACAAAAAATTAGCTGGGCGTGGTGGCAGGAACTTGTAGTCCCAGCTACTAGGGAGGCTGAGGCAGGAGAATGGCGTGAACCCGGGAGGCGGAGCTTGCAGTGAGCCAAGATCGTTCCACTGCACTCCAGCCTGGGCGACAGAGTGGGACTCCATCTCAATAAATAAATAAATAAAATAATAATAATCATTTGGTAAATTAGGCTGGGTGCAGTGGTTCGTGCCTGTAATCCCAGCACTTTGGGAGTCTGAGGTGTGTGGATCACCTGAGGTCAGGAGTTCAAGACCAGCCTGGCCAACATGGTAAAACCCTATCTCTACTAAAAATACAAAAAAATCAGCCAGGCGTGGTGGTGCATGCCTGTAGTCTCAGCTACTTAAGAGGCTGAGGCAGGAGAATCGCTTGAACCCAGAAGGCAGAGGTTGCAGTGAGTAGAGATCATGCCATTGCACTCCAGCCTGGACAGCAGAGTGGGACTCCAGCTCAAAAAAAAAAAAAAAAAAAACAAAAAACAGTAAATTTTGGCAAGTCACTTGAACTCCCTGAACTTCGGTTTGTACATATATTTTTTAAGAGACGGGATCTCACTGTGTTGCCCAGGCTGGAGTGCAGTGGCTATTCCCAGGCATGATTATAGCACAGTACAGCCTCAAACATCTGGGCTCAAGTGATTCTCCTGCCTCAGCATCCCGTGTAGCTGGGACTACAGGTGTGCGCCGCTGTGTCCAGCTTGAACTTTGGCTCCTTATCAGAAAACTGAAACTAAAATTATATCCCAAATGACAGTCATGAGGATTATAAATTAGAAGATACATGTATAAGGAAAGAGAGGAAATAACATTTTCTTGAATTCCTCTTACGATCTAAGAAATGAGTTTAGAAGAAATACTTGAATGTACTTCTTGGAGCTAAGGCCTTAAGAGTCAAGTTCTGGTATCAAAATATCTTCTAGGGAGGATGAATCCTGTTAACTGAAGTCTTTTTGTTTTTCTGAGAGTTGAATAAGGTTTGCATATGCAAAGTTCCACTGGGAGAGCTGGAAGCTGGGTAAATCTGTGAGGGGAGAAAAAAAAAATAAATGACGTTGGGGCTGAAGGGGTACTCGGGTGTGATGGAGCTGGCAGCTATGGGCTTTCAAGGGCTGGTTTTTGGCATTTCTTCCCAACTTCATGTTCAGAGGCATCATGCTGGCAGTGTGAAATCAGTTATGGTGGGATTATTTATACTACAGAAATTGGCAAGTCTGCACATCAGCCCTTCCCACTCCCAAAGAGCTAACTAGTAAATATTTACTAGCACAACGGTAGATAAAACACCTCTGTGTCTGAACAGTGAAAAAAGTTGCTTTGGAAAACAGGGCTATCTGAAGAAGAGGTTTTTTATTTTTTATTTTTTATTTTTCTTCAGATTTTTTTGTTTCTCATTCTTCCCTTGATGTCTTTAGAAATTCCCTCTTATTCGCGAATGTTTTATGCAGGTGAATTCTTTTTTTTTTTTTTTTTGAGATGGAGTCTTGCTCTGTCGCTGTCGCCCAGGCTGGAGTGCAGTGGCGTGATCTCAGCTCATTGCAACCTCTGCCTCCCAGGTTCAAGGGATTCTCTAGCCTCAGCCTCTTGAGTAGCTGGGAGTACAGGTGTGCACCACCACACCCAGCTAATTTTTGTATTTTTTGATAGAGACAAAGTTTCACCATGTTGGCCAGGCTCGTCTCGAACTTCTGACCTGAAGTGACCCACCCACCTCGGCCTCCCAAAGTGCTGGGATTATAGGGGTGAGCCACTGTGCCCAGCCTGCAGGTGAATTCTTGAGAGAGATGAGGACAAGAGTGCAACTGCTATCTAAGTACTGACAAATGGTAGCAATAATTGTCTTTATTAGTATTATTCATTTAAAAAATAACAAATGGTTCCTTTTCTTCCCCATGAGGCTGCTATTGGGGTTGCTTTCCTTGGCCAGAACACATTCTTCTTCACCTGCTTCTTGGCAGGACATAGCTCAGGGCCCCCAATTATGAGAAGCCATTGCCCCTTTTGAGTCCCAAGTGAGCTGGGACATTCTCTCCGAGGAGGTGACATTTAAGGAAAAGCCTAGAATAAGAAGCAGCCAAGGAGGGGAAGAGTGTGAGGAAGCAAGGGAAAGCATTCCAGGCAAAGGGAACTGTAAATTCAAAGGCTCTGTGGGGGGAAAAAGTCCAGTGAGACCAGAATGTATGAAGGAGGTAAGAGTGGAATGAGATGAGGTTTAGAAGTAGGCAGAGATCAGCTACACCGGGTCTGCTATACTCTTAATCAGCAAGAGATATTTAATGCCCTCAAGGAGCTTGTCAGGAAATATAATGTCAATTGTCCCGATGCTCAACATTGACTAAAGCTTGGTTGATAGATACGATATTAATAGAGGGTTGCCTTAAGGGTATGGAGTGCATGCTTGTCTCTAAAAATCTGTCTGTGGGTTAAGTCAGATGAGCTGAGAGCTGGACTGCACTGTTGACAGATGCTGTGACTCAATGTCACACAGTCAGATAAAGGGATATGTGGCAGCCAGTGTCCAAGATGACCCCAATGGTCCCTACCTTTGTATTTATGGCATAGTTCTTTTTTTTTTTTTTTTTTGAGATGGAGTCTCGCTCTGTCACCCAGGCTGGAGTGCAGTGGCACGATCTTGGCTCACTGCAACCTCCGCCTCCTGGGTTGAAGTGATTCTTCTGCCTCAGCCTCCTGGGTAGCTGGGACTACAGGCACCCGCCACCATGCCCAGCTAATTCATTTTTATTTTTAGTAGAGATGGGATTTCACCGTGTTAGCCAGGATGTCTCCATCTCCTGACCTTGTGATCCACCCGCCTCGGCCTCCCAAAGTGTTGGGAGTACAGGCGTAAGCCACCGCTCCTGGTCTACCTTTGTATTTATATATTCCCATCCCACATTGAATATGGCAGACTAGTATCACCAACAGGATATTGACAAAATGACACTGTGTGATTTCTGAGGCTACATCACAGAAGACATTGTAGCATATGCCTTGTTGTAGCTCACTGCTCACTTACCTCCCAGGTCCCAGTGATTCTCTCTTGGATCATTTGCTCTGGGGAAGTCGATGGCCATGTCATGAGGACACTCACTTAAGTAGCCCTATGAAGAAGTCCACATGGGGCGGATCTGAGCCTCCTGCCAACAGCCAGTACAACTTGCCAACTATCAGAATGAGCCAGCTTGTAGTAAATCCTCCATCCCTAGACAAGCCTTCAAATAACTACCACCCTGGCTGCCACCCTGACTGCCACCTCATGAAATACCCAAACCAGAACCACCCCAACTAAGCTGCTCCTGAATTGCTGACTACAGAAACTGTATGAAAAAATAAATGTTTACTTCTGTTTTAAGACAATAAGTTTTGAGGTATGTAGTCATGCAGTAGTAGATTAAAGCAGACATTATAAGAATCCTAATTTGCTGTAATAACAATAACACTGTTCATTAAGGGTATTGTCTGTGAGTTTGGACAAGTGACTTAACCTTGCTATACTTCAGTTTTCTCATCTGTCAAAAGGGTCTAATAAGGCTTGGTCAGGTGGCTCATGCCTGTAATCCCAGCACTTTGGGAGGCCAAGGTGAGTGGATCGCTTGAGCCCAGCCTGAGCAACATAGCAAAACCCCATCTTTACTAAAAATACAAAAAACTGGCCTGGTGTGGTGGCATGTGCCTATAGTCCCAGCTACTCAGGAGGCTGAGGTGGGAGCATCACCTGAGCTTGGGAAGTCGAGGGTGCAGTGAGCTGTGATTGAGCCATTGCATTCCAGCCTGGGTGACAAAAGTAAGACTCTGTCTCAAAAAAAATCCATGTCTCAGAATGTCTATAACATTAAATTATATAATAGATATAGATATTTTAAAGAATAAAATAAAATCATAGATAGCATATAATAGAAAATAAATGTCATCCATTATTATTTGCTGTTCTTTTTTTTTTTTTTTTTTTTTTTCTGAGATGGAATCTCACTCTGTTGCCCAGGCTGGAGTGCAATGGTGTGATCTGAGCTCACTGCAACCTCCGCCTCCTGGGTTCAAGCAATTCTCCTGCCTCAGCCTCCTGAGTAGCTAGGATTACAGGCGTATGCCACAACATCCAGCTAATTCTTGTATTTTTAGTAGAGATGGGGTTTCACCATGTTGGCCAGGCTGGTCTCGAACTCCTGACCTCATGATCCGCCCACCTCGGCCTCCCAAAGTGCTGGGATTACAGGTGTGAGCCACCACGCCCAGCTGCTGTTCTTTTTTTAATTTTAAAAAATGTTTTTGAAACAAGGTCTCACTCTGTTGCCCAGGCTGGAATGCAGTGGCCTGACCACAGCTCACTGCAGCCTTGAAATCCTGGGCTCAAGGAATCCGCCTACCTCAGCCTCCTGAGTAGCCTCCTGGGGCTACAGGCACGCCTCATGGCATCCAGCTATTTTTTTCTTTTCTTTTTTTGAGACAGGTTCTCAGTATGTTGCCCAAGCTGGTCTCAAATTGCTGGCCGCAAGTTATCCTCCTAGCTCAGCCTCCCAAAGTGTGAGATTACAGGCATGAGTCACCACGCCCAGCCTGCTGTTATTCTTATTACTATTATTTTTTCTTTTTTAATGTTAATTTTAACCAAATCTGCTTCTCCTTCTGTTTTTCAAAATCCATTACTAACACAACCCACACAGTTAAAACAACAACAGTCAAACACATCAGAAACCTGGACATTATCCTTGACTGATTTTACTTTTCACTCTTCACATCCAATCAATCATTAAGTTCCAATGACTATATCTTCTAAAGACTTTCAGAGTATTTCCTTTATTCCTACTCCCACTGCCTTAGCTCAGGTCCCCATCAACTCCTATCTGGACTATTAAACAGATTCCTAAATGGTTCCCTGCCTCTAATCTTGTTTCCCCCAAATTGTTTTTCACACTGCAGCCAGTGATCTATCTACAATACAAATATAATAAAACCATTCCCCTGGTGAAAACATTTCCCTGGTCCTCTGACAACTGCAGAAGGCAGTTGCTCACACTGCTCACTCGCCTCCCAGGTTCCAGTGATTCTCCTGCTTCAGCTTCCTGGATAGCTGGGATTACAGGCATGTGCCACCACACCCGGCTAATTTTTGTATTTTTAGTAGAGACAGAGTTTCACCATGTTAGCCAGGCTGGTCGCAAACTCCTGACCTCAGGTGATCTGCCTGCCTCGACCTCCCAAAGTGCTAGGATTACAGGCATGAGCCACCATGCCCAGCCCGCTGTGGATTCTTACTTATGCTTCAAAATTCGACCCAAGCCTTCTTTTCTCCAGGAGAGAACTAACCAAATAACTAAATAAATTAATAAGATTTCTCAGATGGCTTAGTTTGGGTTAAGTCTCCTTTCTTTAATGTACAATATATATCTGAGGTCCAGGTAAAATATTCGGGACACCCTTATACCAAAAAATTACTCATTGTTTTTCTGAAATTCAAATTCAACTAGGCACCCTGTTTTTGTTTTCTGAATCTGGCAACACTGTCTCCTCACTTTCTATTATATATTGTATAGATTTTATCTCTTACATATATATCCCTCCCTTGGAAGGACTTGCAAGAAAGGGACTTAGTGGAAATCTCTTGCAGGAAGGAACCAGGTCTTTTTTAATGATTTATTTATTTATTTATTTATTTTTTAAATCTCTGATTCCCTAGTGGCTGGCAAATTATCTGACACACCGGATACATTAGTTAGAATCTTCTGGTTGCAAGTAGTAGAAACAAACTCAAGCCCAATTAAGCAATGAAGGATTTATGGTAATGAGAATTCCAGAGCCAGAGTGCAGCTGGCTTCAGGAAGCCCAGGAACCCATTGCTCTCTCTTCTCTCATCTGTTTCTCTCAATGCCTGAGCTCCCTTCTTCTCTAATTGCCAGGCGTTTCTCTGCTATTCAATTCACTTGGAAGATAGCTGAGCAGCCCTCCTGATGGCTACATCTCCTTCATTTGAGATAGACACTAATATCTCTTAACCCCAATTCCAATCTCTGGGGAGGGTACTGGGTTCAGTCAGTTGAGTCTAGGAAGGGAGGGTTGTGTAATAACAGGGCTCGCCTGTGACTGTGTAGAGTATTTTTTTGGTTTTTAATGTTTTTTGGGGGGACAAGATCTTACTCTGTCGCCTAGGCTGGAGTGCAGTGGTGTCCTCATAGCTCACTGTATCCTCAAACTCCTGGGCCCGAGGGCTCCTCCTGCCTCAGCCTCCCAAGTTGCTGGGATTACAGGTGCACACCACCATGCCAGGCTAATTAAAAAACAACTTTTTTTAGAGATGGGGTCTTGCTATATGTTGCCCAGGCTGGTCTCAAACTCCTGGCCTCAAGCAATCTTCCAGCCTTGGCCTCCCAAAGCACTGGGATTATAGGCATGAGCCACTGTGCCCTGGCCTCACCCTGTGGTTTGATAGTGGAGGAAGAACAGACACTGAGAAGGTTTCTACTGCATAGATGCTGTATTAGTCAGGGTTCTCCAGACAACAAAGCCCATAGTATACGTGTGTGTGTTTGTGTGTGTGTGTGTGGTGTGTGTGTGTGTGAGAGAGAGAGAGAGAGAGAGAGATTGAGAGATTGAGATTATAGAGGCTGGTAAATGCAAATATTTAGGTTGGGCTGGCAGACTGGAGACCCAGGGGAGAGTGGATATTGCAGTTCAAGTCCAAAGGCTGTCTGCTGGCAGAATCCGCTCCTGTTCCAAGGTCAGTCTTTTGTTCTACTTGCCTTCATCTGATCATGTGAGACCCACTCACATCAGGGAGGGAAGTCTGCTTTACTCAAAATCCGCTGATGTAAATGTTAATCTCAACGAAAAACACCCTCATTGAAACATCCAGATACTCAAACATTTGTGGAATTGAACTACTTTTGTTGCCTACTACATTTAAACAGTGTTGCTCTGTGAAGAACCTCAGATAAATTGTGATCTCAGAATCTCAGAACCAAGAATAGTTAGGCCTTCTTCTGAGCCTTGGTTTGTTTTATCCCATAAACTCTGAATCATGTAATATATCATATTTCTCTCTTTTGGTTCTAGAGAGGTTGGACTTTAATTAGTGTTTCTTTTCTAGCAAATGTGCAGTACCTTACAGATGCATTTTATACACTAACCTCATTCCTGTGTACATATTACCTTCAAAACAATTCTCATTTTTCATTTCTTAATTGCCTCACTAATTTGTTTTTAAGTTTATTTAACAGGACTTTATGGGAAGAGTGTGAGTTAATAAAGAAAGCGCTTGTCAAAATTCTTGATCTCCTTTTCCTTGAGCCAAGACCAATGTCTTTCATTTTTAATGATTCTAAAATGAGCAGTTTGTAGTCTTTCAAAAGTCCTCATATGACACGATTCCCACAGCCCTTCCATTTCAGTAGTCCTGTTTACGGGTTTAAAAGAAGCCCAGCATGTATCATCAATCTCTTACCATTCGAAGCATAATGAAAGTCAAGTGCTCAATGCTGCAAAACATTGAGCTGTTAAACACCTCCAGACATTTTTTTTTACCAGCTTAAATTGCTCTTCTTTTACCATCTTAAAACATATGCTCTTTTCCTCAGATCTTCAAAAATGTTGACTTCTAAAAGTGGGCCTTTGTTCTGGGGTGGTAGAGCTGAAAATCGAGGCAAAAATAAGAGAAGAGCTGAGAGCAAAAACAGAGCCAAGAGAAGAGGGTCTTTGAGATGACATCTGAATCTGTTCAATAAACATGGCTGGCATAGCTGGGCGCGGTGGCTCAGGCCTGTAATCCTAGCACTTTGGGAGGCCGAGGTGGGTGGATCACCTGAGGTCAGGAGTTCGAGACCAGCATGGCCAACATGGCGAAACCCCATCTCTACTAAAAATACAAAAATTAGCTAGGCGTGGTGGCACATGCCTGTAATCCTAGCTACTTGGGAGGCTGAGGCAGGAGAATCAGTTGAGCCCGGGAGTGGAGTTTGCAGTGAGCCAAGATCATACCACTGTACTCCAGCCTGGGTGACAAGAGCAAAACTCTGTCTTAACATAATAATAATAATAATAATAATAATAATAATAATAATAGCTCTATATAATTAAGTGTAGGAGATTACATTGCAACCACTATATTTTTGGTAAATGCAGCAATAGGATATTCACTATGAGTTGAGGTTTTCCATGTTGTCCATTTGGTGTCCCTGAAGCAGTCCTTGAGTGCAGCAGCTTTACAAAGTACATGCCAAAAAGGAGGAGGCCAGAGCATCATCTCCATTTTTACTTCTGTTATCATGTTACTCCCTTGCCCTGATTTAAAAAAAAAAAGTAGTCCTGGCCAGGTGTGGTGGCTCATGCCCGTAATCCCAGTACTTTGGGAGGCTGAGGCAGGTGGATCACTTGAGGTCAGGAGTTTGAGACCAGGCTGACCAACATGGCAAAACCCCATCTCTACTAAAAATACAAAAATTAGCCAGTTGTGGTGGCTCAGCCCTGTAGTCTCAGCTACTCGGGATGCTGAGGCAGGAGAATTGCTTGAACCTGGGAGGCGGAGGCTGCAGTGAGCCTAGATCGTACCTCTGCACTCCAGCTTGGGCAGCAGAGTGAGACTGTCTCAAAAAAAGAAAAAAAAATAGTAGTCCTAAACAGAAGTTTCTAAACATGATACAGAATTTCATTAAAAGGTTAGCACTGTGTATTTCAGATATAACAAATAGTCACCTGAAGAAATATGAGAGGGAAAAAATTGGTAATTTCAGCATGAAATGAATACTTTTGTAATTATTCCTGAAGGAGTGAAATAATTAAAAGATGAAAATAGTATATGGATTACGTGACATCTTCCCCCAAAGGACAAAAAATGGGGAAAACTAGCAGAGGTCTCAAGAAGACCCTAAGCTGAGCCGAGAGGCTATTTTGAGAAAATACTTGATGAGAGTATTACTTTATTGCCTCTGCTCTTCCATGAGCTGCATGCTGTGAAAGCCAGAGCTGAAATAATAAAGTCTAAGATGTCAAATACTAACACTGGGGGGGCAAGAGGGCATTTAGGCTTGCAGGGGAGCAGGGGAGGTAAAGGTATTGGTGCTGGGCAGGTGTGTCCAAATGAACCTGAGAGAGTAACAAAGTGAGGGAAAGCAAAGAAGATATGAAATACATAGTGAAATTTGAAGGTGAGACAGAGGCAAGAAGAAGAATGGCTCAGGAAGGCCTTTCTAACACCAGTTTTTTTCCCTACTATTTTCATAAAGTTATCAAGAAAGGGGCAGGGCACATAGCACAGTCTCAGTAGCATCTCTTGCTTCTCAGCTCCTCCTGCTCTTACTAGCCTCCCCTGTTGGAACCTATCTATAAGCCAGCCATGCCTGGGGCTTTTGAAGAGAAGGTAACTGAAAACAGCTGGACAAAGGGCCTGGAGGAAAAGCAGTTTTTATCAAGGGCAATTCTTGATGCCACCTGCACATAAGGACTAAGCAAAGTGCTCAATAGTCCTGGTGAAATAAAACTCTATCTTTTTCTGTCTCCTTGCTTCTCTTCTAGGTTTTAATTTAATTCTTGGTTTTAAAAAGAACTTTAAAGTTTTGCCTTTCTCTTAATTCAACTCAATTTTCTATATTTATCTCCTTTTTTCTTTTCTTTTCTTTTTTTTTTCTTTTTTTTTGAGATGGAGACTTGCTCTGTTGCCCAGGCTGGGGTGCAATGGTGTGATCTCAGCTCACCGCAATCTCTGCCTCCCGGATTCAAGCGATTCTCCTTCTTCAGCCTCCTGAGTAGCTGGGATTATAGGTGTATGCCACCATGTCTGGCTAAGTTTTGTAATTTTAGTAGAGATGATGTTTCACTGTGTTGGCCAGGCTGGTTTTGAACTCCTGAACTCAAGTGAGCTTCCTGCCTCAGCTGCCCAAGTGCTGGGATTAGCAGCCACTGCGGCTGGCTAATTTTTGTATTTTTAGTAGAGACAGGCTTTCACCATATTGGCCAGGCTGTTCTCGAACTCCTGACCTCCAGTGATCCACCCGCCTCAGCCTCCCAAAGTGTTGGGATTACAGGTGTGAGCCACTGTGCCCGGCTAATTTTTGTATTTTTAGTAGAGATGGAGTTTCACCATTTTGGTCAGGCTGGTCTCAAACTCCTGACATCCAGTGATCCGCCCGCCTTGGTCTCCCAAAGTGTTGGGATTACAGGAGTGAGCCACTGCACCCAGCCTATTTTTATCTCCTTTTATCAGAACACTTTATTGCAGTGCACAGCAATACAAAGAGATTAACTCAATCCATAGTGTGTTATTCTTCTATAACTAATTTAGATCTCCACCATAATTAGATTAGCTCTACATTGTGTAGTCAAACATCACATTTGGCCCTCTAAAGGCTAGTTGGTTGTTAAAGAACTTGTCAATCACCTACCTTTATCCTTCTGAAATTTTGGGATCCAACCTTTAAAAAATTATTTTTAATTTTGTAATAATTTCACATACAAAAACTGTATATGTAACAAATGTAAATTGTGATGCTTAGTAATAAAATGAATACCTGTGAATTCACTGCCTAATTTAAGAACAAGGCAACAATACCATTGTGTCAAACTATTTCCAACTTATCAACTTTTTTTCATAGCTAGTTCTTTTGGTAATGTATCTCAGAAGTTATCAGCAAACTGAAGGTCATCTAGATTTTCTTCTATGTTATCTTCTAGAAGTTTTATAGATTTGCATTTTATGTTTAGGCCTATGATCCGAAAAATGTAGAGACTGTGTCTAGATTTATTTTGTTTCATGTGGATATCTAGTTATTCCAGCACCATTCATTGAAAAAGTGATCCTTTCTCCATTGAATTGTGTTTGCTCCCTTATCAAAGATCAGTTGACTATACATTTGTGGGTCTAGTCCACAGATGCATCTGTCTATTCTTTCACCAGTGTCAGGTTGTTTCAATCACTGTAGCATTAGAATAAGTCTTCAAGTGTCAGTCCTCTAACTTTGTTCTTCTATTTCAATATTTGTGTTAGCTATTCTGGGTCTTCTGTCTTTCTACATAAATTTTAGAAAGAGCATGTTGATACACAAAAAATAGCTTGCTGGAATTTTTATTGGGATTGAGTTGAATCTAGAGATCAACTTGAGGAAAGCTGACATCTTCAAAATATTAAATCTTTCTATCCATGAACATGGACTATCTCTCCATTTATCCAGATCTTGGATTTCTTTCATGAGAGGTTTATAGTTTTACTCATGTAGAGCTTGTACATATTTTGCTAGGTTTATACCTAAGTATTTCTCTTTTTTTTTTTTTTTTGAGACAGAGTCTCGCTCTGTTGCCCAGGCTGGAGTGCAGTGGCGCAATCTCGGCTCACTGCAACCTCTGCTTCCTGGGTTCAAGCTATTCTCCTGCCTCAGCCTCCCCGGTAGCCGGGATTACAGGTGTACACTACCACACCCAGCTAATTTTTGTACTTTTAGTAGAGACGGGGTTTCACTATGTTGGCCAGGCTGGTCTCGAACTCCTGACCTCAAGTGATCTGCCTGCCTCAGCCTCCCAAAGTGCTGGGATTACAGGCATGAGCCACCAGGCCTGGCCCTCTTTTTTGATGGTAATGTAAATAGTGTTGTGTTTTAAATTTCAAATTTCAATTGTTAATTTTTGGTATATAGAAATACAATTGATGTTGTGTATTAACCTTGTATCCTGCGTCATTGCTATAATCACTTAAATTATAGGAGGCTTTTTGTTGATTATTTGGAATTTTCTGTTTTTTCTTTTTTCTTTTTTTTGAGACAGAGTCTGCCTGTGTAGCCCAGGCTGGAGTGCAGTGGCGCAAGCTCCGCCTCCCAGGTTCACACCATTCTCCTGCCTCAGCCTCCCCAGTAGCTGGGATTACAGGTGCCCACTATCACGCCTGGCTAATTTTTTTTGTATTTTTAGTAGAGATGGGGTTTCACCATGTTAGCCAGGATGGTCTTGATCTCCTGACCTCGTGATCCACCCGCCTCAGCCTCCCAAAGTGCTGGGATTACAGGTGTAAGCCACTGTGCCCGGCCAATTATTTGGAATTTTCTACATAGATAGTCATATCAATCTGCAAACACAGTTTTATTTCTTCCTTCCCAATCAATATACATTTTATTTACTTTCTTGTCTTATTGCATTAGTTAGAACTTCCAGTATGTTGTTGAATAAAATGGGTGAGAGGGAGTATCCTTGTCGTGTTCCCAGTTTTAAAGGGAAAGCATCCAGTTTTTCACCATTAAGTCTAATGTTAGCTATCGGGTTTCTGTAGATGTTCTTTATTAAGTTGAGGAAGTTCCTTTCTATTTCTAGTTTGTGAAAGTTTTTATCATGGATGAGGGTTAGATTGTATGAAATGTTCTTTCTGCATCTATTGATAGGATTATACTATTTTCCTTCTTTGGCCTATTGATATGATGAATCACATTAATTGGTTTTTGAGTGTTGAACCAGCCTTGCATAACTGGACTAAATTCCACTCGGTCATGGTGTCTATTCTTTTTATAGATTATTGCATTTTATTAGCTAATATTTTGTTGAGGATGTTGGCATCTATATTCACAAAAGATATTTGTCTATAGTTTTCCATTCTTATAGTTTCTTTGTCTGATTTTGATGTTAGGATAATGCTGGCTTCATAGAATAAATTGGAAAGTTTTCACTCTGCTTTATTTTCTGGAAAATATTACAGACAATTGGTATAACTTCTCCCTTAAATGTTTGGCAGAATTTTACAGTCAATCCATTTGTGATGGTGTGCTTTCCATTTTGGGTGATTACCAACAAATGATTCAGTATCTTTAATAGGTACAGGCTTATGCACATAATCTATTTCTCCTTGTATAAGTCTGGTTGATTGCGTTATCAAGAAATTGCTCCATTTCATCTAGGTTACTAAATTTGTGGCCATTGAGTTGTTAATAATATGCCTTTATTATGTTTTTAATGTCCATGAGATCTGTAGTGATGCCCACTCTTTCATTTCTGTTGGCAATTTTTCTTTTCTCCCCCTTTTTTAGTAACCTGGCAAGGAGTTTATTAATTTTATTGGTCTTTTCGATAAACCAGCTTTTGGCTTTATTGATTTTCTCTATTGAGTTCCTGTTTCGAATTTCATTGATTTCTGTTCTAATTTTCATTATTTTCTTCTGCTTACTTTTGATTTAATTTGCTGTTTTTCTAGTCTCCTAAGGTGGAAGCTTAGATGATTGATTTTTAGATCTTTTTTCTTTTCTAATATATGCATACAATGCTCTAAGCAATGCTTCCACTGCATCCCACAAATGTTGGCAAGTTGTATTTTCATTTTCATTTAGTTCAAAACATTTTTAAATTTCTCTTGAGACTTCTCTGATCCATGTGTTATTTGGAAGTGTGTTTTGGGAGTTTTCCAGGTATCTTTCTGTCACTGATTTCTAGTTTACTTCTATTGTGGCCTAAGAACATACTTCGTTTGACTTCTATTCTTTCAAATTTGTTAAGGTGTGTTTTGTGATTCAGAAAGTGATTTGTCTTGTGAATGTTCTATGTTAGTTTGAGAAGAATGTGTATTCATCTGTTGCATGAAGTATTCTATAGATGTCAATTAGACTTAGTTGATTGATTCAGTTCAACTATGTCCTTGCTGATTTTCTGCTTAATGGGCCTGTTAATACTTTTTTTCTTTCTTTTTTTTTTTTTTAGACAGAGTTTCACTCTGTCACCCAGGCTGGAGTGCAGTGGCATGATCTCGGCTCACTGCAACCTCCACCTCCTGGGTTCAAGCTATTCTCCTGCCTCAGCCTCCCAAGTAGCTGGGACCACAGGCGTGCACCACCATGCCAGGCTAATTTTTTGTATTTTTAATAGAGATGGGATTTCACCATGTTGACCAGGCTGGTCTTGAACTCCTGACCTCAAGGGATCCACCCGCCTCTGCCTCCCAAAGTGCTGGGGTGACGGGCGTGAGCCACCACGCCCGGCCAGGTCTGTTAATGACTATTTGAGGTGTGTTAAAGTCTTCAATTATAATAGTGGATTTGTCTGTTTCTCCTTATAGTTCTATAAATTTTTGCCTCCTGTATTTTGACACTATGTTTTTATTTTTATTTTTGAGACGGAGTCTCACTCTGTCGCCCAGGCTGGAGTGCAGTGGCACGAACTCTGCTCACTGCAAGCTCCGCCTCCTAGGTTCACGCCATTCTCCTGCCTCAGCCTCCCAAGTAGCTGGGACTACAGGCGCCCGCCACCACGCCTGGCTAATTTTTTTCTTTATTTTTAGCAGAGACAGGGTTGCATCACGTTAGCCAGGATGGTCTCGATCTCCTGACCTCGTGATCCGCCCGCCTCGGTCTCCCAAAGTGCTGGGATTACAGCGTGAACCACCACGCCCCGCCTCTTGACACTGTGTTTTTAGGTGCATACACACTAAGGATTGTTACGTCTTCTTGGAGAATTGACCCCTTTATCATTATGTAATGCCCATCGTTATCCCTGATAATTTTACTTACTCTGTAGTACGCTTTGTCTGAAATTAATACAGATCCTTCAGCTTTCTTTTGATTAGTGTTCACATAGTATAGCTTTCTCCATCCCCTTACATTTTAAAAAAATTTTATTGTGGTAAGAACACTTAACATGAGGTCTACCCTCTTAACAAATTTAGAAGTGTACAACACCATGTTGTGAATGATAGGCACGGTGTTGTATGGCAGAACTTAGTAATCTTGTATAACTGAAACTTTAGACCTGTTGACTAGCTACTTCCCATTTCTCCCTTCCCTAGCTCCTGGAAACCACTACTCTACTCTCTCCCTGGGTTCTATGTGTTTCATTGTTTTAGACACTCATGTAAATAGAATTACACAGTACTTGTCTTTCTGTGACTGGCTTATTTCACTTAGAATTACGTCCCCAAGGTTCATCTATGTTTTCACATAGGGCAGGATTTTAAAAAAAATCTTTTTTAAGGCTAGTCAAGTGAACCACTGGGAGGGGAAAAGGAACAAAGAAATCTGTAACTGGTTGTGACCAGTTAGTTGGAAATATCACTGCACTTGGACCAGCTTAGATTTCCTTCCTTTTTTAAGGTGAATAATATTTCATTGTATGCATGCCTATAATCCCAGCACTTTAGGAGGCCGAGGTAGGAGGATCAGTTGAGGACAGGAGTACAAGACCAGCCTGGCCAACATGGTGAAACCCTGTCTCTACTAAAAATACAAAAAATAGCCAGGTGTGGTGGCGCATGCCTGTAGTCCCAGTTACTTGGGAGGCTGAGGCAGGAGAATCGCTTGAACCCGGGAGGTGGAGGTTGAAGTGAGGCAAGATCTCTAACTTATGTTTTCGGTTGAATCTAGATGTTCTGTAACAGGGGGTTTCTTGGTTATCCCCTTCTTTTCTTCTTTTTTTTTCTTTGTTTTTAATGGTTCATTCTGAACCCTGGCTATCTAATCTGCCATACTGATGGAAGCAAAAGTCCCATCCAATTATATTTTCTGTACTTACAACTATGTTTGTTCCCTACTTGCTGGATTTTCTCCTTCCCAGAACCAGATGTGGGAATTGCTTCTACACTTTGTACCTTCCCCTGTCCTTTGTTATACTTTTATGCTTACTCTGTTCTATAGCACTCACTCTATTCCCTTAAACGATACCCCACCTCTCAGTCAATGGTGATGATAGTTCCTTTTCGACTAAAGGAACACTCATTCTTTGGTTTCTTGCCAAGGACAGAATTTAGTTTGTGTCTCTTTTTAAACATCTTGGGTCTCCTTCTGCTTCCTCCCATTTCTGAACACACACACACACACACACACACACACACACACACACACTCTTCTTCCTACCCATTTAAACATGTTCTCTTTGTTGGCATGTTTAAATTTTTATTCACTGACATCACTATTTCAGCTCTCTCTCCTATGGAATTGCAATACTCTTTTTTGTTCCTTGGGATTCCAGGGTATGGCTCAGAGCTAAATTCTTTTCTTCCTCCATTTACAGCACTGCCCACACACTGTTCCATCATTTGCAGATTGATTAGTTACTTCTGCAGCTGTTGCCATCAGTTACAAATGGCTTTAGACGAAGAGATAGGCATATGAAAATACTTTGCAAATTGTAAAGCCATCTACAATGCTAAGGGCTATTCAGGCATAAGATATACACTATAATTTAGGCTTCAGCAGAGGCAAATGCCCCTGACTTTGATTGTGTAGAAAAAAATGCTTCTTAAAGGCTTCTGAAGCTGAAAAGTGGTCTATACAGAAAGAGAAGTCTTTCAGGAGGAAGTAGAGCACCCAGTTTAGAAGTTGCTGTCAATTTGATTCTTCCTACATTTGAATAAGCAAATCCATTTTAATCCACTACTAAAGACAAAAGAAACACTGAGAAGTCTTCCAAACTTATGTTTCTTAGTTGTTTCCATCTCTCCCAATTTGCTGTTGTGCCATAGGCTAAGAGTGTAATGACCGCCATACACCCATGAAGCATGGTTTGGAAGAGTAGAAGGAATTACAGGGCTGGTAGAGAATATAAACAGGGATCTCCCAGAAGTTCATGTTAATTCAAAATAATTAATTAATCATGACAGCCAACCTACGGTTCCAGGGATAAGAGTGGGAAGAGGCAGGTTTCCAATGTGCATATCTATGTAGAGAACTAAGAGACCTTATAGACACAGCAGAAAGAACACTGGACTAAGAATCTGAAGACTGTTGTTGACAAAAGAAAAATGGATCACAGAATTGTCCCTTGATGAAACCAGCTCCTTTCTGGCTGTGAGGTGGCCTTCCAACTCAGACACTGTGATTCTCTGATCAGGACCAGTTGACATGGTTTTGTCTGAGTTGAAAAGCCAGCTCTTGGTTAATGTTTTTGGTTGGTTGGCTTATCTCAATTCCCTGGGTTTTAATATCTGTGTCTCTGTATTTATGTGAAGTCAACCACTGTAGTTGATGTAGGGCAGCCTGTCTTTCACCAAGGCACTAACTCTATTCTGTGATATGAGAAACGCCGAAGTCCTGAAACAGCATGATAGAAGCAAGGCTGGAGTTTCCAATGTTGCTTCTGAGGCAAGTCCCTGATTATATGCAACTTTGTCCCTTCTCTCTTTTCCACAGCACTTGCCAAGCACTTCAGCATCAGGAACTCCAGAACTTTTTGATAGTGCTCTTCACACACAAAAAGCATAAGAGTAATGCCTGGTGTTCTAAACATTTCAGAATACATTTAATAAATTCTGTTTATCTCTCAGTCTTCAAGTCCCAGATTTAGGGGCACAATGAGAAAGACTTGCCGTTTGTATTCTATGGAACACTGTAACTTCCTGCTATGAGTGTCACTTCCTTAATGTTTGATTGACTCCAGGCTGATGAAGTCTATGTAGTCAGTGCAGAAATTCTTCTTAATATCCCGGTGTATGACCTACAATTTAATTTTGACATTTTCTTTCATATCATGGTTATAGATTAGATCTAGATTGGGGCTCCCCAGTTCCTTGATCCTAGAAAGGGAATCCATTGGTTTATTTTGAGTCATGCCTACTTGGAGAGTCATCTCCAAGCACTCTTGCATTCAGATGCACAGGCTTGGGCTGGGAATAGCTCCAAACCACCCTAGATCAGGACCTCTGTGGCTTTGTAGAGCTTTCCAGTGGCAAGGCTACATCTGCCTTCCATTTCCATTCCTGCCTCTAACCATCTGTCCTTCCAATTCTTCCAAAAATGGCTTCAGTCAGAAAAATAGCTCATTTGACATCCGGCCTTCCGGTTTGCTTCTCCTAGCTAAAACTCGTTTCTCCCTGAACACTAGACTGCAAACTTCCTCTTCCTGACAGGACCTAGGCCTTTTTAAATGTGGACTCCAGCGCCTAGAACAGTTCCTGGCATCCAGCAATCACTTTATATTCATTCAAAGGGTGACTGACCCTGTTTCCCTTAATGGTTACTGAATCACTGAATACAATTCACTTTTCTGTATTGTTTTATATTCTGTCTCGCAATATTACTACGACTGATCTGATTTCTTCTTCTCTCCCTCCCTTCAGTCCTCCCTCCCTCCTTCCCTCCCCTCCCTTCCTCCCTTCCTTGGGATCTCCCTACTGAAACTGATTTATAAATTTTCCCCAGAGTGAAACCCATTTCTAAAACAGTACTTTGGGTAAGGTTCTAAATTATAAAATATTCAAACATCCTAGTTCTGTATCAACTTTTTTTAATTTTTTTTTTTTGAGACAGATTCTTGTTCTGTCACCAGACTGGAGTGCAGTGGTGTGATCTCGGATCACTGCAACCTCCGCCTCCTGGGTTCAAGCGATTCTCCTGCCTCAGCCTCCTGAGTGGCTAGGACTACAGGCGCGCGCCACCACACCCAGCTAATTTTTGTATTTTTAGTGGAGACAGGGTTTCAGCATGTTGGCCAGGATGGTCTCGATCTCTTGACCTTGTGATTCGCCCGCCTCGGCCTCCCAAAGTGCTAGGATTACAGGCGTGAGCCACTGTGCCTGGCCTTTCTTTTTTTGGTTTTTGAGACAGAGTCTTGCTCTGTTGCCCAGGCTGGAGTGAAATGGCGCGATCTTGGCTCATTGCAACCTCCGCCTCCTGGGTTCAAGCAATCATCCTGCCTCAGTCTCCCAAGTGGCTGGCATTATAGGCGCCTGCCACCACACCCGGCTAATTTTATTTTTATTTTTTTATTTTTAGTAGAGACGGGGTTTCGCCATGTTTGCCAGGCTGGTCTCCTGACCTCAGGTGATCCACCTGCCTCGGCCTCCCATATGCTGGGATTAAAGATGCGAGCCACCACACCCAGCCTATATCAACTTTTATGAGGTTAATGCAAATTCATCTTGTCTACATTACCTGAGGTCAGCAGTTCGAGACCAGCCCAGCCAACATGGCAAAACCCCGTCTCTACTAAAAATACAAAATTAGCCAGATGCAATGGCGGGTGCCTGTGGTCCCAGCTACTCAGGAGGCTGAGGCAGGAGAATCACTTGAACCTGGGAGGAGGAGGTTGCAGTGAGCCGAGATCACGCCACTGCACTCCCATCTGGGCGACAGAGACTCCATCTCAAAAAAAAAAAAAAAAAAAAAGAAGTTAAACACAAAAAGCCACATGTTGCATGATTCAATTTATAGGAAACATAGAGAACAGGTGAATCCATAGGGGCAAAAAAGCAGAAAACAGGGACTGCAAGGTGTCGGGGATAGGGAGTAACTAATTTATGGACACAGGTTTCCTTTTGGAGTGATGAAAATGTCTTCTGGAACTAGACAGAAGTGATGGTTATACAGCACTGTGAATGTTATCAAATGTTACTAATGATAAATTTTGTTACGAGAATTATACCACATCAAATATATAGTACCTGACATACAAGCATTCTAAAAACTTTACATTTTTTTAATAGCAAAATGAGCAAAACTATCTCTCAAACAGGAAATCACCTAAGTATATTATTAAATACATTTTTAGGCCAGGCGTGATGGCTCACCCCTGTAATCCCAGCACTTTCGGAGGCCGAGGAGGGTGAATCACTTGAGGTCAGGAGCTCAAGACCAACTTGGCCAAGATAGTGAAACCCCGTCTCTACTAAAAATACAAAAATTAGCTGGGCATGGTGGCAGGCACCTGTAATCCCAGCTACTTGGGAGGCTGAGGCATGAGAATTGCCTGAACCTGGGAGGCAGAGGCTGCAGTGAGCCAAGATCACTCCACTCCACTCCAGCCTGGGCAGCAGAGTGAGACTCATCTCAAAAAAAAAAAAAAATTTTTTTTTTAAATCACTGGAATGGTATGCAGCCTTTGAAGAGCATGAACACGATCTACAAGTACTCACATGGAAAAATGTGACATAGCAATAAAAAGCTTCAGATCAGCATATATGGTATGACTTATGTTAAGTCATGTTAAAACACACATGCTTACTGTAATCCCAGTACTTTTGGGGGCTGATGGGGGAGGATTGCTTAAGGACAGGAGTTTGAGGCCAGCCTGGGCAACATTACAAGACCCCATCTCCACAAAAATAATAAAAAAAAAAATAGCCAGGCTTGGTGGTGCACGCCTACTATTCCCACCTACTCAGGAGACTGAGGCGGGAAGGACCACCAGAGCCCAGGAGTCTGAGGCTGCAGTGAGCCATGATGGTGCCACTGTACTCAAGCCTGGGCAACAGAGTGAGATCCTGTCTCTAAACAAAAACAAAAACAAAAAACAAAAAACAAAACAAAATAGGTCGGGCTTGGTGGCTCACCCCTATAATCCCACCACTTTGGGAGGCCAAGGCGGGTGGATCACCTGAGGTCCAGAGTTCGAGACCAGCCTGGCCAACATGGTGAAACTCCGTCTCTACTAAAAATACAAAATTAGCTGGGCGTGGTGGTGCATGCCTGTAATCCCAGCTACTCGGGAGGCTGAGGCAAGAGAATCACTTGAACCCAGGAGGCGGAGGTTGCAGTGAGCTGAGATTGCACCACTGCACTGCAGCCTGGGCGACAGAGCAAGGCTCTGTCTCATACAAATAAATAAATACAAACAAAATAAAATAAAATACACATGTTCATGCACAGATATGTGCCTAGAAAATGACTGGAAGGATAATACAAGAAAAATGCGAACAGTGGTTATCTCTGGCATGAATAGCATAGAGGGGCAGGTAACGTCCCCCCCTGCCCTTTTTTTTTAAACTTCATACCCTTTTATATTGATTTTGTGTGTGTACAATATATAGCACTTTGAGGTTTTTCAATGATAAGTTCAGAGTTAACAGTGTGACATGGCAGTCAAAAAATTCAAATCTGCTCCTAGATGGCATTACTAGAAATACACAATCTAGAACATGGGAGGTAATTACCAGATTTCAGAATTAAAATGTATTGGCTTTATAACCCTTACGAGGAGTCAAATTTGTCACTTTCTCAGTGTAACAATTACTCAGTGTCCGAGTGGTTTCTGCACATGGTCAAAGGGACAAGGTAAGTTCTACTTCACAGGGTGCAGAGCACACCGGAAGTGGTCACCAAATATTTGCTGAGTGTTCTGAGTCCCAAATACCGTCTAAGGCAAACGATGTTTTAAGCTTTTGTTTAGCCTTTCTCCTTAACTTGTTTAAGAATGTTTTAAAAAATTCAATTAATAGGCTGGGCGCGGTGGCTCATGCCTGTAATCCCAGCACTTTGGGAGGCCGAGGCAGGCGGATCACTTGAGGTCAGGAGTTCGAGACCAGCCTGGCCAACATGGTGAAACTCCGTCTCTACTCAAAATACAAAAATTAGCCAGTCGTGGTGGCGGGTGTCTGTAGTCCCAGCTACTCAGGAGGCTGAGGCAGGTGAATCACTTGATCCCGGGAGGTGGAGGTTGCAGTGAACCAAGATTGTGCCACTGCACTCCAGCCTGGGTGAGAGTGATTGACTCTGCCTCAAAAAACAAAACAAAAAAAAAAAAAAGAAAAAGAAAATGAAAAAAATTCAATTAATAGAGGAGCACAAGATAATATTAAAGAAAACCCATCCACAAGCCTGAACTCTTAAAAAAAATCATTTTATTGATCCTTTACCATACAAAATTTATTCAAATTACACCCATTTGAAGTGGTAAGATCACAGCTAGAGAACAGGTCACCCTGTAACAAATCTATTTACAAAATCCATCATAAAAGCTTTTTTTTGTTTTTTTTTACATTATATTACATATTTTCTTTTTTAAACTAGCATACAACACAAAGCTAAACTGATTAGTAGTTTGCCTACTCCCAATTTTGGGAGAAATACTTCCTTTTTACAAAATCACGTACCCCGTAGGAAAAGAAATTCCCACACCCTGACAATTGCCACCCGACTTACTCTGCAAGCCATCTTCCTTCATATCCCTCCTTCTCATACACACGAGTTGTCATGCACACACTGAATTCTTATTTTCTTTTTCCTGAAAGCTTAAGCTTTAAATACTGCAATTTTATTTACAGATCTACACGTACAACAAAAATGAAAACAAGAGCCACAACAAAGAACAGAAAAACAAAAACAAAATAACACTCTTAAAAAATTACAAAGCAGCTAGAAAGTATTCTGGCAGTGTTTACAAATTAATTGCTATTTTTGTACAAAATTGCTAAATAATGAAAATGTGAGTAGACTACATATCAACTTAAATAAAACGATTGCTATGCACAACTCTGTACATATAAACACACTCCTAACACTGTTTGACAGCTCATGTGTTGCCCTTTATACATTTTATTTTCTAAGGCTCACGCAGTCATAATTTGCACACTTGTAACTTTTAGCCATTTCGTGTGTGAGCTTTAATAGCAGCAACTCAATGGTACCAGGAAACCTGCATACTTAGTACTTAAAGTAACGCAAATACTGTAGTACTAACCCACTTTGTGTGCCGGATACTAAGTCAAAAAGAAAATTACTTAATGCAAACAAAATACAGTATGGACATCTAATTAATGTACACCAGTTAAACCCAGTAACTGGAAAAAAATCTTATGCATGAAGGAACTTTTAAGACTTATTAGTATTCCTTTCATTTTAAAAACAATAAATACGGCATTACATTATGAAAAAATTCAACAAAACACACAACAATCTAGCCAGGTGAGCTCAGTCTTTAGACTTTGGAAAAAATCAGCTTTGTGCAGCTGGCAAAGAGAATTACACAAAGCTGGAAGCAGAGGCAGCTAACCAGATGAGATAAATATGGGAAATGGGGAAAAGCTTGGCATAAATGGTTTCCCATACAGGAAAAAACCCCACAGTGCATTTCCAGTAGGCACTTAACACAAAGCTCCCTCTCCCTCCCCCACCCCAATGCTTCATCTAGGACCACACCGACATTTTGTACCAAGTCCAGTGTGTGTGAGGGGAGGAGGCCAGGGATGGAGGCTGAAGAAGAAAAAAAGGAAGATAGTCTGCACCTTTGTTTTTCTTCCCAAACATACACCCACGCATACCCACACAAAGAGTTTAAAGTGCTGGTGTCATCTGTCTTGACCCCACCACCACTTTGCATATTGTGGAAATCTACCTGGAGTAAACTGGCTGGGGCTCTTGTGGTTTTTTGTGTGTTTTTTTTTTTTCCTAAGGGATATTTTCAATTCAATTAAACATATGAGTTGAGTGCCTACTATGTGCCTACCATTGGGTCAGGCACATAGCATTTCAATTTAACTGTTCGTTTCGAGGTTTGTTCTTTATCTGACTCCCTCATTCCCGCAGTCCTTAGCATCCAAGGAATGGACCGGAGATACTACGCCATATTCCCAGTGGGAGATGGCCGCTGCCACCTGCCCGAGGGAAAGCCATTCTTGGACATAACTGGTAGGATTTGCAGCTGACACAAAGCCTCCAACTTGGGACACCATTCCTGAAGAGTAAAGCGGGAGACACCCTGGCATTGTTTTGCTTCATTTTTTACGTCCCCGACTTCCCTTGGTCCAACTTATTCCTTCATAGAGGAAGGGGAACGGGGTCTGGCCAGAACTATTCCAGCCCCCGACACAGGGCTGCTCCCTGTTCCTGCCAGCTTAAGGAAATGCCACTCACACAATGGGGATGTCTTTCTCCCTAGAGGTCTCTCCATCTGACCCCATCCTGAGAAGTGGTCTCCCTGAGTGCGGTGTAAGAGAGCCCTTTCCCCTGTCACAGGGGCCCGGGAAGCCCAAGGATGGAGGGACCCATGCCTGCTGCTCCTTGGGGCTGTTACATCATCTGACCTGGTTCTCCTTTCCAATGGGCCACCCATGTCAGCAAGCCCCAGGACTGACTCGCTCCAAGCTCCCCCTCCTGGGAATGGAAGCACGATGGGACAAAGCTCCTTGCAGAGGCTGATAAACCTTAGATCACACAGGTTTAGATGCTCTGATCAGTAGAGGTTCTCTCCCTCTGCTTAAGTAATATGAATTTGCAAAAACCGCTTCAAAGTAAACAATTAAATTGAAATGGTGATGGGTGCCACAGGAATGCTTAAATGGCAGCTAAAAAAATTAAAAGTCTAGAACAATCCACAAAGAACTAAGTAGGCATTTGCTACAAATCAACTGGAAACTCACAAACACATTGGGGACGGGGGAATGGGAGTGGTTCATGGAGACAGGAAAATCCACAACAGCTTAGAGTGGCAGAACTCTACTAGTCTTCTGTATCTGCAACAAGTATATTTGAAAACAGGTTCTTCATCCAGAAGGCTGTGGAGGTTTTCTTGACCTCCTACTGGGACACACAGTTCATAGCTTAAACTGAATTATGACAGTAATTTAAATATTCCTAAGAAGAGCTGAAGAAATCCATTTCATACTTTTGCATGACTTCAAGTTTGCATTTGCTGCAGTTCCATTCCATATTAGCAGACCTCAAAGACATGCATTCTGCGGAGAAGGCACGGCTTGAAATGCTATTAAGGAAGATTGCTGTTTCCCAGCAGGCCAGGTGGCCAGACCCCATTCTACAGCCCATCCGTCAGGCACAGCAAGCCAATCCGGGGAGGAAGGAGGAAGGACAATTCGGGGTGAGAGACACCTGATTGCACATTTTCTCACTTGCTGACTTAGCCAGGAGATCTTGGAGCCTGGAGCAAAGCAGGGCTTTCCCAAGGGAGCCTGCAACTGTGCGTTTAGACAATTTGTTTATTAATTTTTTAAAAAATTCATTAAAATGTCAGCTTTCTTCTGAAGTTTGTAGTTTACTTCATGATACTCTCTTGGAGGAAGAAGGTAGGAAGGGACAACACTGCATGACAGATGTTCTGGTTCCATGATAAAAAAATATCGGTTTTTAAGGAGAGTTCACACGAAGCATAATCAACTACACATGAAGTCTTCCACCAGTGGGAGCTTTTCCAAATCGTAAGCATCGAAGAGATCGCTGATGCCTTCCTCCTCCCCGAGGCTCAGGAGATAGTCCTCTTGCAGCAGGGGAGGCAGTAAGTTCACAAACGGTCCTTCTAGGTTGGAAGGAATTTGGTCCTCAGTCTGCTGTAAGAGGTTGGCTGGGGAGGCCAGAGGAGAAAGGTTTCCCATAGAAACTGAGCAATCGCTATGTCCTGAGTTGGTTGAAGCCAAGTCTGAAAAGAAAACATTGATGGAAACAAAAAATAAGTTAGAAAAATCAAATGAATTTTTCTGGAAGAATGTATATGTTGCTGTTAGAAAAAAGCATGTACCTTCCGCAAATAATGACAATGAGACGACTTTATGATGCAGATCACCTTTTATGCTAACAGGTACAAAAAAGTTCCTTGCCACCCCCGTCCCCCTTTTAATTTTTGAGACAGGGTCTTATTCTCTTGGCTGGAGTGCAGTGGTGTGATCATGACTCACTGCAGTCTTGAACTTCTGGGTTCAAGGGACCCTCCCACCTCAGCCTCCCAAGTAGCTGGGACTCCAGGTGTGAGCCACCATGCCTGGTTAATCTTTTTTTGTAGAGACAGGGTTTTGCCATGTTGCCCAGTCTGGTCTCGAACTCCTGGGCTCAAGTGATCTGTCTTCCTTGGCCTCCCAAAGTGCTGAAATTACAGGTGTGAGCCACCATGCCTGGCCATCTTTCTTTGGCCCTAGTCTACTCACTCATTTTTCAAATAACTACTGTCAATAAACAAGAATGCAAATAACTTCAATGATGAGAGGATAACAAGTTCAAAAACTTCTCTCTGCTATCTAGTCATTGTTTTAAGAAAATCAAAACAAAACAATATATACATACTGAAAAGTTGGCTTCCTAGTAGAAACTCACCAACTGAAAAAAGAACTTTTTTTTTTAAGAGACGGCGTCTTGCTATGTTGTCTACGCTGGAGTGTAGTGGCTATTCACAGGCAAGCATAGCTCACTCTAACCTCGAACTCCTGGGCTCAAGCGATCCTGCCACCCCAGCCTCCCTATAGCTGGGACTACATGCAGAATTCACTGATTTTAACTCAGTCTTTTTTGAACAACCAGCTTATTAAAAAGATCTCTAAAAATACATACAATAAGACAGATCCACTTTGGATTTCTGTGGTGAAGAAAGATGGCCTTTTGTTTTACCATTTCAGGTGATGTACTTTTGCTCAGTATTAAATCAGACTTATTCACTTAAATCACCCTTATTCTTGCTGCTATATAGGGAGACACTAAGGGAAACAATTGCATATATATCTCCTCAAGTTAGGAAATGGAAAAATATATACTGCAAAGAGCTTCCTTTGCTCTTTGCAGAGCGGGAAGGAGAAGTTAGATTTCTTTTCTTTTCTTTTCTTTTTTTGAGATGGAGTCTCACTCTGTCACCAGGCTGGAGTGCAGTGGCGGATCTCGGCTCACTGCAACCTCCGACTCCCTGGTTCAAGTGATTCTCCTGCCTCAGCCTCCCGAGTAGCAGGGATTACAGGCACGTGCCACCACGCACAGCTAATTTTTGTATTTTTAGTAGAGACAGGGTTTCACTGTGTTGGCCAGGACAGTCTCGATCTCCTGACCTCGTGATCTGCCTGCCTCGGCCTCCCAAAGTGCTGGGATTACAGGTGTGAGCCACCGCACCCGGCAAGACTTACTTTCCTAGCGTTCTCCTCCCATATCCTCTCCCCATCTCATTGGGGGGGAAAATAAGACAAAAATTCTCCAACAAAGGCTTTTCTCCTCAAACCTTTTTCATTTCCCTCTCTGATGAGCTCTGCAGTGTGATTCAAAGGTGTGTGGCCAAGTGTCTCTGATGATCCAACAAGACAGTTCACAGCTTTGCTCCTCACTTTAGCTGGTTTTCAAAAATGCTGTAAGGAAACATTCTCTGCCAATAGCAAAAGCCTGAAGCGACTCCATAAGTGGGTGAAGGAGCCGTTTTTCCCAAATCATTATTTTCTTCTGCAAACCAGTCAGAATGTCTTTTAAAACATGTTACCTAATACCAATAGAAGTTTGTGTTTCTTGCCTAGGCTTGTGGTTCCAATACAGATGGTTCTAGTCACCCTCATTTTTAACATAGTTTCTAAAAGACAAAAGTGGAGTTTTTACCTTTGGAAGCGGGTTTAGGGATATTCCCATTGTGGTCTTGGTTGTTTGTTTTCATTGGACTGTGTGTTTCAGTCTCTTCTGGACATAAGTAAACCTCAATGGGCCCTTGGGTACTTGCCAAATGTATTTGTAGGCTCTATGAACAGAAGTGGGAGAAGTTCGAATCAGAAGTTCTTTTAGAAATAAAAGCCATAGTAATTCTTGTCTAAAAATGGAAAGTAAGAACAATGTTCGTTTTTCACTTGCTTTTTCCCTACTAGTCCAACTCTATGAAAGACTGTCATCCTCTAGAGCAGGGGTCAGCAAACCACAGCCTAAGGGCCAAATCCAGTTCACCAAGTGGCTTTGTAAATAAAGTTTTATTGGAAGAGAGTCACATCCATTCCCATTGTTTATTATTGCCTCTGGCTGTTTTCGTATCACAATGTCAGAGGTGCACAGTTGAATAGTCTAGACACAGGCTGTACGGCTCGCAAAGCCAAAAATATTTACTATCTACCTGGCACTTCAATGAAAAAGTTTGCTGAGTCCTGCCCTAGAGAAAGAAAACTATTTTAGTGGGGCTTGGGGGAGAGGGGAGTCATTCTGAAAATAGCACAATGGGTGAGGTGAATTGTGTTCTTTGGATATATTCTTTTTCTGCAAATTATTACAAGGTCCTTTAAGTGTTCCAAATTCAGTATCTCCATGTTATTGTTCCTTTATGGTAGGACTTTTTCATGTTGAACTGTATACTGATGAATAGTATTCTTAAGTGCTAGGAACTGCATCTATTAAGAGAATGCAGCATACCAACATTTAAAAATCTTTTTCATCTAGGTCAAAGAGCTATTATTATCTTTTAAGGTAAGAAGTCTACCCTAGATGGAAGCGTGTAACTTTCATTCTCTTTTTATCTCCTATGCATTTTCTTTTTACTACAACTCTTTATGTTATAGTTGTAGTCTAGGCCTCTATTATCCAAGTATATCTGAAAATTACAAAAATATGCCCCCTACTTTCTTGCAATATTCTAGTCTATCAGCTAACCCAAAGCCCCATGTGATCTCTCAAAATGTTATAAGTTAGGGAGAGACTTTAAAACATTTATATATCTGTTCGTGGTGGGGACCATATACAGGATAATCAATATAAACTTTCCAAAGTGATTCAAATTGATCAAAACCGTTGATGACAAATTATGAAAAAGAGAAAGTATGAGAGGGACAGCGCATCATATACCACTTTGAACTGAACATCCTGCTAGGTCAAAGTTAGGTTGTTTGAATACTCAATGAACATCAAACCATTGAAATGTTTTCAAATGTATGGTTAAGTAAAATAAATGGGAAAGAACCATCAAGTTCATAGGAGGGGGACAGACTTTAACTATGAGTCAATGAGTCATTCAATTTCAGGCATTCCACAAAGATCTTTGCAGATGAACAAAGACGCTGTCTCCTTACCTCTATTGAGTCAGGCACTTCAAGTCTTGTTTCTGGAGGGGCTTTCACAACTATAACAGTTTGGTCTTTAAGGCCACTAATTTTTCGAATATCTTGATATGTAACATAAGCTAACGTAAAGAGTGTCAAGGAATCTTCCATCTAATTACCTCAGATATAAGTATGATGAAAATGACAAAATAGATGCATGGAATATTTTAAAGTATTTTATGACTTAGAAGTATGCATATGTGGCCGGGCGCGGTGGCTCACACCTGTAATCCCAGCACTTTGGGAGGCCGAGGCGGGTGGATCATGAGGTCAGGAGATGGAGACCAACCTGGCTAACACGGTGAAACCCCGTCTCTACTAAAAATACAAAAAGTTAGCCAGGCGTGGTGGCGGGCGCCTGTAGTCCCAGCTACTCGGGAGGCTGAGGCCGGAGAATGGCATGAACCCGGGAGGTGGAGCTTGCAGTGAGACGAGATCGCGCCACTGCACTCCAGCCTGGGCGACAGAGCGAGACTCCTTCTCAAAAAAGTATGTGTATGTCTCCCCTTCTGGATGTGCAAATGTTTAGGGTCTCCCATGAATCTTCATTTCTGGTTGACACTCTAAACAACTAAAGAAATGAATAGCTTTATCCCGCCCATTTCTAAAAAGACTATGGCTATTTAAAATATTAAACATAGAAACAGAACAGTTAAAATAAATGATCATAAGAAAATAAAAAACTAAGTGGTCAGAAATTTTATCTTGAAGCCAGGGTCCTTTGCAGCACAGGCATTCCATGAACTCCAATAAAGTGTTCTGTCACTCAAACTGAATGATGGCAGATTCCAATTTGCAGGAAAAAAAAATGTAATCTCTATTAGCCATAATTTTTTTGAAACTCCAGTTACTTCTATCTACAAGCAAGTGTCAGCAGCCACCAAGTAAATAAATAAGTAACAAATACATTAGTGGAGGAACTCAGAATACTGCTCAGGCAGACAGCTTGTTTTCTTAAGTGCACCTGGGCTGGTTGTGATTATGTACTGCCTACAGAAAAGAGTGTCATTATTTCTGTTAGAAAAATTATGCTTTGCGTGATACTATATTAACTCTATCAATATTTCAGTGTTCATGAGGAAGAAAGCAGTTTCCAGGTGCTCTGCGACTTGAATGAATTTGAGAAACACTGATTTAGGAAAAGAGAAAAGTATAATATCTCAGTACTCTTGGTAGTTATTTCCTTTTTCTTTTTGAGACAGAATCTTGCTCTGTCACCCAGGCTGGAGTTCAGTGGCCCAATCTCAGCTCACTGCAACCTCCGTCTCTGGGGTTAAATGATTCTCGTGCCTCAGCCTCCCAAACAGATGGGACTACAGGCGTGCACCACCACACCCGGCTAATTTTTTTTATTTTTAGTAGAGATGGGGTTTTACCCTGTTGCCCAGGCTGGTCTTGAACTCCTGGACTCAAGTGATCTGCCTGCCTCCGGCCTCCCAAAGTGCTGGGATTACAGGTGTGAGCCACGGCGCCCGGCCTTGGTCATTTTTTCTAAGCACTGAACCATTCTTTTAAATGTCCTGACAGCCAAGCCTAAAAGGCTATCATGAAAGAATATGGTACTTACGATATGACAAAAGTATTCAATTAATGTACAATGTCTTTAGCCCGTTATTATTTTTTATATGTACCCACAAAAAATTCCTAGGATAAAACAGCAAGTAACAAACCAATGAAGGCATTTCAGCAGGTAGTATAACGTATTTAATGGCTAATAGAGTCCGTGATCTAATATGTTTAATATAAAAAAAAGGGGGGGCTTAGAGACCCTAGAATAAATCATGTCCCTTACGATAGTAGCTTCTTTTTTTTTTTTTTTTTGAGACGGACTCCCACTCTGTCACTAAGGCTGGAGTGCAGTGGCACGATTTCAGCTCACTGCCACCTCTGTCTCCCAGGTTCAAGTGATTCTCCTGCCTCAGCCTCCCGAGTAGCTGGGATTACAGGCATGAGCCACCGTGCCTGGCTGTAGTAGCTTCTTATTAGAAACTGAATGCAGCTATGGAACTACTACTCCAGAAAGAAAGCACATTCACACGAAATCTGCATACACATGTAGGGGATCTATCACAGACTATCTCCTTCAAATCTTTACAGTTGAGATGATGGCTAATTCAGTGTTGAGCTTGTAGTGGCTGCTCTTGCAGGATTCTGGGTTTTAGGTCACTACATAACCCATCAAAGAAGTCAACGGATGCCTTTATAGAGGGCCAGGCAGTTCTGATTTTTTACTGAGAACACTGGAAAAAACTGACAACCAGGTACTTACACTACAGCTCACTGTCAAAAAGCTGTATGACAAGAACTTATTAAAATAAAAACTCATCACTTCTTGGCCTTTTGGCTAAGATCAAGTGTAAAAGAAAAACTCATCTACGATTACTCAACATGCTGCAGGAAGGAAAATTTCAACACATTTGTGAACAAGCTGTACCAATTTGGGAACTGAATGGTGAACTGAAATAAATTGTGCAAATGTATTTTCTAATCTTACAAACTTAAAAGTGCTTCCTTTGTGGCTCCCTCCTGAATTTACTCCTTGGGTTCGAAGTTCCCTGCAAGGAAGCTTTCATTTTCTGCAACAAAGGCCCCAGAGAGAGCTAATATAGGTGACAATGCCATAAGCCACATGTCCCGGAAGGCTGCCAATCACATGTAACCACCCATCTCTTCCACAATGGGGCTCCCAACCAAACAATGAATGAAACAGCCCAACTGTTGGTTTCTTCCCCTGTAAACCCACTCTGCCAACCACTGGGGGTCCAAATCACTACGCCTCTCTTCCATCTCACTAATTATCGGCTGACAAGGTTAATTCTTTGGTCAACAGGAAATGAACAATTGCAGGTTTGAAAAACTGCCAACATTGGAAGAAAATAAATATCTCCATATTCTCCAAGGGGGAGCCTGTTAAAGATGAGACACTAGAAGAATCTGGGCAGAACACTTTTTAGTTTTTGTCAAATAATGGTAAATGTGCAATCATCAGAAGTTTGGAACTAAAACTAGAGATGGGATAACTTACAGTACTGTTTTTTGTCTTCTAATAACTGAGAATATTGGCAAGTCTTGTTTGACATAATGAGGCAATCTCTCTCTTACTTTGTCTGTAGTGAGATGATGAAGAGCAAGTTTTCCTGAGATCGTCAATAGATTGTCAGGAAGTTGAGAACAAGAACTGACCTTTTGTATTTTTATTTGCGAGGACTAATGTTTGTAGTGGAACAGAGGAATTGAGAGGGGTTTCTCAGGTCTTGGGGTGCTTTTGAAATCAGTTTTTTCATTGGGAATCAGCAGAATGCACTTTAAGAGTTATAGTATGATTTTTCTCTACTCTTTCAAACCCTTCAACTATAGCCCAATCAGATAGATTCAACCAATTTCAATTGCTACGATATCTGGTGAGAAGAAAATAGAATGTGAGAACCCCAACAGTGACAGCTAACACCCACCAAAAATCTGGGAAGCCAAAGACGAATCTGCTTAGTGTTGTCATTAATATTAATACCGACACCTTATGTATCTTTTAATAGTGTGGCCTTACGCTACGAGTATACCCATGTCTCAACCACACATGAAAAAATGCTTTAAAAAACAGTTCCCACCTGGTATCAAAATAGATAATAATAGGATCGAGTTGGTGACTATCTTACCATAAATACTGACTTTTTAGGCAAAGCTAACTGGGTTTACACACACACGTGCACACACACACACATACACACACAGGCACACAGGTACTCATTTGCATGACATCAGAATAATAATCTACCTTGTGCATAAGTCAGATTGTCAACTCTGGAAATAGTCTAGGAAGCACTAACCCCCAGAGAACTGGCGGCACAAAGGATATCTTTGATTCTCTGAATCCTCGGTTAACAGTTTGAGGTCCAGGGTGCAGCTTTGGATCAGTTCATCTAATTTCTTCTCTTCCTGACTGAGCTCGGTCACTTCTTTTGACAGGCCTTGACACTGGGCCAGCATGCCCCCATCCTCAGACAGACTGCAGCCCCTAGAAACCCAAACACAGACTCTTCATGGCTACTCATGGGAGGGAGGGGAAGGAGAAATGATCCTTTGGGTAAATGTCTCCTCTTGACATAGGAGGTCACATTGCTTGTTAGCCAAGTGTTAAAATTAGAACATTTACACATATATATATATATATATATATTTTTTTTTTCATAAATACAGTTCTGCACTTTTCACAGCATAGAAATTTAGTGAAAGCGCACTGCTATTTTCAGGATTCTTTCCTCCAGGGGAGGTCTACTTCTTCAGAAGGTTCAAATTCAGAGGGCAAAAGAAGGCAACCACCTTCCTCCCTTGCCTCATGGCTCCCAGGTGGTGGGGGAAGAAAGGCGAAAAAGGATAAAAAGATAGAGAAAGACAGAGAAGATGGAATGGTTCAAAATTAAAAAAAAAAAAAAACAAAAAAACAACCCATCCAAAAAAGCATCAAAAACTCAGGTAATTACTGAGGGTCTTATATCAACAACTAAAAAGAAAAGAAAGTAAAGGAAACAGATGTATGTGATGTATGCAAGAACTGAGACTAGTGCACAATATGTTTCTCTAAACCAGAGGCCAAAACGGGTTACCAAACTGTCAACAAAATTCCAAAATGTGCAAAAAAAGGTATGTATTCATCTTCCATCTGAATTAGTATCTTTTCAAAGCCCTCCTGTAACAGAATTATTCCTTCCAAAATGCTTTAATAATTCAATACTGTGCTTATAGTGGCTATTTAGATGCTCTAAAATTCACAAAATATATTACATATGTAATCATACGTGTGGCTGTATAAGTATCATGCTACCATCCCTGCTCTACAGACGAAATGGAGGCATTTAAGTCTTGCCTTAATTTACCCAGAAAGTGAGTTAATCTGCTATTAGAACCATGGATAAAGATATTCTGTAACTATGCAGTTGTACGTATACACATAGATAACCCATAAGCCATCATTTCCAGATTCTTATTAGAAACAAGCTGAAGACGTGTACACATCTGTCAGATACACACGTGGGTGCACACAGACATCTATGTAACAGATGAACAGCAGTCCACTTTCCAACTGCAGGGACCTCTTTAAGGATGCCGTTGCTGGATGCTCATCAAATATAAATCCTTTTATCTCTGACAGTATCTAAACAAAGTCTCTTTGTAAAGAGACTTCAAACTTCTGGCTTAGAAGCTGAGGAGGGAAGAGAGAATGAGAGAGAAGAAAACAGTAGGAGAGAAAAGAAAAGAACGTGTGGGCGTGGATGTGAAAGTGAGGAACTAAGAAACCAGGCAGTTTGAAACGACCCCCTCAGAGCCGGGGCATGGGGAGGACTCCTACTCACATCCATTGGACGTTGTTTTTAGACTTCTTCTTAATGAGGTGGATGCCTTCCAGAACGTTGGTGATATCATAAATCCTTCTCTTTTGCACTTTTAGCACTTCTGCTGCCTTGTTCAAATCCAATACCCCATCGGGTGACTGGCTCAGGAGCTGAATGAACTTCTTGGTGAGCAGACCAAGAGACGTATCATACCGCGTTTTTTCTGAGGGAGATTTTGGAGCTTAAAGAAAAACAAAAACCGAGCGGGTGGGGGATAGGGGGAAAGGTAAAGAAATGAAGGGTGTCTTTGCAGTCAAGCAAGCTCTCTTTCCCACTGCAGCCAAAGTATTAGTATCTGAAGCAAGGCTGTCGTTGCTGTTGGTGTTGGCAAGTCATAGAAAGCTATGAAAGTTTTTTATTAGAGCAGGAAGGGAAGGTAAAAATTCCAGGGTTTGATTAAAGCATTTCACCTTGAATTTCTCAAGAGTTTCTACCTTGACTTACACCATTCCCTGGCTCCAATGAAGAATTTACATATAGCGGGCGCTAAAAAATATCTGTCAAATGAATGAAAGAGTGCTGTGGCCTCAGGGGACCAGCACACACGAGGCCTACGGTGATGGAGCCAGGCTATGAGTCTCACTAGCACTGCAGGACAAGGTCTTAAACAGACCCATCTCAAATGGCCTTTCAGGCTCTGGTATCTGTGTGTGCGTGTATCACCTGTTCACCAATTTTCCAAACAATGCTTCATTTTGATAAATAATTACCTGGAAAAGTCTTCTGCCAAATCTCCCCATCTCTCTTAAAGGAAATTTCCTTACTTAATATTGTACTTGTTCCCCCATAGGTGCACAGGTCAAGGTTTTAATTTAGTGTCACACAATTTGTGGATTGCCTAATGCATGAACTAAAGGAAGAGAGAGAACAAAGTCTAATTTAGCCCTTATGTTAAATGCAAACACATACATAATGGGACTAGTTGGCTATTTCTAACCTACGTTTCTCTCTCTCCCACAAGAAACGGTAATAGTATTTGATAGAAAGAGAAACAGCCTGCAATTTATCGGGCTCAATCAATTCTTACGCTATCATATGCTGAGCTGGAGATTGAGGTCGGCACAGACACTGGTGACTCTGGCATAGTTCGTGGACATCCAGTTTGCCTCAGACTCTGAAGCAATGTCCATTAAGGGAAGTTAAAATTAAATTTGATATAGAATGGTGCCAAAAGTTCGTATTCCGAGTTGAAAAATGAAACTACATACAGTTAAAAGAAGTCTTCCCTTATGGTACCAGTGTGACTCTGTAGCCTTTCACTGGTTGTCTGCTGACATTGTATTTATTTTTTTGGATAAGCACAGAAAGAAATGAAAAAGAACAAAACATGCCAGAATTATTCACACCTTGGCATCCTTCCGGCCATAAGCTTTGAAACTTGGAAATGCCATACCAAGGAGAATAAGGAAAGAGATGAAAAGATCCTTACTTTTTGGACTATCTGGACTTCGTAGTGCAGCTCTTCCTTTGCCCTTGGGGGTTTTTAAACCATCTGAGAGGTACTGATGACCGCTTTCTCCTAGCTCCAGCCTTCGCTTTGCCTGTAATAAGAAAGTGCGATCTCTCGTCACCGGTCATATGGACAAGAACAAGAAGGGAGGCAGTTTGTGGGCTGGCCTGCCAAATGCTGCAGGCTCATGCCAGCTCTCACCCCTCTGCTCCACCCCACTCAGCATCTTGTCATTCCCTAGAGCCAGGATTCTAGCGTTGTAGGCTGGGTTGTCATGCACACTCTCTTCACCTGCCGTGATCATCCGTCCACACCCAGATGGACAAACACAGCGATCCTTCAGCATTAGGTTCAGGAGTCACTTTGTTCATTGATTCAACACATCATGTGCCTGGCATGGGGTTGGATGCTAAGAATATCACAGGCGCCGTGGGGCTTAAATTCCCTTTCCACAGTGAGTCTTTCCTGCCCATCTCCCATTCTCCGACCTGGGTTGGACCCCCTTCCTTGTGCTCCCCAAACACTCTGTGTTTATTTGTATCATGACACTTATTCGGTATTACTGTAAGACTTATCTGTTTCTCATTTCCTTTAAGGCAGGGACTGTTTCCCATTTATCTTTGTATACCCAGTGCTTGGCACAGAGCCTGGGTTTCTGTAGATTTTCAATCACTCTCTCTATATACTGTATATTCAATGAGAGAAAGGGTGATTGGATCGTAACACAACTAGTCACAGACTACAAACGGCCCTTCATCGGGAAAACAAATACTGCAAACATGCAATCTTGGGCTTCAACCACTATTACTTTCTCCATTTTCTTATCAAGCCTAGCAAATGAGAAGCCCTTATCTAAGTTTTTAATTTAACTCCAATTAAATTTTAAAATATCCACATAGCGTCTTCTAGGTACCTAGGCATTGGGCTTAGTAAGCAAGATAGATAAGGGGCTTCGAGTCCAAGAGAAAAGATAGATGGTTAAGCAGTTGTTAAGTACTAATTGTATGGGTATGACAGGTGTTTTAGAAAATAAATGGCACCAACTGGACACTCAGCACAAAAATATGTATTTAGGCTCATTTTCAGGCAGATTCTTCTAATGAGGAGATTTGCAGTTTCTTTTTTTTAAGACAGAGTCTTGCTCTGTCGCCCAGGCTGGAGTGGAGTGGCGCGATCTTGGCTCACTGCAACCTCTGCCTCTGAGTTCAAGTGATTCTCCTGCCTCAGCCCTCCCCAAGTAGCTGGGACTGCAGGTGCACGCCACCACTCCCAGCTAATTTTTGTATTTTTAGTAGAGACGGGGTTTCGCCATGTTGGCCAGGCTGGTCTCGAAGTCCTGATCTTTGGTGATCTGCCCACCTTGGCCTCCCAAAGTGATGGGATTACAGGCGTGAGCCACTGTACCCAGCCGAGAGTTGCAATTTCAAAACAACTCCCCGTGATGTGAAAACGTAAGTAATAACTTATCAGCGGAAGCTAGATATTCAGCCCCTCTATGGAAAGTTACCAGCTAACCCTGCACCGTCTACTACGATAGCCACTGGTTACTAGCTCATCCAAACTGACATGTGCTATAATTGTAAAATACACACTGAATTTCGAAGACTTAGTACAAAACAGGGTAAAATATCTCAACAATTTTAGTAGTGATCACATGTTAAATGAAATAAATAAAATACAACTGACCCTTGAACAACATGGGTTTGGACTGTCCGTTTCCACTGATTTTATTTTTTTAGAGACAGGGTCTTGCTCTGCCGCCCAGGCTGGAGTGCAGTGGTGTGATCTCAGCTCACTGCAACCTTGTCCTCCCAGGCTCAAGGAATCCTCCCATCTCAGCCTCCTGAGTAGATGGGACCACAGGTGCACACCATGATGTCTGGCTAATTTAAATTTTTTTTTTTTTGGGTAGAGATGGGGCCTCTGTATGTTGCCCAGGCTGGTGTTGAACTCTTGGGCTCAAGTGATCCTCCTGCCTCATCCTCCCAAAGTGCTGGGATTACAGCCGTGAGCCACTGCACCCGGCCATGAGTGTGTCCACCTATATGTGGGTTTTCTTCTTCCTCTGTCATCCCTGAGACAGTAAGACCAACCCCTCCTCTTTTCTTTCACCACACCTTCCTCAATGTGAAGATAACGAGGATGAATTTTATGATGATCCACTTCCAGTAATGAATAGTAAATCTATTTTCTCTTCCTTATGATTTTTTTTTCATCCAGCTGCTTTATATGCCCATATGCCTTCTACACTTTGAACCCTGGACCAAGTTCAGCTGCTAGGAAACGCAAATTCCAGAGCATACCTAAGATGCATTGGATCAGAAACTCTGGGAATGGGGCTGAGCAATCTAACAGGCCTTCCAGGTGATTCTGATACACCTTAAAGTTGGAGAAACCTGGCTTTAGATCATAAGGGAAAAGAGTAAGACACTCAGGCAAAGCCCAGCTCTGCCCAGCACGGCCTATTTCACACACCCTCACCTCTAGTCCTGCTTGGCTGATGAGGGAAATCTATCCTGTGGATTCCACTTTCATTCATTCCAAACTTTCTTTTATTGATAACATTTCCTCTCTAACTTCATTGTAAGAATACAGTATATAATACATATACCATATGAAATGTGTTAATGACTGTTTATGTTATTGGTAAGGCTTCTAGTCAACAGTAGGCTATTAGGGCTGGGTGCATGGATCACACCTGTAATCCCAGCTACTCAGGAGGATGACTTGAGGCCAAGAGTTCAAGACCAGCCTGATCAACGTAGCAAGACCCCCCATCACTAAAATAATAATGAAAACCCCAAACAACAGGCTATTAGTTAAGTTTAGGGGAGTCAAAAGATCTATCTAAATTTTTGACTGTGTCAGGGCACCTCTAACCCCAATGTTGTTAATGGGTCAGATGTAGCATTAAAATTATTTCATCTGTTTCTTTATATATATATTTTACGATGTGGCTTGCCTCAGTGGCACACCTTATCTTTCTACTGCAGTGCTAAGTTAAACATCATTCTAATGGCTCCGGAAGGACAATCTGCTTGCTGGACTTCATCTTCCCCTCCCAGCCATTCTGTCAAGTCCTTGTGTGGGCCTGCTGTGGTTGGTCCAGCAAACATTCACTCTTTATCAGGCAGAAGCTCCCTGTTTGTTCCTTGGGGAGCCATCCCTTTCCTGGTCTAAGCGCATCTGTGCACACAGGTGATCCAGGCCTGGCTAATCATTGTGGCCCATCCTGCCCTCCCCGCCCCCACCGCGAACAGGTTGAATGGCTTATGACCAAGGCTGGAGGAGCAAAGGCTAACCCCAGGAATGTTTCTGGAACTATCTGGCAAGAAGCAGGTATGTCTTTCCAGTAAGGTTGGTAAGTGAGGAGCCTAAAGCTGCCTGAGAATGGGGCCTTCCCAGGGGAAAGCAGAGTGGAGAGAAGGAGAGAGAGGGGTCTGAGACCACCACTCAAAACTCTGGCTCTGGTCATGCCCTGGGGGCAACTGTTGGTCTTTCCCAGACTTTCCAGTTACATTAGCCAATAAACTCTCCTTTTTGCTTAAAGCATTTTTTTTTTTTGAGACCCGGAGTCTCGCTCTGTCACCCAGGCTGGAGTGCAGTGGTGCAATTTCAACTTATTGCAAGCTCCGCCTCCCGGGTTCATGCCATTCTCCTGCCTCAGCCTCTCGAGTAGCTGGGACTACAGGCGTCCGCCACCACGCCCGGCTAATTTTTTGTAGTTTTAGTAGAGACGGGGTTTCACCATGTTAGCCAGGATCTTCTTGATCTCCTGACCTCGTGATCCGCCTTCCTCGGCCTCCTCAAGTGCTGGGATTACAGGCGTGAGCCACCGTGCCCAGCTGCTTCAAGTGTTTTGAGTCGGGAACCTAGAATTGTGCTGTTGCCAGTGACAGCTTATGGAACTGGCTGAGTCAAGATGGCTATGGTGTGACAGGGAGTTGGCAGGCCTTGTTAGAGAGTGGCAGAGTGTGTTGGTCACTTCTTGTGACCGCCAGGAAGATACTACAGATAGAGAGAAACTTCATCTGAGGCTGGCCCGCCTCAAAGAAAACAGCTTTGCTATGGAGGCCTTCTCTACAGAAAGCAATCTAAGGAGACATAGAGCTGTATTCTCTGCCCAAATTAAAGTCAACAAATGGGCTGGGCACAATGGCTCACGCCTGTAATCCCAGCACTTTGAGAGGCCGAGGTAGGCAGATCACCTGAGGTCAGGAGTTTGAGACCAGCCTGGTGAAACCCTAACTCTACTAAAAATACAAAAAGTAGCCCAGCATGGTAGCATGCACCTGTAGTTCCAGTTACTTGGGAGGCTGGGGCATGAGAATTGCTTGAACCTGGGAGGTGGAGGTTGGTGCCTCCGCAATCCAGCCTGGATGACAGAGAAAGACTCTTGTCTCAAAAAATGAAAATAAAGTGAACAGAAAGAAGGCAAACTTGGAAAAGAGTCTGGGACCCAGAACTCCTAGGGACCTAGGGCCGTGCCTCAGCAGTAAAGAACCACCCACTGGTCAGCAGGCTGGGGGCATACTAGTTTTATCTCTCCCTCCCAGGCTGCTGTTTCAGACTGCCATGAGGCAAAGGCCTATGGAACCATTAAACTGTAGGTTAGGGAAATTTCCATGTCTGCTGCTAAGTGACTGAGACTTAACTTCGAAAGACCGGGACTAGTCTTCATGTGTAACTCTCGTTACTAAGCACCAAACCATAAATTGACCAAATTTGAATGCTAGATGGACAAGCTACTAAAATTGCAAGGCACTTTTATTGCGAAAGAATCACTAAGTCTAGAAAGTGAAGGTCCATGATGTTGAACCTCTAAGGAAATCAATCACTAGGTCCAAAAGCCACGCCAGAAATAAGTGAGGTGTGAAGAAGGGGCAGCCCCAGAATTCCTCCCAGGAGGTGGAACTTGGGGTGGACTTATAGGCTCTACAAACTGCTGTCCCTGTGGAGGACATGACAAGAAGCAGGAGGTGAGCACTTTATGTCATTTCCCCTTTTCAGAAGGGAGGTTCCCGTTGGGTTATCCTGTTATTTTTCCTCCCCTGTTGAGTGAACAGGGAGGGCGGAACTGGATTTGTGGGGACCACATATTACCTGTTTGGTCTCAGATCTGAACATGGGTGCAATAATTAGAATCTCTTGAAAAAGGGCTAAGAATTTTGATATTTGATGGAGCAGCATTATTTTAATGCTTAACTTAGCAAATTCAAGCACACATGCCTGGTAAAACAAAAAACTATATGACAGGATTTAAATAGTGCGGGTGAGCTCTGTCTACACCACCCTGCCCTGGGCTGAGCACCAGGGTAGATGGAAATCTCTTCTCTTGGTCATCTCAATTTTTGTTAGTTCACAGCGTGAGCATCGTACTGATTGGAGAGGTATTCATTGTTTATGCACAGATCTTTACATTACATGGCCCCTACCAGTAAAACAGCCAACTTATCCAGTAATCAACAGAAGGATGGGCCATTTGGTTCCAAGCAGTGGTAAAGCCTGGCTCTGTGAGATTCTGTGTGGAACTCCATGTGGCACCTTCCGGCAGTACTTTCAAGGGTAACTTGTACTATAAACAAGGTATGTGCTAACGTTAAAACCTCAGCCCCATGGACGTTAACATGCCTCTGCAAAGAAACAGTTGTACTGGTAAGCAGTTCTGAAAATCTATGTAGGAAAATGTATGTAGTTAGAGCTGGGTGCAATGGTAATGCGCCTGTAGTCCCAGGTACTTGGGAGACTGAGGCAAGAGGATCACTTGGGCCCAGGAGTTTGAGACCAACCTGGGCAGCACAGCAAGTCTCCCATCTCTCTCTCTCAAAACGAAAAAAAACCACAAAACCCCAAAAGAATTACCACTGGAGCCAGTGGGGAACATCTATAGTCTGCCTGCCTGATATTTGTTGCCCCTATTTTTTTTCCACTGGGGAAGGAGCTCTACTGATGTTCTTAGTTTCTATTAGTCTCCAAGCATGAAAAGACAAGACTTGAGACTGATCAACATTAGGACGACTCTTCCCATCAAAGTTGCAGAGGTGAGTACTGAATCCTGGCCTCAATCCCAAGGCTCAAGTGTCTGGGGTAAAGATGAGACCATGACCAATGCAGGAAGGGTCAGTCAATCCTGGGATTTTTCTTGGGAACCACTGGGAAAGTACTGGGTTCTTTTCACTGGGCATTATTAGGCCAGTAGGGTGCGAGCCTGGAGCTACTTGGGAAGTGAGCCAACACAGAAGAGCTGGGGAAAGGCTGAGTCCCAATCCCTTCAAGGGAGGTGCTAGATACAGCCATACCCAAAGGCACACATGCCACAGACTTTCATTTGTGTGAGCCCACAAATATCCCTTTTTGGTATAAGGCAGCTGAATTAGATTATTATTAATACCACTGATAGATACAGACCTTTAGTATTAATTATTACACAACAAATATTTGAGTGCTTATAATATGCTACGCACCATGTTAACTGTTTTCCACTCAATTTTGTTATCTTATTTTCACAACACCCTTAATAAGGTGGCTATTATTAATTCTTATTTTATAGAAGAAAAGGGAGGTCTAGTGTGATTAACTGACTTTTCCAAGATTCTATAGCCAGTAAGCACACCTACAAGTCCATGCTTATAACTACTTCATGAAAAGATTGTGAAAAGTCCCATGTAAAAATATTTGAATAGCTAGATTAAGTTGATATTGCCTTAATGACACACTTTATTTTATTCCTGATTTAAAAACTCTTCTTTACATATAATAAATGTATATGGTAATTTAAGCAGCATAAATGAGTATAAATGGAAAGCAAACTTTCTCCCTACTCCTGATCCCAGTTCCCTTCCTCAAAGGCAAGCACTATGAAGTTACTTGGATATCCTTTCAGATAGCTATATACATACTTGTATTTACCTAGACTATCTACCATCCCATCTTTAAAAAGTTTTTCCCATAAATCGTAGCAAAACACACACTTTTCTATTAATAACATATGTCCGAGTTAGACCTTATCAGAACACATGGAATGATCTCATTTCTCATAGCTGCATAATATTGTATTAATTAATATGCCACGATTTATTTACTTAAGCAGACATATACTAATGGACATTCAATACTCCTCTCCTATAATCATTTTTCCAATGAATAATCATGCTGGCATTGTGGGGTAGGTATTATTACACCCAGCTTGCACTGAGACAGAAGTTAAGGATTTACCCGAGGTCTCAGTTAACAAGGGACAGATACTAGAATTCTTATTTTTTATTTTTTTAGAGACAGGGTCTAGCTTTGTTACCCAAGCTGGAGGGCGGTGGTGTGATCATGGTTCACTGAAGCCTCAAACTCCTGGCTCAAGCAAGCCTCCCACCTCAGCCTCCTGAGTAGCACTACCATGAGTGGCTAATTTTTTTTTTGGTAGAGATGAGGTCTTGCTATTTTGTCCAAGCCAATCTTGAACTCCTATGCTCAAATGACCCTCCTACCTCAGCCTCCCAAAGTGTTGAGATTACAGATGTGAGCCTCCACGTTCAGCACAGATACCAGGATTTGAACCTCAGTCTATGCAATAATTTGTCAGTGACCATGACACCCTTGGCCTTATTGAGATTCCTTCCTCTGCTTCCATAGCAACATCCATGCTGCCACTGCACGATTTTACCACCATGACAAATGCATACTCCAGGCTTCCTCACTGGACTCTAAGCTCAGGTCATAAGCAGCTTAGTTTCCCCAGAGCCTTGCATATGGCATGCACTCAGTCAAATTGACTTATTTATTTTGAATGAACCAAGGAATAAATTCCCAAAGTCCCTTGGCAGGTAAATTACAAAGCTCCAATGTTACCAACCTGCAGAAGGGATAGATGTGAGTGTGTGTGTGTGTGTGTGTGTGTGTGTGTGTGTGTGTGTGTGTTGGAGGGGGGGCAGGCTGGAGTTTAATCTCTATAGATGACTTCAAAAGACTTTCAAGAAATATAAAGGAGAAAAATTAAAGTTGCAGAGATATGTGTAATATAAAAAAATATGAAACCACAGACTTCACTAAAATTTTTCCTAAATCCATAGAGAAAAAGGCCTGAAAATAGATCCACACCAAATGTTAATGGTGGTTATCTCTGGGAAGTCAAATTAAATGAGTAATGACTTCATGTTTACATTTCTGCAATTTTTAATCTTATTTGAAAAAGCAATGTGTCTACATATACATTATTACCATACTAACTGGCACTTCTACTTCTTGGAGTACATCCTCAACATTTAGGTTGTTTCTAGGGTTTGTCTATTAAAAACAGCACAGCCTGTTTCTTGAATATTTGATTTTTCCACATATGTCCAACATATTTTTATTTTATTTTTTTGAGTGGAGTTTCGCTCTTTTTGCCCAGGCTAGAGTGCAATGGTGCAGTCTCCACTCACTGCAACCTCTGCCTCCTGGGTTCAAGTGATTCTCCTGCCTCAGCTCCCAAGTAGCTGGGATTACAGGCGTGCACCACCACACCCGGCTAATTTTGTATTTTTAATAGACACAAGGTTTCACCATGTTGGCCAGGCTAGTCTCGAACTCCTGACCTCAGGTGATGCACCCGCTTCGGCCTCCCAAAGTGCTGGCATTACAGGTGTGAGCCACCGTGCCCGGCCTATATGTGCAACATAAATGCCCAACCTCAGAAGAAAAATTCAGTAAGTTATTATACATTTATATCTTGAAATGTTATGTAATTAATAATGATGTACAGCGACATATGTAACTTAAAAAAAGCAGGTGTGAATAGTAAAACTATTTTTGTAAGAAAATTATATGCATAGAAAGCAAGTATCTAAGGATACATACCACACACCAAATAGTTGAAAAGCATTAATCTTTGGATAGTAGGCTTATGGTGATTTTACTTTCTTCTTTTTAGCTTTTTTATATTTGAAAATCATTTTAAAGTGAGCGTGGGTTACTTGCATAACAAGAAAAGCAATATCATTTCCATTTGGGGTTAAACAGAAATCTGGTGGCTTATTTTCTAGACTGTTGAATGTCTTATGTACCATTCAATATGTACGGGTTCAAAACAGAAATGGGATATGCCACCAGAAAGGGCATCCAGCTTCGTGGTGGGGAGGGAAGGGATGTTCTTATCCACCATGCCACTGAGCCACAGGAAAAATTAAATCAAGCACAAGGCATGGCCTGCTGTATGTTAACAAACTGTGAATGCTAAAATAAACTCCCTTCTCCCTAGTTAATAGGAGATCAGGAAAGGGATAGAACTTGATAGATGATACCTTTTGTCTCAAAACCAAAGACGAGACAGGTATTTTGAACAAAGGAAGAAGGAAAATGAAATAAAATAGAAATAAAAAGAATGAAGACCAAGTTAAGTACATCAGTGAAATAACCCAAAGGAGGGAATTTCCAGCTTCATAGCAGACCACAGCTGAACCTCACTTGGACTCTGGCCATTAGGTTAGTGGGTCAGGGCATGAGGATTTTAAGAAAAGTTAGTTTTCAGCTGTAACTATGTATTAACTCAATCTGGCTCATCATTTTTGAATCCATTCAAATATTTATTGAGTGCCTGCTATGTACCAAGCCCTGCATGGGCATATGATTATAAAGGCAACATGGTGGTCCCTGCTATCAACAAGTATACAGGCAAGCAAACAATGGGAAACAATGGGAAATTTATTATGAATGAATACTGCAGTGAGCCCAGGGTGGGTCCAGGAGGGCATGAAGAGGGGTGCATGGAGAAGTGGGTAGAGGTCTGGAGAGATTGTTAAGAGGTGACAGCTCTTGAGCTGTGTTATGCAGATAAGGGAGTGAAGTCAGAGGAGTTGAATGGGCTGTCCAAATAAGAACAGAAGCAGAGATTTTGAAAAGTCCTGGTTCGGAGGTGCTTGTGAGTAGTGAGGGGCTTTGAGTACAGAATGATGAGGAAGGGGGACAGCTTATGGTCCCTTTCATGCCAAGCTAAATGCACTCCTAGTGTCAACCTGTCATTGACGAGGTTACCTAAGATGAAGGGCTCCAAAGTCTTCTCCAGCTTTTTACAGTGAGAGGTAAGTGCAGAATCTAATGAGAGTAGCATCCTCTGTGAGCCGCTGGGTGAGAAGCCTAATCACAAACCAGACTATCTCAGAGAAGAATAACTGGTGAACTGAACAGGTGTGCAGAAAACTCCAACCGTATCCCCATCCTTTCTCACTTGGATTACTAGAATGGACTCCAAAGTTGGTCATTTTTCTTCTTTTGATTTCTAAACTAGGATATTTTAATTTCACTATAACCTGTATTTGTGGACTAGTTTGGGGATCTAACCACATATATATGAATGTTTCTAAAGGAAAAGCAATCTCACTGACTTAGAACTTTTGGAATAAAAGCCATTTAACCTATGAACTGGTGACTGCGGTCCCTCCTATAGAAACTTATTTTGTTTTTAAGAATAATTTAAGACAATTAAAAAACAAATAGATGCACATGGTTTTTCAAAACCCACTAGCTCAGAGAGCCTATAATGGCTACCTTGCTGGGGGAACCACCTTTACTATTTCTCCTGGTGGTCACCTCTGTATCTCTAAGTGATATGCTCACACAGCTATTTCTGGTTTAGCCATTTTAGTTCTAATGTACTGACATCCTTCAATGATACGATACCCATCTCACTTCTTCCATTTCCCCCCAATAGTTACATAATTAGTTTTGGTTAAATAAAAAACCAGTGCTATACATCATGACTGTATAAACAGTATTCACTGCAGTATCAAATAATATACTGAGACTATATATCCTTTCTTGTAAAGCTTGTTTGTTTTCTTTGGAGTTTCCAATTGTCTTTCTAGCTCGTTGGCACCATTTGCCCTCACCAAATCCTCAAATTTTTTCCAACTCTCCATCATATCAGATATTCTACCAAATCTCCACTTTTCCTCCTGCCTGAAGCTCTCTGGCCTCCTGATATCCAGACCTGAGACTAGCTAGGGGTTCTCCAGGTCTGCTGCATGGCTGTCATTCTGCAGTTTTCCTTCACTGCATACACTGTGCTGATGCCCGAGGTGAACATCTGTCACTTGATTTGAGTGCCCAGCACCTGAACTTTCTCTCCTATGTTTAGAAAACCCCTCACTTTATCAGTCTTGGTGTAAGGTAGGCCCACTTACTATAGAAGATGAAGTATCTTTTTGTGTGCTGATGATTTGAATGAAGGCCGGCTGCCCTTAGGTGGCTTCAGGATGGACAATGGTCACTGGAAAAACCAAGGCAGGATCAGAGGGTCAGAACTTTCAGACCCATCTCTAAACCTCCAAGGAGAGGAGAGGGGCTGAAGGTTAAGTTGATCCCCAATGGCCAGTGATTTAATCAATCATGCCAACATAATGAAGCTTCCCAAAAAACCCAAGAGGACAGGGTACGGAGAGCTTCCAGGTAGCTGAACACAAGGAGGTTCCTGGAGGGTGACGCATGCAAGGAGGTCATGGAAGCTGCGTGCTCCTTCTCACATGCCTTGCCCTATGCACCTCTTCATCTGCATCCTCTGTGATATCGTTTATAATAAACCAGTAAACCTCAATGTTTCCTGAGTTCTGTGAGCTGCTCTAGCAAATTAACTGAATCTGAGGAATGGGCCGCGGGAACCCCGATTTACAGCAGGTTGGCCAGAGGCACAGGTAAAACAACCTGGGGCTTGCAACTGGCATCAGAAGTTGGGGGTGGTCTTGTGAGACTGAACCCTCAATCTGTGTGATGTGACACTTCTCTGGGTAGATGGTGTCAGAATTGAATTGGAGGACGCCCAGCTAGTGTCCGCTGCAGAATGAATTGCTTGCTTGATGCCTGGGGAAACCCCCCACACATCTGGTGTCACAACTGTAATATGCGAAAATAGTGGGAGAAACCGAGTTTGTTCATTCCTCAGCATTTTCAGAATTGGTGTCAGAATCGGGACTGCTAGAACATCCCTAGCTCATGTTTGGGAAGAAAACAGATAAAGGGGTTGGGGGGTGAGAAACCTTTGATTCCTGGGTGCCCATGTGGTCACCCATGGTATGGAGTGGCAGCTCCATACCCATGGTATGGAGTGGCATCAGTCACTAAAGGTAAAAGTTACCAATGGAATTTAGAGGTGGATCAATCTAACTCCCTGGAAGGTGGTTTGCTGAATGCATGAAGAAATGCGAACTAATAAGAAAAAAACAAAATATGCAACCCTTTGGTTATTGTTATCTGTAATAGCTAGAATGAAAGTAAAAAGAAAGTGCTGGGCCAAACCTCGATGCCAGACCAAGTTCAGATTTCAGTCAATCTATGCTTCAGCCAGTAGACTCACAGAACCTCGCTCCCACAAGGGAAAAATTATGCAGCGACATCAGAAAGCACCCCTAAGGACTTTGGGCACCAAGAAGGCAGTGTCAGGAAAGGGCAAAATCAAGAAGCCATTGAAAGCAGAGGGTATAGTGTGAAGGAATTGTTTCATTTTTTAGATTGGTATCATCAGCTTCCTGAGGAGGCTTTACTAAAATGCACTGTGAGAGTAATTTAGGAGCAGTGTCTTTGGTTTTGAATGTTGGAAGAAGGGGGACTGCCTGACTCCACCTATAAACGTCAAGCTGAAACAGCTGATACACTTTGTATTCATGCCATGTGGGGCCTGGGTTTATGACCACCAGATTATTCAAGCACTGAATATGCCTTGCTACCCAAGTCATGGTAAATGATGCGATTAGGGGCGCCCCTTTAATGTGGATGCCCCATTTAACCTTGTTGCCACAAAATCGAGAGATAGTTCAAGAAGCCTTATGAGATGTACTTGCTCAGTTTCCCCTCATGAGTCTTACAGATGCTAATACAAACATTAGGTTAATTAACAAGAGAATGATGAAGGGTAGGGGGGAAGAGTCACAGGACTCCTCACAGGAAGGTGGAAATTTTTTATGGTTGTTAAGAAATAAGGTGAATAAGAACACACTGGGCCGGGCGCGGTTGTTCACACCTGTAATCCCAGCACTTTGGGAGGCCAAGGCAGGTGGGTCACGAGGTCAGGAGCTCAAGACCAGCCTGGCCAAGACGGTGAAACCCCATCTCTACCAAAAATACAAAAATTGGCTGGGCGTGGTGGCAGGCAGCTGAAATCCCAGCTACTTGGGAGGCTGAGGCAGAGAACTGCTTGAACCCGGCAGGCGGAGATTGCAGTGAGCAGAGATTGCGCCACTGCACTCGAGCCTGGGCGACAGAGCCAGACTCCGTCTCAAAAAAAAAAAAAAAGAACACACCGATAGGGATGAAACAGAGGAAAAACAAAGAGAAGAGTCATGGGACTTTTCCCAGTATGGTGGAAATCTTTAGATGGCTATTAAGAAATGGGATGAATAAAACAAATTAGCAAGAAAAAACCCAAAAAATCCCACCAAAAAGTCAGCTAAGAACATGAAAAAGTGCTCAGCATCACTAATGATCAGGGAAATGCAAATCAAAACCACCATGCAATACTACCTTACTTCTGCAAGAATGGCCATAATCAAAACATCAAAAAATAATTGCTGGCCATGGTGGCTCACACCTGTAATGCCAGCATTTTGGGAGGCTGAGGTAGGCAGATCACTGGAGGTCAAGAGTTCAAGATCAGCCTGGCCAACATGGTGAAACCCCATCTCTACCAAAAATACAAAAAGTAGCCGGGCGTGGTGGTGTGCATGAGTAGTCCCAGCTACTCAGGAGGCTGAGGTAGGAGAATCGCTTGAACCTAGGAGGTGGAGATTGCAGTGAGCTGACATCACGACACTGCACTCCAGCCTGGGTGACAGAGCGAGACTCTGCCCACACCCCCCGCCCCGCACCCCAAAAACATGTTGGCGTGGATGTGAACAGGGAGCACTTCTACACTGCTGGTGGGAATGTAAACTAGCACAACCCCTATGGAAAACAGTGTGGGGATTCCTTAAAGAACTAAAAGTAGAAATTACCACTTGATCCAGCAATCCCACTACTGGGTACCTACCCAGAGGAAAAGAAGTCATTATTCAAAAAAAATATTTGCACACGCATGTTTATAGCAGCACGATTCACAATTGCAAAAATTGGAACCAACCCAAATGCCCATCAATCAACAAGTGGATAAAGAAACTGTGGTATATATATATATGATGGAATACTACTCAGCCATAAAAAATGAATTAATGGCATTTGCAGCTACCTGGATGAGATTGGAGACCATTATTCTAAGTGAAGTAACTCAGGAATGGAAAACCAAACATCGTATGTTCTCACTCATAGGTGGGAGCTAAGCTATGAGGATGCAAAGGCATAAGAATGACACAATGGACTTTGGGGACGCAGGGGAGTGAGGGATAAAAGACTACAAATTGGGTGCAGTGTACACTGCTCGAGTGATGAGTGCACCAAAATCTCACAAATCACCACTAAAGAACTTACTCATGTAACCAAATACCACCTGTTCCCCAATAACCTATGGAAAATAAAAAAAATTGGGATGAATAAAATGGAAACTGAAATAAAATGAGGTTAAAACAAATGTTTTAATGCAACACTGTGGAAGGCTGGATAGATCAAAGGGAAGTCCTGCTGGTCTCTCGACATAAAGGGGTTTGAAAAATGTTTGCTACATTTACCCTAGTTTGGAGAAATTTAAAAAGTCAGAGGCAGAGATTACAATGAAGGATCTGATCTGAAATTGCCTGGGGCAATAGTCAGGCAGATTAATCAAGAAAAAGACTGACAGACAGCAAAGGTGTCTTGGCCCAGTCCCCTGCTGGGTACCCACAGCCTTATGGACACAAGTGGGAAAATCGTCTGGGAGGTGAAGAATAATTCCTGGGACTCCTCGATATGGGAGCCTTAAGCACTGTGCTATCAAAACCCACTGGGCAAGCCCTGACTTGGGCTACAGTTAAGATTGTGAGAACATAAAAATGTAAGGATTGCTAGGATGATCAAAGCTGGGATGTTTAAGTAGGCTTTATATAAGGAAGTTGTGCCTCTTTACCTAAATGATTTATAGGAATGGATATTATGTCTGTCCAGGGAACACTTCCCCTAGCTAGTACTGAATTGTACGACCGAAACCTGTTGGTAAAGGCCTAATGAAGGCTACAGTTAGGAAAGTAAGGGTTGATGGAACTAAGGTAAAAGTTTAGAGAGAGGTGGTATATTTGAACACACTTCATAAGAAATAGCTGTGTCTCTTTATCATGCAATGGACATTACATCTGAGTGGGAAATGCTCCCCCTACATAGTACTGTAAAACAGAAGGCATGCAAATCCACCCTTTGAGCAATATTAATTGGACGTGCTAAATGGGAGCCAGCAAGGTTGCCCAAGGCCACAGGGCGTAGAGCAGAAGCTGACTGCTGGTGGAGACATATCCTGGAGGCATAGTCCTGTGTGGAGCCTAGACTGAAGAACACAAAATGACCCTGAAACCTGAAATAACCATGCTGTCTGGGGGTGATGTCACAGGAACACTGTAATGGGGATGGCAGTGCCCAGAAGAGTTCTATCATAAAATGGAAATGGTTTATAAGAGATCATGCTACCTACCTGAGGAATGCAAGGAGGAGATAACCTCCCCCTTAGGCCTGACTCTGGAACTGTGTGAGGAGCTGCTGGATTCTTCAGTGTCTGATAAACAGCTCTCTGATTGACTGACAAAGAGCTGCTGTGTTTATGATGCATTTCAAGGCAGTTTCAAGGTGAACAGACAACAGCCCATCTGATCACCAAAGGCCAATGATGCAATCAACCATGCCTATGTAATGCAGCTTCCATAAAAGCCCCCGAAGGACTGGGTTTGGAGAGCTTCTGAATAACTGAACACACAGAGGTTCCTAGAGGGTGGCACACCTGGGGAGGGCATGGAAGCTCCACACTCCTGCCCCCATACCTCGCCCTGTGCATCCCTTTATCTGTACCCTTTGTAATATCCTTTATAATAAACCAGTAAATGCTGTTTCCCTGAGTTCTGTGACCTGCTCTGGCAAATTAATCAAACCCAAGAAGGGGGTTGTGGGAACCCCAATTTATAGCTATTCAGTCAGAAAAAAACAGGTAAGACAATCTGGGGCTTGCGACTGGCATTGGAAGTGGGGGACAGTTGTGCGGGGCTCAGCCTTCAACCTGTGGGATCTGACGCTATCTCTGGGTAGATGAAGTAGAATTGAACTGGGGGACACCCAGCTGGTGTCCACTGCAGAATGAATTGCTTGCTTGATGTCTAGGGAAAGTACCCCCTGACTCAGCACATCTGGTGTCAGAAGCGTGATGTGAAACTACAGTAGGAGAAACTGAGGTTTTTAGTTCCTCTATATTCTCAGACATACCCAGCGAAAACCTTTTAAAATCTCAAGGCAAAATAGGGACTTTTTCCCAGAGATACGAAAGCCGAAAGAATTCTTCACCAGTAGAATAGAGAAAATATTAAAGGAAGTGCCTCAAACAGAATAAAATGATGTCAAATGGAAAACAGATCTAGGCGAAGGAATTAAGAGCAGTAGAAATGGTAACTATGTGGGTAAATATGTTACATTTAAATCTCTCTCTTTGTTTTTACAGATAGGGGACTTCACTATGTTGCCCAGGCTGGTCTCGAACTCCTGGCTTCAAGCTATCCTCCTACCTCAGCCTCCCAAAGCACTGGGATTTTAAGTGTGTGCCACTGCACCTGGCCACAATTTACTAATTTTTAAAATTGATTATCTTTTAAAGAGATTTGGCCTGGTGCAGTGGGGCTCATGCCTTGTAATCCCAGAATTTTGAGAGGCAGAGGCAGGAGAATCACTTGAGACCAGGAGTTCAAGAACAGCGTGGGCAACAGCAAGACCCGGTCTCTACCAAAATAAAAAAATTAGCCAAGTCTGGTGGTGCACACCTGTAATCCCACCACTTAGAGGTTAAAGTGGGAGGATCACTTGAGCCTAGGAATTTGAGGCTGCAGTGAGCTATGACTGCACTAAAGAGTGAATGGGGGCTGAGGTGGAAGGATTGCTTGAGCTCAGGAGTTTGAGTCCAGGCTGGGTGATACAGTGAGACCCTGTCTCAAAAAAAAAAAAAAAAAAAAAAAAAAAAAAAAAAAAAGAGAGAGAGAGAAAGAGAACAAAACAAAAAGAACAAGATAGAGAGACCTGCCCTGCCCGATACCCAGGTTTTTATTGTGTAACTATAGGAATTAGTGAACTAGGCAGGGTGTGGTGGCTCACGCCTGTAATCCCAGCACTTTGGGAGGCCGAGGTGGGCGGATTACCTGAGGTCAGGAGTTCAAGACCAGCCTCACCAACCTGGTGAAACCCTGTCTCTACTAAAAATACAAAAATTTGCAAGGTAAGAGGGCGGACACCTGTAATCCCAGTTACTTAGGAGGCTGAGGTGGGAGAATCGCTTGAACCTGGGAGATGGAGGTTGCAGTGAGCCAAGATCACGCCACTGCACTCCAGCCTGGGTGACAGAGTGAGACTCTGTCTCAGAAAAAAAAAAAAAAAGAATTAGTGAAATATGTACAGGCATACCGATAGGTAAATAGACCAAAAGAATAGTATAGAAAACCGAGACACAGCTCCACACATACATGAAGATGTCATATATTACAAATGGGACACTGCAGATACTGCAAAGAATGGACAATTTAATAAACTGTGTATCGGAAAAATAAAATTGGATCCCTCAAACTACATACAAAACTCAACTCCAGACATACTGAGGTATAAACAAGAGACTGCACGGGAGGGCAGCACAAATCACACGTGCTATCTGTCAACAAAAGGCCACAGTAAAACAATGGAAAGGTAAGCTACCTCAGCATTATTATCCAGAATAGGTAAAGAATTAGGAGTAGCCAGTAAGAAAAGAACATATAACCCAAGAGAAAAATTAGATAAAAGACAGGAATAGGGGATTCCTAGAAGAGACTACTAAATGGTTGAAAATATTAAAATACGAAGTCAGAGAAATATAAATTAAAATGAAATAGCCTTCTCACACTTACAAGGTTGGCAAAAATGACAAAGTCTAAAAATACCAAGTGCTGAAAATACGAGAAACTGATACTATGCTTGAAGCCAGGGGTTGACGGGGAGGGCCCCTCGGGAGAAGAGTTTTATCAATATTTAGTGAAAACCATCAACTTCTCAATATGCACCATAAACTCTTGCGCATATGCACAAGGATGTGTACACAAGAATTTGTAGAGCAGCATTAGCACCAGGCTATAGTTATCAACACAGGCCAATCACACAAATATAGTAGTGAGTAAAAAACAAACAAAAAAACCTCAGAATGTATACGGCATCTTTTTATAAAATTTTAAAAACATTGAAAACATTACTAAATAGCATTAGATTAATAAATACGTAGTAAAAGTAGACATACACAACACAGGCAAAGTATGAGAAATGAAGGGAAATGTAGTGGAAAAAACAATGCATTTGGGGAGAGAAACAAGACTTCAAATGTATTGTCTCGCTCTGTCGCCCAGGCTGGAGTGCAGTGGTGCCATCTTGGCTCACTGCAAGCTCTGCCTCCCGGGTTCACGCCATTCTCCCGCCTCAGCCTCCCAAGTGGCTGGGACTACAGGTGCCCACCACCACAACTGGCTAAGTTTTTTGTATTTTTAGTAGAAACGGGGTTTCACCATGTTAGCCAGGATGGTCTCGATCTCCTGACCTTGTGATCCACTCACCTCGGCCTCCCAAAGTGCTGGGATTACAGGAGTGAGCCACCGTGCCCGACCTTCAAATGTATTGTTAATGTCATTTCATGGGTGCTATTCTTTCTATCTTTTGCATCTGAAATGTTTTATAGTAAATTAAAAAATTAAAAACAAGTGTCAATTAGTGAGGCAGAAGAATGGGCATGAGACTTAGTATAACTATTTTGGAGGATTACCTGGCAGTGTTAATATTTAAAATATACATGGCTTTTTTTTTTTTTTTTTTTTTTTTTTTTGGAGATAGAGTCTTGCTCTGTCTCCCAGGCTAGAGTGTAGTGGTGTGATCTCGGCTCACTGGAACTTCCATCTCCTGGGTTCAAGTGATTCTCCTGCCTCAGCCTCCCATGTAGCTGGGATTACAGGTGTGCACCACCACACCCAGCTAATTTTTGTATTTTTAGTAGAGATAGGGTTTCACCATGTTGGCCAGGCTGGTCTCGAACTCCTGACCTCAGATGATCTGCCCTCCTCGGCCTCCCAAAGTGCTGGGATTACGGGCGTGAGCCACCATGCCTGGCCAAAACATGCATGACTTTTTGACTCTACAAGTGTACTTCTGGGAATCAATTTATCTTAGAGAAATACTGAAAAACATGCACAGGAAGGCATGTATAAGGATGTTTATTATAGCACTATAATCAACAGGGGTAAGTTAAAAATCTAAATGACTATTGTTCATTAAAAGGGAATGGTTAAATAAACCATTTTATCTTATATACCCATATTATAGAACATTATGTACCTGCAGTATTCTATGGCCAAGGTACATCTTTCCTTTAACAAGTAAGGAAAAAAACAAGTCAGAACTGTAGATAAGGCATGGTTTCCAATGTAAAGCCAAAATAACCACTGTTGAAAATACATAGAAAAAGGCCTGGAAGGAAGTCCATAAGTGAGGAGAAGGGGAAGGGCTGAAGACGCTAATACATCCTATATACTTCTGATAGAATGTGTGTGGGAATACATAATCTGTGTAATTCATTTGTAAAATTGGTGAAAATAGAATAAAAACAAAGGATACACATGTTAAAAACAAACAAACAAAAAAGTCTAGGGAAATTGGAGGAACCAGTCAGCCCGTGAGAAGTTCTGAGACAGCTGGGCTTCTGGGAGACAAGTCGTGGGAAGCCTCTATGAACACTGACAAAGAATAACATTTAGTGAAAGAATGAATGAGCGGATGAGAGAAAAGAAGTGAGCAATGGGAACCCCCAGATTTTAGGATTATTGCCCATTTCTATAACATCAGTTCTCCACTTCCCCAAAGGTAGGTAACTCACAAGTTTTCTTTTTCTTTTGAGACAGGGTCTTGCTCTGTTGCCCAGGCTGGAGTGCAGTGGTGCAATCACTGTAGCTTCAATCTCATGGGCTCAAGCAATCTTCTCACCTCGACCCCCCAAGTAGCTGGGACTACAGGTGCACGCCACCACACCTGGCTAATTTGTGTATTTTTGGAGAGACAGGGTTTCACCACATTGCCCAGGCTGGTCTCGAACTCCTGGACTCAAGTGATCTGCCCGCCTAGGCCTCCTAAAGTGCTGGGACGAAGAGTCTGGCTGTAACTCACAGATTTTCAAAAGGAAACAAAAATGTATCCAATGCCTACTGTGTACTTCCATATCGATTATTTTAATTAAAGGAAAGTGGATCCTCTAACAAACCTTTAATTTGTTAAGATAAAAAAATTTTCTATGTATTAAAAAAAATCAATGTAAACGGTGACATCAATTTTCAGCTACACTGACTGTTCAGATGTATACTTTTTAAACATAATATAGTGGTAACGGGAGGTTTCAGAACAGGCTCTTCATCTAATGATATAAGTGGTAGTTAGTTTTCATAGCTGGCATCACTGTTCTGAAATCAGTACATCTCTTCAGATAACCCGTGGGACTTCATTCCTCCTGCTGTTCTTCCCACTGAAGCTCTTCCTGGCTATATGACCTTTTTTTGTTTGTTTTCAGATGGAGTTTCACTCTGTCACCCAGGCTGGAGTGCAGTGGCACGATGTTGGCTCACTGCAACCTCTGCCTCTGGGGTTCAAGTGAGACTCCTGCCTCAGCCTCCCGAGTAGCTGGGATTACAGGTGTCGGCCACCACGCTAGGCTAAGACTAACTTTTATATTTTTAGTAGAGACGGGGTTTCACCATGTTGGCCAGACTGGTCTCAGGTGATACTGACCTCAGGTGATCCAGCCGCCTTGGCCTCCTAAAGTGCTGGGATTACAGGCGTGAGCCACCGCCCCCAGCCCTTCCAGGCTATATCACTAAAGAAAAAAAACAACTGTGGAAAATCTGATGTAGACCCCATTTCGTATGATCCCTGACAAGCTAAATACAGGATTAAACAACTTGTGAGGTGACAGAGTCATCCGAAGACACCCAGCCTGGGGCAGATAATGGAAGAACCTTTCTTACTCTAATTGTTCTTCCCAAAGACTTCTAGGGAAGCATCCTGGAACCACTTCTGGGGAACAGAATATTAAAAATGCAATCTCCACACAAAAAAGCAACACTTTTGCCCCTTTGTCACACCAGAGTTTTACTGACAAGCCTATTTTTGGGAAATCTCCTAATGTTTAAAGGACAGAATGGAATTAGGGCTTGGAGAGTGAGTAAAGTTACACTGATAAGATATGGGTTGGCTCTAAGAAGAGAATTCAGTTTTCTTAAAAACAACCAAGAATAGAAGCTTATCTCCAAGGTCCACCGGCAAGCACCACCATGAGTGAGCTGTTTTTTCTAAGGCTGAGGAAGTGGAGAAATGGTCTGGGAGGGAGGTGCAGAGAGGAGCCAGTGGGCAGAGCAACCAACTCTGGTAGGTATTGCTTGACCTACCTATTTAATTTATAGATTAGGGGTTAAAGACCCCTCGGTATGGGGAAGACAAGATATGAGTCTTCTCTTTCAAAATCTCCCCGGCAAAACGACACAACCATGAAAGTAGAAAAAGCACACGCGATTCTTTAAAAGGAGTCAAATTCCTCCACTCTCATTCTGAATGACTCCCTGTTACAGTAATGTGGGCAAACATTTTGATAGAGATTATGGATCTGAAGCCTCTTGCTTACCCACTGTAAGTTCAGAACAAGGTCTTAGTTAGCCTTTTTCTACTTCATAATGAGCCACTATCTCTGAGGTTCAGAAGAAAAATCAAACAGAAAGGCCTACGGCAGTGATTGCTAATGAATACATATGAAGTCATGTTCATTTTTCAAATGAACATAAAAAGATCTTGAAGAAATACTAGACAAATTGCTATGAAAAATGTGGGCTGGAATAGCGATCCAAAAGCTCTAAAAATATACAAACTTGATAATACTGAATTCAATGAAAATTATACTAAGAAAAATGTTCTTTACCTAAATTAATTTTGGAAAAAAAAATGGTAGTGTGTTGCTGCAGGAAAGGGATGACAGTATTAACTTTTACTGGTGATAAAGTCAATAACAAACTATGACGTCTATCAAGGACCCTGGCTCTATTCAGCAGCTCAATGATTATAGGAAGAGCAACAATTTATTTGAATGGGAATTTTAGCTCGTGCAGAACAAGGACTTCTCAGGAGGCAATTGTGGCAGGTGTAGCTAGGGGACCACTCTGACAGTTTGTCTCCTTTTTATGAGTGTTTATTTTCTTACCCACTTACCTCTTTGCTACGTCTATCCTATATACCTTCCTACAATTCTAGGTAATGGATGCTGTCGCAGTAGATGTTCGTTAATTGGGAGATTAAAGAGAGAACGGGCTAGGTGCAGTGGTTGACACCTGTAATCCCACCACTTTGGGAGGCCGAGGTGGTCGGATTACCTGAGGTCAAGAGATCGAGCAGCCTGGCCAACATGGTGAAACCCCATCTCTACTAAAAAAAAAAAAAAAAAAAAGAAAAAATAAGCTAGGGATGATGGTGTGCTTTTGTAATCCCAGCTACTTGGGAGGCCGAGACGGGAGAATCGCTTGAACCTGGGGTGCGGAGGGTGCAGTGAGCCAAGATGGGACCACTGTACTCCAGCCTGGGCAACAGAGTAAGACTTCTTCTCAAAAAGAAAAAGAGAGAATGAAGGATCTCAAAGGGTACACTAGCTGAACCTGACAAGTCAGGGAACATTTTTTCCCTAGGCTAAACTTATTTCTAGGTGTAGGCAAAGGGGGTGCGGAGGAGAAATACTCTCTTCATCTCTGAAGCCATACCTACGTCAGATCCTCCCACTGACTCTCCTCCTGCTGGTTCGAAGCCTGGAAACCTCACCTGTGGGCAAAGTGAGTTCATAAACCTGAAATGCATTGCTTTTCTTGATAAATGACCCCAAATGAACTTCAAAGAATTCTGCATGAGATCTTACCTGAGAATTCATCTAGGGATTCTTATAACCAACTTTTTGCAATTAATCATTACAAATGCAAAGTAATTATCTGGTTATTTAAAAAGCAACAAATAATTAACTGTGTGAGAAACAAACCTTCATAATCTCTACAATCAGTTAAGGTTTATGAATCTGAGGCCATTATTTATAAATTAAAATTATTTAATCCCCCAAAAAGCCCTCAATACTTTTCTTAAACATAGTTAATGAATCTTGTAATGACTTTGGTACTTTTTTAACTAGTGGACTGACATTAATTTTTTTTTAACAAAATCTATTTCTATTTGTATTCGCACATTGCATTGCTCACTAAAATATGTGCGCGAGTGCGTGTAGGCAGTCATTTCATAAAAAGCAAGGAGGAAAGGAGACAGGACTATTTGAATCACATTCCAATTTAGGAGAATGCTCTTTATGACAATGTTCTCAGAATGGTTTATAAAGGTGAATAAAATAAGAAACTACAAGAACAGATACATTAAAATGAGTGTTATTTCCATTGTATAATTCTCCTTGTCAGTTTGCAAAATAGAACCTAATTTTTTTTTTTTTTTTAACTGGGGGACTGGAGGAATGGCAAGAAACCTTGGTTGAGTTCCCTGGGTCTCGGTTTCTTCATCTGTACAAAGTGTAGAGAGGACTAGAAAATTCACTGGCATACTACTTTCTAGGGCTTGAAGGCCTGTGAGCGTATCTGAAGTTTCACATCCTAATCAATTCCTTCTTTTGTTCATTTACTCTGACCATCTCTGGGTAAGACCCACCGGAACCTGGCAAAAGCTAAATTTACCAGAAACTTATGAGATTACAGGTAAGAACATAAAGTAAGGACAATATATTTCAAAAACCATCATAGAATTCTAAGCAAAAATGGAAGAATACCAAAAGCCTCTTGATCTGTGACTTAGTTTGTAGCTAAACACACACACTCTTTGCCTAGCTCCTTCAATGCTTAACCCTGAGGTGTGGCCACGGCAAACCTCAGCCAGCGTATCATTTCAGAGTTCTTTCCCTGGGTTCCCAAGGGTTGGTTCTAGAATTGCCTGGAGTTGTAAAAGGGATGAGAGAATTTCTTTCTGACTCCACCCTATTACCACACTGTTTATGACCAAATGGCACCCCTGTCAAAGCTTTTGGGACACCCTTGCCCCAGGGCCAGTGCAAAAGAATGTTCAGTTTATTAAGAACAGTGCCCTGTCTTGAGGGAAAACAGGATGTTTAGAAAGTTTTGTACTTAATCTTCGACTCTCTCTTCAGCCAACTATGACTCGCTACAGGGAAAATTGTACAGCAGTGTCAATAAATAAAACCATAGGCTTCTATGATGAATCGTCAAGTTCTGCTGTGGACAAGGCAATATCTGATGGGCCAAAAGGTGGGAAAAGATCTAGAAAGGTCCATAGCTTTCCCTGGAGCTCTCAAAGATAACAGACACTTTTGTAGGTCAGAGTCTCCAAAGAGGGTTGGAATCAATCTGCTAAATGCATCAAAACAGAGCCAAGTGGGAAAGTCCAGTCCTGACCTCCCTGGCACAGGCACCCACTGGCATTTTATCACTTTGCTTGCAGCCAACAAAATCAATCAGCAAGACTATTACAATGAAACACACAGGATATGGAGAGAAACACATACTACAACATGTGTTCTTCAAAAGACAAGAAAGGCATCCAAAAAGGAGTTGATTTCAGCTTCAAGCAAGTCGCTATTTATGCATTTCTTATTCTGATTGTATTGGCATTCAGGACCATTTTCTTGCATTTGATATTTGGTCCCTCTTATAATTCTTATTATCATAACCAAAACTACTTTAAAACAAGTGCGCACATCCTTTGTTCTTAAACTAACTTCGATATACATTGTCATCGGCTGGGTAATAAAAAAAAATCCTGATCCCTGGGTTCCACCCCTGAGATATAGAATTAGTTACATGGATTTGGCCCGGGTAGTTGAATTTTCAAAAGCTATCCAGTGGAGTCTAATGTCCAGAAAAACTTTAGAACTACTGCTCTGAGCTGAACCCTGGCTGGCAATTAGGCTCAGAGGTATGGGAACTCTGCCTTAACCTGCCAAATACAAGCACCATTATGGCGTGGCTAACAGTCATCAGAAGTATTTGCCATTCTGGTATCAAATTAATTTTAAAGGCAGAGGGGCAAGGGATGAGAAGGAACAATGATGCTTTTGTGGGGGTAAGACAAGTCTTCAACGCTACAAAACTCCTTAGCATATTATAGAAACCAGTTTTGCTGGTTTTTTATTATATGACAAAGGGAAGCACTGACCCAGTGGCAAGATTCTGGATGTAAGGTGTTCTAGTCCAAAGCACTAGCGGTCCTAGTGAGGTATCTTTGTGACTCCTGGAAAAAACTCAGAAAAGTTTCCTACTCTAAGAATACCACCTTTAAAGAACAGATATTATCACTTCCTGCTGTGAGTCTACATTTTTACATGTCAAGAAGATTAGGACCAAACCCATCCGCCCACAAGGCAGTGCTATAGGGTTGTAAACTGCCATTATGAAATTAAATATTACCTCTAAGGTCATGGGTCTCAATCTTGAGCATGCTCAGAAACACCTGAGAGGCTTGTTGAATTCAGATTGTTGGGCTTGTCCACACAGGGTCTCTGATTCTGTAGCTCAAGGATAGCAGTTTGCATTTCTGACAATTCTCAGCTGATGTTGAGACTGCTGGTCTGGGGAAGACCACACTTTGATAACTCCTGTTCTTAGGGCTCATAAAAGGCATGGTCCTTGAGTAACAAGAAATGTTTCTTCAGGCTTTGTGATAAAGAGACAAATACTTTGAGTGAAAGGAGACAGGGTCTTAAGATAAATCTTGAGAATTGTGCCAAGAGGCAAAATGTTAACATTCCACTAGGGAGAAACAAGCAGGTGGGTTGTTAACCTCATTCATTCACTCTGGAGTAAATATTATCCTTGGAGGACAAAGTGGAAGAGCTGTCTTGAGTTAAAAAGAGAACTGAAACATTCTTTCCAAAAAATGGTGACCCACAGTTTCTTGTTTTACAAGGGAATAGTGGGCATTTTTCATTTACAAAATATTTACTTTATAATGGTGGCACTTCAGTGGGAGGAAAGGTGGGCATTTTGACTAAGTGGTTAGGGAAATTGGGTAGCCATCTACAAAAAATAAAGTTGAGTCAGGCACGACTGCTCCTGCCTATAATCTCAGCACTTTGGGAGGCGGAGGTAGGATCGCCCGAGCCCAGGAGTTAGAGACCAGCCTGGACAATGTAGCGAGACCTCGTCTCCACAAATAATAAAATTTGCCAGGCATGGTGGTGTGCACCTGTGGTCCCAGCTACTCAGGAGGCTGAGGCAAGAGAATCACCTGAGCACAGGAGGTCGAGGCTGCAGTGAGCCGTCACTGCACCACTGCACTCCAGTCTGGGCAACAGAGTGAGAGCCTATTTCCAAAACAAAAACAAAAACAAAAACAAAAAACTTGAATCCATACTTAACAGAATATCAGGATAAACCTCAAATGGAGCAAATATTTAAATGTAAAAAAAGTAATAGCATAGAAATTCTGCAAGAAAATATGGGTCAATTCTTGTGCGTGTATGTGTGGAAGGGGTTGGTGGAAATGCTTTCTGTGACTCGAAATCCAGAAGCCATAAAAGAAAGAATGGAAAATTCTGTATAAGACCAAAAAAACCCCACAAATACTAAAGGAAATGATAAACCAAGAAAAATTTGAAGATCATATCACAGACTTAGAGCTAATCTCCCTATTATATAAAGAGCCCTTACAAATCAACAAGAAAAAGAGCAAGAATCCAACAGAAGAGTAAATCACGTACAGGAATTAAGTACAGTTTGCAAAACAAACAAACAAACAAACAAACAAACAAAAAGAAAGAAACAAGAAAAACAAATGGCTTCTTTTTTTTTGAGATGGAGTCTCACTCTGTCACCAGGCTGGAGTACAGTGGTGCGATCTCGGCTCACTGCAACCTCTGCCACCCGGGTTCAAACGATTCTCCTGCCTCAGCTTCCTGAGCAGCTGGGACTACAGGTGTGTGCCACCATGCCCAGCTAATTTTTTTGTATTTTCAGTAGAGACGGGGTTTCACCATGTTGGTTGGCCAGGATGGTCTGGATCTCCTGACCTCGTGATCCACCCTCCTCAGCCTCCCAAAGTGCTGGGATTACAGGTGTGAGCCACCGCACCTGGCCAACAAATGGCCTTTAAACATCTTGAAAAGATGTCCAGGCTTTTGCTTTTTTAAAAAAGGTATGCAAATCTAAACCATATCAATAAAGTATATTTTACAAATGAGATTGGCAAAAATCCAAAAGTTTGATAACCCACTCTATTGGTGCAGCCCTAATTAAGTTGACAGGAGTGCAAAAATCAAACAGTACTTAGGGTGATCGCTTCAGCAGCACATATATGAAAATTGGAAAAATACAGAGAAAATTAGCATGGCCTCTGTGCAAGGAAGGGGCATATTTGTGAAGCATTCCATTTAAAAAAACAAAAATAGTCCACTGAAAGGGCAAGCGACAGGAACTATAAAATCCAAAAGAAATGGATAAATTCCTGGACACATACACCCTCCCAAGAGTGAACCAGAAAGAAACAGAATCCCTGAAGAGACCAATAATGAACTCTGAAATTGAATCAGCAATAAATAGCCTACCAACCAAGAAAAGCCCAGGACCAGACAGATTTACAGCCAAATCCAAATTCTACCAGACGTACAAAGAGCTGGTACCATTCCCACTGTAACTAGTCCAAAAAATTGAGGAGGAGGGATTCTTCCCCAACTCATTCTATGAGGCTAGCATCCTCCTTATACCGAAACCTGGCAGAGACACAATGAAAAAATAAGGCCAATATCCTTGATGAACATCTATGCAAAAATCCTCAATAAAATACTGGCAAAACAAACCCACTAGCACATCAAAAAGCTTACCCATCATGATCAAGTAGGCTTTATCCCTGGGATGCAAGGTTGGTTCAACACAGGCAAAGCAATAAATGTGATTCATCACATAAACAACTAAAGACAAAAAACACATGATTATCTCAATAGATGCTGAAAAGGCTTTCAATAAAATTCAACACTGCTTCATGTTAAAAATTCTCAGTAAACTACATATTGAATGAACATACCTCAAAATATTAAGAGCCATCGATGACAAATCCACAGCCAACATAATACTGAATGGGCAAAAGCTGGAAGCATTCCCCTTGAAAACTGGCAAAAGACAAGGATGCCCTCTCTCACCACTCCTATTCAACATAATATTGGAAGCCCTGGCCAGAGCAATCAGTCAAGAGAAAGAAATAAAGTGCCTCCAAATAAAAAGAGAGGAAGTCAAACTACCCTCTGTTTGCAGACAACATGATTCTATATCTAGAAAACCCCATAGTCTCAGCCCAAAAGCTCCTTAAGCTGATACATAAATTCAGCGAAGTCTCAGGATACAAAAGCAACATACAAAAACCACTAGCATTCCCATATACCAACAGTTAAGCCAAGAGCCAAATCAGAAACATAATCCCATTCACAACTGCCACAAAAAGAATAAAACACCTAGGAATACACTAGAAAGATCTCTACAACAAGAATTAAAAACACTCTTCAAAGAAATCAGAGATGACACAAACAAATGGGAAAACATAAGCAATTTACACATTCAATGTTATTCCTATCAAACTACCAACAACATTCTTCACAGAACTAGAAAAAACTATTTTAAAATTCATATGGAACCAAAAAAGAGCCTGAATAGCAAAGGCAATCCTAAGCAAAAAGAACAAAGCTGGAGGCATTACACTACTTGACTTCAAACTATACTATAGGGCCACAGTAACCAAAACAGCATGGTACTGGTACAAAAACAGACACATAGACCAATGGGACAGAATGAGAGCCCAGAAGTAAGGCCGCACACCTACAACCATATGATCTTCGACAAACCTGACAAAAATTAAGCAACGGGTAAAGAACTACTTATTCAATAAATGGTGCTGGGATAACTGGCTAGCCATATGCAGAAGATTGAAAGTGGACTCTTTCGTTATACCATATATAAAAATCAACTGAAGATGGATTAAAGGTAAGTGTAAAATCCAAAACTTTTATAAAAACCCGGGAAGACAACCAAGGCAATACCATTCTGAAAACAGGAACGGGCAAAGATTTCATGACGAAGACACCAAAAGCAATTGGAACAAAAGCAAAAATTGACAAATGGGATCTAATTAAACTAAAGAGCTTCTGCACAGCAAAAGAAACTCTCAACAGAGTAAACAGACAACATATAGAATGGGAGAAAATTTTTGCAAACTATGCATCTGACAAAGGTCTAATATCCAGCATCGGTAAGAAACTTAAACAAATTTACAAGAAAAAAACAAACAGCCCCATTAAAACGTGGGCAAAGGACATGAGCAGACACTTTTCAAAAGACACACATGTGATGCAGCCAATAAGCATATGAAAAAAAGCTCAATGTCACTGATCATTAGAAAAATGCAAATCAAAACCACAATGAGATACCATCTCACACCAGACAGAATGTCTATTATTAAACAATCAAAAAACAATAGATGCTGGTGAGGTTGCCAAAAAAAAGGCTTATACATTGTTGGTGGAAGTATAAATTAGTTCAACCATTATGGAAAGCAGTGTGGCGATTTCTCAAGGACCAAAAAAACTACCAGAAATACCATTCAACCCAGCATTCCCATTTCTGGGTATATACTCAAAGGAATATAAATTGTTCTGTTATGAAGACTCATGCATACCGTATGTTCACTGCAGCACTATTCACAATAGCAAAGACATGGAATCAACCTAAATGCTCACCAATGATAGACCGGATAATGAAAATGTGGTACATATATACCTCGGAATACTATGCAGCCATAAAAATAATGAGACTGTGTTCTTTGCAGGGACATGGATGGAGCTGGAGGCCATTATCCTTAGCAAACTAACACAGGAACGGAAAACCATATACTGCATGTTCTCACTTATAAGTGGGAGCTAAATTATAAGAACATATGGACACATAAAGGGGAACAGACAGTGGGGCCTACCAGAGAAGGTGGAGAGTGGGAGGAGGGAGAGGATCAGGAAAAATAACTAATGGGTACTAGGCTTAATACCTGTGTGATGAAATAATCTGTACAACAAACCTTCATGACACGAGTTTCCCTATATAACAAACCTGCAGATGTACCCCTAAACTTAAAATAAAAGTTAAAAAAAGGAGGGGCTAGCCACACGATCACAAATACATATGCACATATCTGCTGGCCCAAATCCTGATCCCCTTATAGGAAATTACCCTACAGATATACCTGCACATGTATGAAGTGATATACAAGGTTATTCACTGCAACTTCATAATAGCAGAAGATTGAAAGAGTGTCTGAAAAGCTTATTAAGGTATATGATTCCATGTAAAAACAAGGTGCAGAATAGCATCTAGTTGTCACCTTTTCTAAGAAGGAAAATAAAAGTATTTAAAAATTTAAAGATTTGCATAAACAGTGGAAGAATTTTCGAGAACCTAATGGATATGGTGAACTATAAAAGGCGTAGTAGGCAGGCAGAGTAGATGGGAAGAGGCTGCACAGCAAGATTTTCAAATTGTATCTTCTTATAAAAGTTTCTTTGTAATAGTTATTGAAATCAAATTATGGAGCTATATAAAAAATCAGAAAACTTCAGTGTACATGGACATTTTTTTCTTTACATGTACATTTTCAGTACAACCCTAAGCCAAAAAAGGAAAGTACGTAGTAAATACGAGTCAAGCAATAGGGTTAGGTCAAAGTGACTGACTGCCAGGAGGCCAGAAATTGGATGGCAAAGTCCACTTTGCAGGCAAGGGATTTCCAGAACAGCATTTACTAAGGCAGGTCTCTGAAGATGAAAGAAGCCAGGCTTTTAGTTTTACTGGATCATTCAATTTCTATAAATACTCTCTTCCAATTAAGCCAATGAATTTACATTTCTTTGCAGCCCATGCTTTTAAGTAAAGCTCAGATGTTTGCCATAGAGTGTTTTCCACTATGTGGCACTCCCCTCACCCCCACCTTCAGCTTTGTTTCAATAAACAATCAACACAAGCACCTAATTATAGACTTCAGGAATATAAAATTCCTCAGATCAGACAAGAAATACAACATACTCTTCTCCCACGTCTCTAACCTGTCTTTTAACTAATTCAAAATCAGGCAACACCTTTAGATACTGTGTAAAATACACCACATGGAGTATACAAACAAGACATATTAACCAAGGTTTTTAAGTACCTCTATGTCTATCTGAAGAGATGCCAGTTTTTACATATTCCCTAAAAAAATCATATTTTACAAACATCTATTTTCTAACTGCTGTGTGTGTGTGTGTGTGTATACATATACATATTAAAGGCAAGCACATTTAACTTCCTCTGGGCACATGACAAGGCACCAGAGTTACATTTCTGATTATCTGTCATACAACACAGCAAGAAAACAAGTCAGCCAATTTCTCCTGTATGGACACTGGATACCAGGAATTTATAGGAAGATACACACCAGCAAGCAAGGCAACATGCTAGTCTGCAAGAGCACTCCTTGGAGAGCTGATTATTTCTCTGGAGAGGTTTCTAAGCTTTGCATTGAGAGCGCTCATAACAACCAAACCAAAAAGAGCCCACTACAATCTAGCTTTCACCATCCCTTGCTCAGTTTCTGAAATTACTACCTGTCATCTGCCTGGACAAGGAAAATGGGATTGGACAAGTAAAAAACCTTTCATATCAATCCCCAGGAATGAAACTGGAGTTTAATATCCTGCCTATTGTGTCAACAGGAAGTGGGGCAGAAAGGTTTAAGGACGATGTGATGGATTACCAATGTTCTAGTCCTTGATATGGCTCTAACCCACTGTGTGACCTTGGGCAAGTCACCTGCCCTCTCTGGGCCTCCACTTGCTCACCTTTAATATGAGGTAGTGGTACCTGAAGTCTCGCAAACATCTTTTCCAGCACACATGAACTGGAGCTCCTGGTTGCTTAATTCTGATGGCTTACTCTGTCACTAGAAAACCCAATTTACTGCCAAGAATAAATTATGGCAATGACTGTTGGTGATTGTTTACAATGAATGAATGTGTTGTAACACAACTCATGGACAAAATGACTTCACAGCCTATTCCCTTAGATTTTTGACTCCTGATTTTGTAGCAGTCTCTGCACCAGACGACATAATATAAAAATAAATTCTCTGCTTCATCTCGGCCCTTACCCCTTAGAGGCTAGATCAGTGCAAATCACTGTTTAAAAAAAAAAAAGATTGCTGAGAGTAGTGTAGTGTGGTGCACTGGTGAACTGCCCCCAAGACCTGCTCAAGTTTAGAGCTGCAAGCAGAAGAAGCAGTGGCTTGGGGTTAGGACTACATTCCTATGCTGAGGGGTGGGGGTGGGTTGTCTGAAAAGGCAAAATGGCAAGACTTACAGGCTCTGTTCTCTTTCTCTTTCTCTCTCTCTCTCTCTCATACACACACACACACATACACATCCCACTAATAACGTAGTACTGCTTAGCTCATTTGTCCCTTGGGCAAGAAAGTTCACAAGAAAGGCAGTGCCCTTCCCCCCAACATCTGTCCCAAGCTGCAGAACGCCCAGCACTGGCTGGTCATACTCTTCTTCAGTATGACACTAAACAGGACAAACGTGGACGTCCCTCCTTCCTCTGTGTTCAGAGGATCTACCTATTTTCCCTGACAAGATGCAAGCTAATATGTTAACCTAACTTATTACACTCTATCTTGATATTATCCAAGAAAGACAATTAAAAATTGATTATATTCTGGGTCTAAGGTGGCCACATTTCTTTATTAAGATGCAGTAAAACAGTGACATTGCATGAAGGTGCTTTTTGTTATTAAGACTTCTTTGCTTTTACTTTTAACTTTTTAGGTTCTCTTTAAATGTTGAACCATCCATCCCATCAAAAATACAGAGGGCCGGGCATGGTTGCTCACTCCTGTAATCCTGGCACTTTGAGAGGCCGATGCAGGCAGATCACTGGAGCCCAGGAGTTGAGACCAGCCTGGCCAACATGGTGAAACCCTGTCTCTACTAAAAATACAAAAATTAGCAGGTGTGGTAGCGCACACCTGTAGTAGTCCCAGCTACTCGGGAGGCTGAGGCAGGAGAATCGCTTGAACCTAGGAGGCAGAGGTTGCAGGGAGCCAAGATTGCACCACTGCACTCCAGCTCTAGTCCGGGTGACACAGCAAGACTCTGTCTCTAAATAAATAAATAACATGGGATGAATTGCAAATTTCACTTTCCATTTTCTGGTCCAGAAAGAGGCATTTTACATTGGGGTCAGCAATGATTCCAACCTTAAGTGCTACTTGTGGTATGATACAAAACAATGCCCTTATGTGCCGTGTAGGCACTCCTAATGCCTTTGAGGATAAATCCCTAAACTTCTGGTGAAATAGTTTCATGAAAACAACTATAGGTAATATGTACTGATGCTCTACTATAAGTCAGGCTGCTGTGCTAAATAATATCATTTCGTCTTTCCTGGACTTTTAAGTCAGATGAGAAACTTAACGTCAGCTAGAAAGTGGCCAAGCAGAGACTTCAACCCGTCTAATAACCAATTTGTAACTACAGCAGGTCCTTGAATAACATTTCATTCAATGTCATTTTGTTATAACATTAATGAGGAAAAAAAAAAGGATTCCTGGCCATGGCCACTATCGGTGGAGTTTCCACGTTTTCCCCACATCCGCGTGGGTTTTCTCTGGGTCCTCAGGGTTCCTCCCACACCCCAAAGCTGTGCACATGAGGCAAAGTGGCATGTCTACACTGTCCCAGTCTGAGTGACTCTGGCTGTGTACGAATGTGCTCTGTGATGGGATGGCATCCTGTCCAGGGCTGGTGCCCTGCCTTGCACCCTGAGCTGCTGGGACAGGCTCCATCCACCAGAAACCCCGAGCTGGAATAACTGATTAAATAATCATCTTACTTGTTTTTAAATTAATCTTTCTTAAATGTATGTATAGCTTACCTTTATTTCAGTGTTTAACATTGTACGTATTTTGGAAGGAACTTAAGTCTTATGTATATCAATTAGCCTATGGTCAAATTGCTTTCATGATATCTCATTCATTTAAAATTGCAATTTCCAAGAACCTATGGAGTGAAGACTTACTGTACTGGCTAAACTGCCCTTCAGAGTGATGACAAAACGAATTCCTCAGTTCTAAGAAGCTACTGATTACAAGATGTACCACTGTTTTATAAACAAATGTAGAGGGGGTATCAATGCTAAGATACGTATGTACAAATGAAAAAACGCATGTCTTAGAAAATGGAGAGGCCGGGCACGGTGGCTCACGAGGTCAGGAATTCGAGACCAGCCTGGCCAACATGGTGAAACCCCGTCTCTACTGAAACTACAAAAATTAGCTGGGCTTGGTGGCACGGGCCTGTAATCCCAGCTACTCGAGAGGCTGAGGCAGGAGAATCGCTTGAACCCGGGAGGCGGAGGTTGCAATGAGCTGAGATCGCGCCACTGTACTCCAGCCTGGGGGACAGAGTGAGACTGTCTCAAAAAAAAAAAAGGGAGAAAATATACACATTCTAATTTTCTCAATGCCTTGTCATCCTGGGAAGGAAGATGATGTTGGTAGTATTCTATTTTTAAGTACAAGGCGCTGCTGCCACTAGGGATTCTTACACAAAAAGACCAACTCACCATGACCCGCTCTCGACTCTCCAGCCCGACTGAGGAGGAACTTGACACTCAGGGTGTTATTGGTCCAAATGCTTAAACCATGGCCAGGCCAATGCAGTTCAGTTCAAAAGACATGTATTGAGCATCTATTATATGACAGGGACAGTGCAAGGCCTAGAGATAAACAGACAAAACGGCTGTCCCCAGCATGACTGCTGCCCTAGGAGAAGTTATCATCAGAAGCAAAGCCCAGAGGTCCACATCCCAGTCCTACCACACCCATTCATGACTCAGGGGGACTTCCCAAGACCTTTGGGTTGACATACAACATTTTCCAAGACCTAGCAACAAAATCTTGAATCGAGTAGTTATAAAAAATGTGTTTTCTGTTGTTGTTGTGTTTTTTTCGTCTGGTTTTTGACATAGCATTTCATTTCCAAGGATCTTGCTTCTGAGTGAGGATACAAAAGTTGTACAAAACAGCAACGAAAGGAGCCATGCTAATTTTCTTCATTTTCTTCTAGACACAGCAATAACAAGGCAGGCAGACACAATGGAATAAAGAGAAACAGACCCACGACTAGACTTTCTAAAAAAGACTAGTATTTCTTGAGGGCCCACGAGGGATCATATTAGATACTAGATGTTCTTATTTTCTGTAGGAATGAACTAAGAAGTAGACAAATCTTTCATTTGTCTAAGGTATCAACTGTAGCTGCACTTAAAAATGGAATTCAAAGATTTGAATGAAGTTTATTTCATAAAGACCGAACTTGTTGCGAATCATGAGTAGCTAATATTAAAAATCTCATTGCCTAAAAACACCATAACATATAATAAATAGGGGTATGTACCTACAACTTACAATATACCATGGGGACACTAACATATAAAAACCTTACAATCTAGCTGGGAAGAGCATTCTATTATTTTATATTTATTTTTCAAGACTAGGTCTCGCTCTGCTGCCCAGGCTAGAGTGTAGAGGCACAAACACAGCTAACTGCAGCCTCTGCCTCCTGGGCTCAGCCTTCCAAGTAGCTGGGAACATGGGCGCACACCACCATGCCTGACTAATTTTTTTTTGTAGAGACCTGGTTTCACTATGTTGCCCAGACTGGTCTTGAACTCCTGGGCTTCAGTAATCCTCCCACCTCGGCCTCTCAAGGTGCTGGGATTACAGGAGTGAGACACTGAGCCCAGCCTCTGTCATTTTAAAAGCTAAAAAGTATGAAAGTACTTGATATGAAATTAAGGTAAAATAAATAAAATGCAATAGTTAACTTTTAATTTGACGGAAGACATGCAGTACAGACACACACAATTAACTCTCAAATAATTTTTCTTTTGTTTAGACTAAATAAATGTTAGGGCCATCACAAAGCACTCACCTTGAAAGGGGTGAAGATAAATTGGGGGGCAGAATGGGAATACCAGCTTAAAAAAACAAAGATAGACTTTCTTACCTCTAGCATTGCTCTTTTCAGAGATGGGTTCTCGCTCTCCCGAGTAACTAAGACTACAGGCGTGCACCACCATGCCCTGTTAAATTTTTTTGAAGAGATAGGGGTCTGGCTATGTTGCCCAGGCTGATCTCGAACTCCTGGGCTCAACCAATCAGCCCACCTCAGCTTCCCAAAGCACTGGGATTATGGGTATGAGCCACTGCATCTGGCCTGTCAAATAATTTCTATAAGGCAATAATGCTACCAGAATTCACATAGGCTGAGACAGTATCTGAAGCACTACAGGTTACAAAAAAATGTTATTAATAATCCCAAACTGGGGATTTCAGGTCAAGAAACTGTGTCTTTTGTAAATAGGAAGGCACAGGGAAGTTAGATGTTGGAATGCAGAATCACTATATGCAGACTATTCCCACAGAACAATTCCATGAAGAGACAAAGAATGGAGCCAAGAGGGGCAGCCGTGGACTTTGAGAAGGGCTGGTCCACAGACACGAAGACAGGACCCCTGCATCCCTCTTGTCCCTGCTATTGCCACTGTACCCCACAGCAATTCTTGAGCAGACCCAGCTTTCTGTGTTGACAGACAGGTTTGTTTCCTCATCTGCCAAAAGAAGATGGTGGTGCCCATGAGCCACCTGCGTTACACAAATGTTTCAAAGGTTAAATTTAAAAAATAGATTTGAGATTTTTTTTTTTTTGAGACAGTTTGCTCTTGTCGCCCAGGCTGGAGTGCAATGGCGCAATCTTGGCTCACTGCAACCTCTGCCTCCTAGGTTCAAGTGATTCTCCTGCCTCAGTCTCCTGCACAGCTGGGATTACAGGTGCCTGCCACCATGCCCGGCCAATTTTTCTATTTTTAGTAGAGACGGGGTTTCACCATGTTTTCCAGGCTGATCTCCAACTCCTGACCTCAGGTGATCCAATCTGCCTCGGCCTCCCAAAGTGCTGGGATTACAGGCATGAGCCACCTCACCCGGCCTGAGATATGTTTAAACATGATTATTGGAGAAACTTAACTGTCCTCTAAATGCTTTGTCTATACTGTTCAATGAAAAGAATTGTGTCCAGATATAAATATACACACAACATATCAAATTGAGGGTGTTAAAAGTACTTCAAATAATTCTAAATTTTGCTTTGTTTCTTGTAACTACGTAAGGATAAAAATGCACGAAACACCGCATGTTGTGGAAACCTGCATCATTCTCAACTTTGCTTTCAGGAATAAAAAGCACAGAAGTTACTGAGATAATTGGTGAAATAATATCTGACATGTGAGGAGCCTCTCCTTTGGGTAAGCAGCACAAGATAAATTTTTCATTTAGATGAAGCCACAGCTATTAAGAAGACGGTTACCAGGAGAATGAAAAGACTCAAAGGCAGATTGTTTCTGGAGGAGGCAGGGCGAGCATACTTCGCTGTGTTGGCTCACCTTCACACTAAAGAATACAGTTGCACAGCCCCTGACTCCCTCAGCCAGAGAAAGCACCTCATAAACAGGCTGGCATGCATGTCCAACCAGGTCAGTAGCAAAACAAATATGCTCCTTTCTCTAGCCAAAGCCAACACCAAAGGGGCAGGCAGACTCGGCAAACAGCAAAAGGAGACCCAGTGATGAATGAGGATGAGGCCTGTTGAGCAAACTGCTGGTTAGCAAAAAAAAAAAAAGGTTGGGTGACATGCGGATGGGTCAAAGAAAGGATCCGCGTCAATCCCCTAGTGCATGGCTAGTAGGATTGTAAGATGGGGCACCCGCTGTGGAAAACAGTTTGATAGTTCCTCAAAAAGTTAAACATATGGCCGGAAGCGGTGGCTCATGCCTATAATCCCAGCACGTTGGGAGGCCAAGGTGGGTGGATGGCTTGAGGTAAGGAGTTCGAGACCAGCCTGGCCAACACAGTGAAACGCTGTCTGTACTAAAAAAAAAAAAAAAAAAAAAATTACCCACGCGTGATCTCAGCTACTTAGGAGGTTGAGGCAGAAGAATCGCTTGAACCCAGGAGGTGGAGGTTGTAGTGAGCCAAGGTCATGCCACTACACTCCAGCCTGGGCAACAGAGCAAGATTCCATCTCAAAAAAACAAAAACAAAAACACAAGCTAAACACAGAATTACCATATGACCAGCAATTCTACTTCTGGATATATACCCAAAGGAATTTTAAAAGGGGACTCAAACAGAAGATACTCTCATACATCCATGTTCATTGCATCATTATTCACGATAGCCAAGAGAAGAAAACAACTCAAATGTCCATTGATGAATGAAAAGATAAACAAAATGGGGCCTTATACATACCATGGAATATTATTCAGAGATAAAAAGAATGAGATTCTGATACATGCTACAATATGAATGAAACTTAAAGACATTGTGCTAAGTGAAATAAGGCAGATACAGAAGGGTAAATATTTTATGATTCCACTTATATGAGGTATCTAGAGTGGTCAAGTTCATACAGACAGAAAGTAGAATAGAGCTTACCAGGGACTAGAGGGATGGGAGGGGAGTTATTGTTCAATGGTAGATTTTCTGTTAGAGACGGTGAAAAAAATCTGGACATGGATGATGCTTGCATAACATTGTAAATGTAGCCAATGCTACTGAATCATACACCTAAAAATGGTTAAAATAGTAAACTGTGTGTTTCGGATGCCCTCACCCCTTGTCTGCCACACTGGATTTTGGGCCTCCCCTTATCTGCCACACTGGATTTTGGGGCTTCCCACCCCTACCCCTGACCCTTTTCACTGGATTTTGGGGTCTTCCCACCCCTACTCCTGACCCTTTTCCCTCTCCTTGATCATCTGTTCATTTCTCCATTCAAGATGCCCACCAAATTTACTTCTGGCAGAAGTAGGCTCAAATAAATCTGGAAACCAGAGTTACAGCAGGAGGCTTATGATCCTTGGTCCTGATATTCCACTGCTAGCTCCAGCATGTGACCTCTCCTTCCAAAGGAAAATAAGTCATTTTTTAATGAGCTTTTACAGAGATGGTAACTATCAACACTTCAGATCATTATGGAAAGAAAACTTCAGTTTCTCTAGTGGGTTGCAGAGAGCGGACCAAATCCTAAGTCAGAAAAACAGCCTTTTTTCTACTGGTATCATTGACTTCCTACCAAAAAGCCTGAGAGACAGAGAAGGAGCCAAGACTCCCATGTACAGAATCGTGAATCATTCACTCTAAATACTCGGGAGCCAAGTTTTCCTCTCTCTTTCTTTGGACCAATGAATACATATATCTGCAGTGAGAACTGCCTTAGCTGGAAGTAGGCTGGGGCTAAAGTTAAAAGTCACTGCAACCATTTGTTCCTTTGGAACATTCTGGAAGAGTGTTTAAGACGATGTGGACATTACTAAATTATTTTAATTTTTTTGGATAACTATAGTTATGATTTCTTTGGAAGTCATGTACCTGTGGCAAAATATGCCTTGGTTAAGTATTTGTGGAATGAAGAATATAAGAAAAACAACTCCCTTAAATAAGAGTTCAAAATATGTTATGAAACCAACTTTTCCACAACATGGCAAATCCTTGATATGTAGTAAGTGGAGTGCAAGAAAGTATGACAAAGGGGGCCAGATAGCACGTAATGTTTGATAAGGGGGTTTCACTGCAAGAGATGAGGAAGTCCTGGCAGGGCACCCTGGCTGGGTTGTGGCGCCATTGCTTTCTCCATCGAAGTCTATAATCAAAACTCAAACCTACAGAAAGAAAGAGACCAATATTGGTCATAAATGTACGTATTTCCATTGTATACACTTAAATGGGATGAGGACTGTCAGGTAAATGAAGTATGAATTCTCTTTTTTCTTAAGAAAAAATTGGAGGAGGGCCAGGTACAGTGGCTCATGCTTGTAACCCCAATGTTCTGGGAGGCCGAGGCAGGAGGATTGAGCCCAGGAGTTTGACACCAGCCTGGGCAACATAGTGAGACCCCTCTCTACAAAGAAATTTAAAAAATTAGCCAGGCTTTGGTGGCATGCACCTAGTCCTAGTTACTCAGGAGGCTGAGGTGGGAGGATCACTTGAACTCAAGAGTTTGAGACTGCAGTGAGCTATGATCACGCCACTGTATGCAAGCCTGGGTGACAGAGACCCTGTCTCTTTAAAAAAGAGAAAAGAAAAAATGGGAGGAAAATGATGGTTGCAGAGGGACATGTCACTGCACTTGTAATCAGTGGAAAGACTTACAGTATTAAAATCAGATCTAATGGAGAAATGGCAAATACATTAATAAATAAAATAAAGAAACAAACAAAACGTCTCAGTAAGCCTCCTCCTCCTCCCTAAAGAGCAGCTCGCTTCAGCAGCCCATGCTAAAGCGTTGCTTTACATTCTGGAACTCAGTTCAAAATGTGAGTAATTTTGCATTCTGTTTCACATTGACAAAGTTGTTCTTTCCTGCTACTTATTTATAATTTAATTCCCTCGATGGTTCTAAAATCAAGAGAAAAAATGTTTTCAAACAAAAATCATTATTTATACAGCTGGAGTTTCCATTTAGTTAGGAAAATTAGTAGAAAAATGTTTGGTCAGAATTTGAGATAAGTTTTGAATGTTTCGGAAAACCTTATACCATCAACTTCTAAATCTCTTTTATAATATTTATGTCTTCCCCAAAGTCAACAAGGAACCCCCCAAATCAACTAAATTAATGGGTTCTAATCTGGGCAACTCCTTTGGCAAAGGGTGGGGGAATCTCTGAATCAGCAACAAAAATAGCTCAATTAAAATACCATTCTAACATGCAGTTAGTTTTTGTTTGAAAATGGAAACCAGCAACTTGCTTGCATGAGTAAACAGAAGACAATTACTCCGGCTGGGGTCTCCAGAGCAGAAAGCACGGGAGACAGCTGGCAATTATCTGGCTAACTTAACCAGATAATTCATGCCTAAAAATCCACTCTGGTGCCCAAATTGCCCAGATTGGTTATATTCACAGAAGAACTAAAGAGTGTAATTACCAGATTCCCTTCCAATCTGTGCAGCCAAAGCTGTGCTTAGGTGGTTTGTTTTAAGGTGGTGATTGTACTGTCCTCAGTGCTTCATCTCTAGCAAGGAATGAGCTAGGATTTTCACAATAGAAATTTGAACATCTGTTTAAATATCCTATGGTCTTACATAGGATGCAGCTTTCATATACCAAATGCAGTACTAAAAATTTCAAATATGCCGAGACACTGACAAACTGCACCGGAGATAATGCTTTAAGTTTATACACCTTGAGGCAAAGCCCAGTTGAAGAGAGATATTGTAACTCCTAACAGAAAAAAATCTGATGGGGAAAACATAGAGTTAAAAATAGAGAAAGAGAATGTGTAAGATTATGCAAATTAGAGTATCCAAAATTTGAAACAAGTATGTCTTTTTAGCCTGTCACCAAAGACAGGAGATTAACACCCTTATGTTTATATAGCACTTTATATTTTTACAAAGCCCATTACAATGAATCCTCACGACTGTGTAAGGTAAATTGGGTGAGTATTATTATTCCCATTTCATGGATTAAGAAAATAGGGTCCTCAGATTTGCAGAAGCAAAGCTAATTCAAATCTGAAACTTGAACCCAAGTCTTCTAGATCACAAGTTTGGTGCCCTTTCCATCACACTGTGCTAAAGGCTAAAGTTAACTTAAAGCAAATAACAAATATCACATTACCCAGTCAAATCTGTGGTATTCGCCATCACAAATAGTCTTAGAGTTACACGTGTCATTAAATAAATCTTATTACCAAGCGCCGCTGGAGAGCACAGACTTTATGGGAAGGTGGTAGCCACGAAGGCTGCTCTCCATCAGTTCTGCCAGACCCTGGGCAGGGCATTTCTCTTGGACTCTGCTTCCTAACCAGTTAAAGGAAAGAATAGATTAGAGAATCTCTCAAGTCCCTTCACATCAAGCTGATGATCAACCTAAAAGGGTTCAGTTTCTCCCGTTCCCGTGAACTCAGAATGACAAGTGTCCGTTTTCTTCATCCTCTGGATATTACAAACTTCTCTAAACCAGTGGCTCTGTGCTCTCCTTAACAAAAATAGGGTTCTAAAATGCATTTTACCAACTTTGGCCTAACTTAAGCAGGAAAACAATATAAACACTACATTTTTAGAATTATTATAATATTCACTACATTTTAATATAACACTACATTTTTAGAAAAAAAATTTTTTTGAAAAAAAAAAGACAATTCTTTAATGTATGATCTTGAATTTTCTATATTCATGAATTTTCTATAGGTTACTATGCTGCTCAGTTCCATTTCCAAACTTGATTGGCACCCGCCAATTTTGATGCTCTTCAGATGGATAAAGGGTATTGGAAACCAGAATAATAGCCTTGCCCCGGATCAAGAAACAAAAACTACTTCTTTTAAATTGATGCCATTTCAAAAGCTATCAAATTTTGCTCAAATTACCAATCATCACCTGTAGTTGGCAATGACTGCTTTGAAGTTTCTTATAAGCTAGGTCCAACCAAGGGACTTCTATTTCTCAGTAGTACACTCCACCTGGGAATAATGACTTTAAATTTTTAAGAGACTGAGTCTTACTCTGCGCCCAAGCTGGAGTGCAGCAGCACAATCACAGCTTACTGCAACCACTGCAGCCTTGAACTCCTGGGCTCAAGGGATCCTCATACTTCAGCCTCCCAAATAGCTGGGATTACAGGTACATGCCACCACACCTGGCTAATTTTTAACATTCTCGTGGAGATGGGGTCTCACTGTGCTGCCCAGGCTGGTTTCAAACTCCTGGCTTCAGGTGATCCTCCCACCTCAGCCTCCCACAGCACTGGGATTACAGGTATGAGCCTCTGCACCTGGCCTGATGTTTTAAAAAGTATGAAAGATGTTCCCCACTCTCTAAATGGAATTAACCATTATGCTTTAGTAGAAGTCCATATTAGAACCTTATTGGAATTCAAGGGCTTAAATCCCAGGCAGCGTGTTCTCATTGCCTTTATGCTTTCCTAGTCCTGCTTGGTCATTTAAGAGAGGAGGGGAAAAGGACTGCTAACGTGGGAAAGCATCTAACATAGAGAGACAGAGGAAGAACGTCTAGAACAAGCTTGTCCAACCTCCGGCCCACGGGCCGCATGTGGCCCAAGACAGCTTTGAATGCATCCCAACAGAAATTCACGAAGTTTCTTAAAACGTTACAAAATTTTTCTCTCTCTCTCTCTCTGTGTGTGTGTGTGTGTGTGTGTGTGTTTCCTAGCTCATCAGCTATTGTTAGTGTTAGTGTATTTTATGTGTGGCCCAAGAAGTCTTCTTCCAACGTGGCCCAGGGAAGCCAAAAGATTGGACACCCCGATCTAGAATCTTGATTTTACCAGAAATGTGCTAAAGTCAAACATTCCTCTATCGTAAAGACAATTCTTTAGACCAGGCATGGTGGCTCACGCCTATAGTCCCAGCACTTTGGGAGGCCGAGGCAGGTGGATCACCTGAGGTCAGGAGTTTGAGACCAACCTGGCCAACATGGTGAAACCTCATCCCTACTGAAAATACAAAAATTAGCTGGGCGTGGTGGTACATGCCTGTAATTCCAGCTACTCGGGAGGCTGAGGCAGAAGAATTGCTTGAATCCAGGAGGCGGAGGTTGCAGTGAGCTGAGATCACACCACTGCACTCCAGCCTGGGCAACAGAGAGAGACTCTGTCTTGGAAAAAAAAAAAAAAAAAAAAAAGGACAATTCTTTAATGTATGATCTTAGCCTGGAAAAGTTCTCTTTCTTCCAGGGAAGGTTGATAGGGACAAGAAAAGAAAGCAAGATAAGGGCTGTAATAATAGTAACAATAATGTTTATTGTTGTTATATAACAACAAAAGGAGCACCTTTTTCTTACCTCCAGAATCCCTTTAATTATGGTGTTCAGCAAGTCAATGAATTTACTTTATTTATTTATTTTTTTGAGACGGAGTCTCCCTCTGTCGCCAGGCTGGAGTGCAGTGGCACAATCTCGGCTCACTGCAACCTCCACCTCCCGAATTCAAGCAATTCTCCTGCCTCAGCCTCCCAAGTAGCTGGGACTACAGGCGTGCGCCACCACACCCAGCTAATGTTTGTATTTTTAGTAAAGACAGGGTTTCACCATGTTGGCCAGGATGGTCTCGATCTCTTGACCTTGTGATCCACCTGCCTTGGCCTCCCAAAGTGCTGGGATTACAGGTGTGAGCCACTGTGCCCGGCCAAGTCAATGAGTTTTAATAATGCTTATTTTTCCCTATCTTTTGAAGTTAAAAAGTTGGCTTGCTAACCAGCTATAACTTTTAGTATGTTAAAGTGTTCTGGTCTCACTAGCAAATCAAAAAGGCCCAGCAATACGTCATTCTCCCATATATTCTGCATTGTCTATTAATTTTTTACATGACTTGGGGCACATCGGCCAGGTGCAGTGGCTCATGCCTGCAATCCCAGCACTTTGGGAGGCTGAGGAAGGAAGATTGCTTGAGCCCAGGAGTTGGAGACTTGGGGCATGTGATCACCAAACTTGAGTCTGAAGTGCTGACTGTAAAATGGATATACCACTAAACTACTTCAAAGAGCTGTTGCTGGAAAGAACAAATACAACTCACCATAAAATATTCTTAAATAATCCAGCAGGACCTCACTTGTCCAGGACCACACCCATTTACAGATGGGTGCTATGCAGAGCATCCACGGCTGACGCCAAATCTGTCGGCCCTGGCGCCATGTTCCTGTGCCCTTGTCTCCACTGCTGAGGCCTGCAGCCAGTCACCCTCTAGGCTCCCCACCCCTCTCCATCTGCCACGCTCTCATTTTATGCGTGTGCCTTTGTTCATTCTGATGAACAGAAGCCTGATTCTGCTTAGTACTGCCCATGGTGGGGTCTCCAGTGCTCATTCATACCAAGGATGACCACAGGCATTATAAAGCTTGCTGCAGTGAATGGGGATGTCAGGGCAAGGAAGGGATATTCAGCTACCTGGACCCCTTCTGGTCCTAAATGAAACAAAGAAGCAAAGCTGTACTATACAACAGTTAAACTTAATAAGGCACCTGAAGAGAAACCTGTGTTTCTCTCTATAGTTTATTCAGAAAGAGCAAGCAGAATATTTTTGGAAATAATGAAAAATCCACTGATACATTTAGAGCTTTCGGTGGGTCTAAGATTTAAGTGGCGTAGGAGAAAAGAAACTGAGATGTATTACTTGTACATTTTTCTTCTGACACCTTGATATTCCAGTTTAAACTACCTCGAATTATGCCACAAATCAGTGTCTTTAAGTCCACAGATTCTTAGGTCTTTGAGATCAATTCACCCCTAGTTATACAGATAGCAAACTGTTAAGAAACCAGTCTAAAGTTTTCTTGCTTCTTTGTGCTAAGTTCACCAGAATTCAAGCCTCTGACTTTTTTAACGATGGTGCTCCCTTTTCTTATACCACAACGTGGATTTGCTCATGGTTATCTTCCTTTAATAAATTCTTGCCACAAGTGAATTTAGGCTGTTTTTAATTAAGGTCTTAACCAAAAGATCATTTGGAAAACTCTGTCCCTCCCACAAGGCAGGACAAGCTTGTTCTGACCAGCTGTGCAAAGATTTTTCTGCTCAATCATCAAAGCTTGCAATATCCTCTTACAGTCCTGATAAGGTGAGCATCACTTCCAACCTATCTATGAAAAAAGTATCTCTCTCAAACTTCCATCCCAAAATTAACAAAAGTGTGGAGAAGATTCACAGGGAAGCAGTAAACCCAGAGCAGGGGGTGGGGACCACATTTGATAGGAATCTTCATTAACATGATTTTAAGGAGTGATAGGACTTCTCTTTTCACATAATTCCACCAGAATTCATGTTTTCGTGCCATAGACGCCTCCTTTGGCCTCCTGATGAAGTCTATTGGACCCCTTTTCTCAGGCTAGTGCTTTTTTATGTCTTAAAAAAGAAAATATATATATATATGGGATTACAAAGGAAACACTTTGTATTGAAATATAGCTATTCAAAATATTAAAAAGCAATTTATCATACAGTAATCTATGTTCTTCTGTGTTAGTGCGTGAAATAAAAAGATCCAGCAGCAGGTCAAAAATTACTGTAATTTTGAAGTCATGATGAGCATAAACAATATTTCAAGACAGCTGCAACAAGTGTAATGTGATATGAAAATATCTATTTCTATGGGTGACAGTCAAACACACTGCCAGTTCTACTGTGGTTTAGTGCCTACGTTCATACTAGAAGAAAACGCTAAATTTCAGTTAGAGGGTAGTCACACAAAAAAATTAAGTAATATCTAGAATTCTATCCAGGGGCCCACATTAACAACCTGAACCATAGAACTGGTCTGTAATCTCCTTCAGGTCTAATTCATTTGATTCCTGGGATCTAACTAGCATAATGCACGACACAGACAGGCACTTGGCAATTGTGTGAATTGAACTGAGTCCACAGAGTCTGAATTTAAAAACAAAACAAAACATTAGAAAGGGGCTGAGGCTGCCTTGAGTAATCTTCCATGCCCCTTAATCTCAGCGAGTCCACCCACTGCCAGCTTCCTTCAAGTTCTTCATTCATTTAGCAAATATTCACAGAGCACCTAGTGAGCGTCGGGCAACATTGTGGGCACTAGGCAAACAAAAGAGTCTAACTGCAGATGGTGATGAATGTTAATAAAACATGAAAATAGGATAAAGAGTGACTGGCAGACCAGATGGTAGCAAGGGCTTTTCTGAAGTGACAGGTGAGTCAATAGATGACAAGGAGCCAAGGTCATATGAAGATGTGAGGCAAGGCCATTCCAGGCAGATGGGACAGCAAGTGCAAAGGCCCTGAGGCAGGAAGCAGCTTGGTGCAGCCCTTTCTTGCCTTGTGCTCCCTACATTTAACACACCCTGGCCATACCACACCCTGGAAGAGCCTCATCAGACAGTCTACGTGAGGAAACGTCGAACAGGGTCTTCCACAAGACCCTGGAAGAGGCCCTGTTCACCTCTCCCCTAACCTTCCCTCCATCTATCCCATTTTCACATACTCCAGACCACATCCATCTCTCAATCAGAAAATTTCAGGGCAGAAGCTGTTCCATAAATCATCTAATTCAACCCCAGCTGTAATCATCCGACCACACCTTCTGTTACAAGAAACTCAGCCCACTGAAGAAGTACGCTTTCCCTAAACGTAAGGTCTGTGGTCTACACCATATATCTTGTCTCAAACAAACCTAAACGGCTTTCCCCTGATAGATCTAATGGGCTTGTCTTATTTACACTTTGAACTCCTTCAGGTAAGCAGCAGCCTTGCCTTCCCTGTCTTCTCCATGTACAGAGCAGAAGTGAAGACACAGGCTGCGCAGTTAATCTAAAAGGAGGTGGCCAACGAACACCATGGCCTCCATGTTCACAGACCCCCCTCCCCAAGGCCCCAGAGTAGGTGAGTTCTATACAAGATGGAAGAGTTTTTTGAAAACAGCCACAATCTTGAGGCCAATTATGTTGGGGTAGCTTGTATTCTAAATCAGATTTTTCTCCTTCACAGGTGCCTTGGGCTAAACGCCCACCCCCACGTCCCCGTTAAATTCCTATGTTGAAGTCATAACCCCCAGTGCCTCAGAATGTGGCTGTATTTGGAGAATGAACCTTTAAAGAGGTGATTAAGTTGAAAGAGGCCATTGGGGTAAGCCCAAATCCAATCTGAAGGAAAAGACACCCGGTGAGCTTATGACAGAGGGACGACCAGGTGAAGAGGCAGCCATCTTGGAGCCGAGAGCGGCCTCAGAGGAAACCTCCCTGACAACATCTTGGACTTCCAGTCTCCAGATCAGGGAGAGAATAGATTTCTGCTGTTGAAGCCACCCAGTCTGTGGTACTTTCTTATGGCAGCCCTACCAGACTAATGTAATAGGTGTCTAAATTTAGATATTTCCAAAAACAGAGGCTGAGACAAGGAGTTGTGTGCAGGTAGTTTATTGGGAAGTGATCCTAGGAGGAGGGAGAGTGAGGTGGGTGTATTATTGAAGAGTGTGTGTAGAAGGTCATGGCTACAGGTAACAGGGGCTTCATTCTGCTGAGGCCTCCCAAGAAGCATCCAGAATGCCCCCTGGAACTTTTCTAGGAAGTAGGGCCATTTATCCACTGGCTTCCATTCCCACTGGTAGAGGGTGGCCCTGGGGTGTTGACCCCCCTCCGACTCACAGGTTGCAATATGTTCAGTCTGCTCCTAGAGAGACAAAAAAGCAAAAAGCAGTGCTCCTGGCACCTGAGGCAGGACACCGTCAGCAGAAGGCAAATCTCAGCTCACGGGACACTGGGCCATGGGATGCGAGGTGGGAGCAGACGGAGTACTGTATGAAGTCAGCAGATCACCGTTGATGCAGCTGGTTCCTTCTCCAGAAGCAAAAACATCTTTAAGGTCACTGAAGATAGCAAGATTCTGCAATGGACCCATTTGAGGCCACAGAGATGTAATGATAGTGGCATCCAGAGACAGTTGCATTCCTCCCACCGGGTAGATTCAGGTGTCAGCTGATGACGAGAAGTGTTGAGGAATACCGTGTCTCCGGCATGCTCATTTTCAGCACACTCTTGTGAATTCTGTGTTTTAAGTGAGAATTTTGGTTGGGCCTTTTTGCTATTTTCCAAAGATAATCTAATTCTTTTTTTTCTTTTTCTTGAGACAGAGTCTCTCTTGGTTGCCCAGGGTGGACTGCAGTGGCGCCATCTTGGCCCACTGCAACCTCCATCTCCTGGGTTCAAGTGATTCTCCTGCCTCAGCCTCCCAAGTAGCTGGGATGACAGGTGTGCGCCACCATGCCCAACTAATTTTTGTATTTTTATTACAGATGGGGTTTTGCCATGTTGACCAGGCTGGTCTCAAACTCCTGACCTCAGGTGATCTGCCTGCTTTAGCCAAAAATAACCCAATTCTTTTATAATCAACATGTCCCTCTATTGCAACAGGCCCTCAACTCTGAAGTGAATCCTACTGCTTATGAAAAGAAGAAAGAGTAAAATCACCTCACTTAAGTTCTAGGTAATCTCTAGAAGCCAACCCATAAAAAGGATTTTTCTCTCCCATCCAAGTTTCCCCTCTGGAATTGAGGTGTTATGTCAAATATGGTACTTCTGAATGTCACGTGAACAACTAACTCCAGTTTATTCAAGCTACCCTTTAAGACCAATAAATGTGCTTATGGGACAAATTTTCTAAATTCCCTTCAGAAATTTATTTCCTTCTCTTTGGCAAATAACTATACGAGATTTATTACTTAATACTTTGTAAAGTAAAACATCCAAGATAAAGTTATGCAGGGAGATGTCAGACGTGAGTGGTATTTCCTGGTATTTTCCAATTATCCTGAGTCCTATCTTTAGAGTTATCAGATTTAGCAAATAAAAATACAGAGCATTAAGTAAGTTAAATTAGAATTTCAAACAAACAACAAATTTAAAAAATATCTATATCCCCAATATTGCATGGGACCTACTTATACTAAAAAAGTTATTTGTTGTTTATCTGAAATTCAAATTGAACTTGGCATCGTGTATTTTATCTGGTAACCCTATCATAATATTCCAGAATGGAAAAATAGCAAATTTAGAATTTAAAAGTAGAATTTATATTTAAAATATAACCTCCTATTTTAACTTTGATTAACTACAGCAGAATACTCAAAGCATGATTAGTTAGAACAAGCTGCCATTTTAACAGAGAGGATTCATTTTAGAACTGATGGCTCATTATAACTAGGGTGGTTCAATTTGAAAGGAAAAAAATAGGGCATTTTATTTAATATTTAATAAAATATTAAAATTCCCCCAGGAATCAATGTGTAAGAACAAAAAAACCATCTATTATTATTTGCATAAAAAAGAGCAATTAAAATGTAGTAAGCACACATTTTATTTGTGTAACTTGCCACTGTTTAGTGCTTACAGAAGATAAAACATCAATGTGGGTTAAGATACTGAAAAAAAAAACACACAAGAAAGTGGTTGGAAAAAAATTGGATTGGGTCTCAAAATTGTACATATCTCAAACTATGCAGAACAGAAACAGTTTCCTCTCCAACTTTGTCCTTCTCTTAGTTTGAGAAATGGTCCTAGACTTTCCGGAAAAAATACGGTAGTCTCTCCTCATCCTCCGAGGATACATTCCAAGACCCCTACTGCAGGCCTGAAACCTCAGATAGTACCAAACCCTATACATACTGTTTTTTCCTATACAGTAAGGAATGAGGGTTGGGGAATAGTGTAACATAGTGCGAATACACCGGACAAAGGGGATGACTCAAGTCCCAGGTGGTATTTAATGATGCTACTCAGAACCGAGTGCAATTTAAAACTTATGAATTGTTTATTTCTGGAATTTTTCATGTAATATTTTTGGACCTTAGGTAACTGAAAGCACGAAAAGCAACACCGTGGATAAGGGGGACAACGAATATACCCTTGTTTGAGATGGCTTATATGACACTGTAGCTGGGGACAAAGAATGCCTGTGATAGGCAAAGAATTATCTGAGAGCAAGACTTGTTAACCTTGGCACTAGTGACATTTTGGGCTGGATAATTCTTTGTTGTGGGGAGGCTGTCACATATGTTATAGTATGTTTAACAGTATCCCTGGCCTCTACGCACTAGATGCCAATAGCATCTCCCACTCCCAGTTACGAAAATCAAAAATGTCTCCAGACATTGCCAAAGGTCACATGAGGGGCAGAACATTCCCCAGTTGAGAACCACTGGTCTACGAGAACCTCTGGTGTTTTGGCTCTGCCCTGGCAATGACAGTCTTGAGTTCCCAGAAATTTCTAAAAATATCATTGTAGGGCAGCTTAGAATAACAAAAGGGGGAAAAAAAGCTGCAACGAAATTTGCACCAAATCCATGTTGACCAAAATTCTTCTAAATATATTTACGGAACAATTAAAATAGATTTATCTACCTAAAGATGCCCCTAACTCTTTATATGTGGAAGTTGTGTACTAATCCAAGATTTAGGCAAGAGACCTGTTTTCAGCACCAACTCTAATCTTTGCTTAGCACGTATCAGAGGGCTAACCTTTCTGACCCTGTCTACATTCCCAACATTGGTTCTCATTCAGCCGCTCCCTTCCCAGTCAACCCTGAGAGGTAAGTCATTAACCGTCCCATGTTAGATGAGGAAGCTTGGGGGCTGGGCGTGGTGGCTCACGTCTGTAATCCCAGCACTTTGGGAGGCCGAGGCAGGTGGATCACTTGAGGTCAAGAGTTCGAGACCAGCCTGGCCAGTATGGTGAAATCCCGTCTCTACTAAAAATACAAAAATTAGCCAGGCATGGTGGCATATGCCTATAATCCCACTACTTGGGAGGCTGAGGCAGGAAAATCGCTTGAATCCGGGAAGCAGAGGTTGCAGTGAGCCAAGATCGCACCATTGCACTCCAGCCTAGGTGTCACAGCAAGAATCCATCTCAAAAAATAAAAAAAAATAAAAAATAAAAGAGGAAGTTTGGGTCTAGAAAAGAGAAATGACTGCCTGAGTTCCCGCAGCTGGTGAGATTTTAAACTCCAAAGTCCAAGCCCTTAACCACCTCCCTCACCTTGGGAGAAAAGAAAATCACTAAATGTCTGTGACCTTAGTTTCATTTCCTCGCCTCTAACTTAGAAATAAACATTTCAGTACTTCAGAGTCCCTGCGAGAGCTTCAAGGCAGTTCACTGAATCGTTGCAGGAGAGGGACCAAAGTCCCTTGGTGAACAGCGGTGTTCACCGAGGCCTGCTGTGCTGGGCAGCACCCATCTCAAAGGCCAGAAGAACCAAACCCTAACTCAGAGATCTGCTTCAGAATTTAAATGAACTGCTGCCAACTCACTTGGAAAGAGCACTATCAGAGATGCAAATGTAAATAGTAAATATCATCAAGGAGCTCCTAGGACTTCGAAAAGAGGAGATGCATGGCATGGAAGGTGTGTGGCAGGTGTCAGGAAGGCCAACTTCCACAGTGACATTCTCTCCAAGTCACCTCAAATGGTAGTCCAAATGTATGCCGGCAGAATGGGCAGTCACTTCGGCAGCAAAACCTCCCTGAGGTCCCCAAGAATTCAATGGCCACAGTGAGTCTCTGTGGCTTAGTGGACAGTCACAGAAGGTCTGAGCAGAAGGGGGCCTTAGAAATCACTTTTATTTGACAAATGAGAAACTGGAGCCCTGAGGTGAAAAGAATTGATCCCACCCAACCTGCCAGGTCCCTGGTGCCTGACTACACTGCAAACCCCAATGTAACCCCTGCCCTGGCCGACCCTTCTTCCCTAAGCAGATTTTGCAGGAGTAGTTTCAGGACCATATTATTGTTCTGAACTTCTAAGAGGAAAGGGCCAAATACAAAGTGTTTGGTTAACTCAGTCAATGGAGCATAAATGAGATGTTTAAATCTTTGAGTTACAAAGCCTCATTAGGGTAAGAAGGCGCTGTAGGAGTGGACATAGGGAGGGTTTGTGATTCCCATTATATGATAAGAAATGCTATTAGGCTGGAATCAGTTCGATATGCCCAGGGAAGGCAGGCAGGAGTGGTAGTGAACATTTGTCTTCTTATTATATATGCAAAAACCCCAGCTAACATTGTACCTTATGCAGAACTTTTCATTCTCAGTCACTTTTACACATATATTACCCCATTTTCTTCCCCCAGCATCACAGTGGAGAAGGTATGGATAGGTGGTTTGGGGTGCCAATAAACCATAGACTATTTGAAGAAAAAAAATGTCTCACCCATAGTTTCATGGAGCCACATTTAGATTCTAGGTCTAATTTCAACAGATATCAGCACAGTGGAGCTACAGTTACAGTGGACAGATCATTTGTCAAGAATGGAAAAAGCCAGGATGCCAGGGCAGTTGTATTGGGGGGGATGGGAAGGAAGAAGTGAAAGTCTATTTTAAAAGAAATGTAGAGAAAAACTGCTAACAGAGCAGGCAGAGTTCAAGTTTAAGCCCTGGGCATGAGGGAAAGCCCAGTCAGCTGAGGCCATGCCAACACTTCAGGGTTACAAGCACCACTGGTCACCAACAGCACAGCCCTGGAAGGCCCATGTGTGGCCACGATCCCACAATGACACTAGGTGGAGATCAGGCAGATACCACCAACAGAGAGGCTGGGAATGGAATAAGATATTTCAGCCATAACTGCAGACGTGAAAAACAAGATTGGGGCGGCAAGTGCTAAATAAATCACAAAATAATTATTCATTTACCTCTCAGTCTGGAAGTAAACCTATGCTTTCACAAAATTAAGAGTGCAATCATGCAGTAAAAACAAGAAATCTTTGATTAGGTGCCTTCTATTGTGTAATACAAAATTGGATAATGTAGACCAAAAAACAATAAATGAATGACAAAGCAAAACTATATATTTTTATAAAAGACACTAAGATTTAATTCCCCTATACTTACACCAGTAATTGTTGAAGAAAAGGTAAATTAAAGGACTCAGGATATGAAAACAAACTTGATCCCCACCACCACTGCCAATTAATTACATGCACATGAGAAATTCACTAAGCAGCTAATCATTTATATTCTGGTGTAGTATTTCCGCACAACTATTGTATTAGATATTTAAATTTGCAATTTCAAATGGACTCATTGTCACAGGCCTCTTAGTCCATTTTACACACAAAATCAATACACTATTCCTAATAAATGAGATTACTTTTCCAAAACTCCCAGTGGGAGCTCAACAGGACTTCTGTTTGGGAGGCTGCTTCAAACTTCTCCAAAGAAAATTACTTTTCTGATGTTCACCTCTAAGAACCAACAGAAGGCACCTGAGAGAATTCAAATGAAGAAGCAACCACCTCGGGGGAAGGGAGGGCTCAAACTGTTAGGTAATTTAGACACATGAATGTCCCAGTTTAAATGCCACTCTATAGCAAAGCATTTCTGGATCCACCTGAGACCTCTGTTCCTCCACTAGAGAGCTAAGACACGTTGTTGCATTTTCTTCTAAAAGGTAGAAGGGGCCGGGCGCAGTGGCTCACGCCTGTAATCCCAGCACTTTGGGAGGCCGAGGCGGGGCGGGCGGGCAGATCACCTAGGGTCAGGAGTTCAAGACCAGCCTGGCCGACATGGTGAAACCCCGTCTCTACTAAAAATACAAAAATTAGCCAGGCATTGTGGCGTACGCCTGTAGTCCTGGCTACTCAGGCGGCTGAGGCAGAAGAATCGGTTGAACCCAGGAGGCAGAGTTTGCAGTGAGCCAAGATCGTGCCACTGCACTCCAGCCTGGGTGACAGAGCGAGACTTTGTCTCAAAAAAAAAAAAAAAAAAAGTAGAAGGTTCCTGGGGTTGTGCGCACAGCTCCTCCCAGCCTACTGCCCCATTCTGAATGTCCAGGGCTGTGTATTCCTCACCTTTGTATTCCAAACCACAGACCCAACTCTAGAAAAGAGCCGAGGAAGGGTTACAGTGTCTGGCATTAAAAAAAAGCACTGGGTAAATAATTTCTCTCCCCACTCACTTAAACTTTAGCCTGTGGTCCCAACTTGACTTGTATCCTAAATCTGAACAAATACCCTTGGCAAAGCCAAATTTTTCAACTCTTGCTGCCCCAATGGATAAATCCTTTAGAGAGATCTTGCTAGGTCTTCCCTTCATGCAATAAACACTCTACTCTGTAAAAGCCACTGACCGCCCTGCAGGACATGGAGAAACACCTGATAACCCGCCCTAGACAATGGCCTGCCCTCGTCATGTGAGAAAACCCCACGTGTCTGGGTTGCATAATGGTTAAGAGAGGTTTCGAAATTTCCTGGACTTGGTCTGGAACCCTGGTTCTGCCAATGTCCAGAAATGCAGCCTTGGACAAACTGCTTCATCACTGAGCCTCACTTTCCTCATCTACAGATGAGGATATTGGCACCAACTCTCAAGGTTTGTTGTATCAGATGAAAGAAAAAATGTAAACAGCTTACTGCTATTCCCAGTGCAGTAGACTATCTAATAAGTGCAGAGAGTTTTTTTTCTTATAACCCTAAACTCACAGTGGATGGGGGAGAAGAAGCTCAATTTGTAAAAATGCAAGTAAGCATGAACATAAAAACTGTAATTTTAATGAAAAAAAAAAGTATGTAACAGGAAGCAGATTTTCCTTATCTATAGCAAATCATATCACAAAGCTACTGTATTCAAAACAGTGTGCTGCTTCTTTACAAAGGGATAAAGGTATCAATGGAGCAGAGTAGAAAGTTCAGAGACAGAACAACACAGACACACATGCACACAGCACATACATGCATGTATGCATGTACACACACACACACACACACACACACATACACACACTCTCTCTGTGTCTCTCTGAGAAAAGGGCATTTCAAGTGCATGCGTGGGGAAAGCGGAACCATCCAATAAATGGCACTAGTTTAACTGGCTATTCGTTTAGGAAAAATAAAGTCACACCTTTAAAACACACACACACACACACACACACACACACACACACACACCCTTCCACTGAGGTTAAAGATCAAAATAATAAAATTATGAAGCCAGGAGAAAAAATATATAGAATATTGTTATGGTTTGCAGATTAGGAAAGGCCTTCCCAAAGCAAGCCACCAAACTCAAACTGTAAAAGCTGTAATTTCGGCTGTGTGCAGTGGCTCACACCTGTAATCCCAGCACTTTGGGAGGCCGAGGTGGGTGGATCACCTGAGGTCAGGAGTTCGAGACCAGCCTGACCAACATGGTGAAACCCCATCTCTACTAACAATACAAAAAATTAGCCGGGCATGGTGGCAGGTACCTGTAATCCCAGCTACTCGGGAGGCTGAGGCAGGAGAATCGGTTGAACTCGGGAGGCAGAGGTTGCAGTGAGCCAAGATCAGGCCATTGCACTCCAGCCTGGGCAACAAGAGCGAAACTCTGTCTCAAAAAAAGCACTGTAATGGCCGGGTGTGGTGGCTCACACCTGTAATCCCAGCACTTTGGGAGGCCGAGGCAGGCAGATCACGACGTGAGGAGTTCGAGACCAGCCTGGCCAACATGGCAAAACCCTGTCTCTACTAAAAATACAAAAATTAGCTGGGTGTGGTGGTGGGCGCCTGTAATCCCAGTTACTTGGGAGGCTGAGGCAGGAGAATCGGTTGAACCCAGGAGGCAGAGGTTGCAGTGAGCCGAGATCGTGCCATTGCACTCCAACCTGGGCGACAAGAGCAAGACTTGGTCTCAAAAAAAAAGCACTGTAATGTCACATGTAGTCATCTGCCAAACAATGATGCTTTCAGTCGACAGCAGACTGTATATATTCCAGTGGTCCCATAAGATTATAAGACTGTATTTTTACTATACTGTTGCTATGTTTGGATACATACCACTGTGTTTAAGTTGCCTACAGTATTCAGCCCAGTAACATACAGTACAGGTTTGTAGCCTAGGAGCAAGAGGCTAGACCATAGAACCTTGGGGTATAGTAGGCTATACCATGAGGTTTGTGTAAGTACTCTCTATGATGTCTGCAAAATGATGAAATTTCCTAATGACACATTTCTCAGACTATATCCCCATCGTTAAGTGACACATGACATTATAAAAACTAAATAAACATATGTAGAAAGAAATACATCATAGAAAAATCAAAAGAAACATAATAGGCTTGGGCAAAACAATACAGGGATACCACATTTCATTGTGCTCCACGGATACTGCAGTGTTTTACAAACTGAAGGTTTGTGACAACCCTGCATCAAGCTAGTCTATCAGCACCATTTTTCCAACAGTGCTTACTACATATCTCTGTCAAATTTTGGTAATTCTCGTAATATTTCAAACTTTTTCATTACTATTATGTCTGTTGTGGTGATCCGTGATCAGTGATCTTTGATGTCACTATTGCAATTACTAATGTCACTAAATAATGTTTAGTAACAATATATAATGGCAAACTTAATTGATAGCCATTGTGCGTGTTCTGAATGCTCCACCTTCCAGCTGTACCCTGTCTCTTACCCTCTTCTCGGGCCTCCCTATTCCTTAAGAAACAAGAATACTGAAATTAGGCTAATTAGTAATCCCACAATGGTCTCTTAAGTGTTCAGGTGAAAGGAAGAATCACACATCCCTCCCTCTAAATCAAAAGCTAGAAATTATTAAGCTTGGTGAGGAAATGTACGTCAAAACCTGAAATAGGCAAAAAACTAGGCCACTTGTGCCAAATAGTTAGCCAGGTTGTGAATGTGAAGGGAAAGGTCTTGAAGGACATTAAACATGGTACTCCATGAACACACAAATGACACGAGAACAAAACAGCCTTATTACTGATATGGAGAAAGTTTGAGTGGTCTGGATAGAAGATCAAACCAGCCACAACATTCCCTTAAGCCAAAGCCTAATCCAGAGCAAGGCCCTAAATCTCATCAGCTCTTTTGACGGCTGACAGGTGAGGAAGCTGCAGAGGTTGGAAGGTAGCAGAAGTTGGTTCACGACCTTTAAGGAAAGAAGCCTTCTCCATATCATAAAAGTGCAACGCGAAGCAGCAAGTGCTGACATAGAAACAGCAGCAAGTTATTCAGAAGATCTAGCTAAGATCACTCATGAAAGTGGCTACCCTAAACAACAGATCTTCAATGTAGATGAAACAGCTTTCTATTGGAAGATGATACCACTTAGTACTTGCATAGCTAGAGAGGAGAAGTCAATATCTGGCTTCAAAGCATCAAAAGACAGGCTGACTCTTTGGTTAGGGGCTAATGCAATTGGTGACATTAAGTTGAAGCCAATGATCGTTTACCATTTCAAAAACCCTAGGGCCCTTAAGAACTATGCTAGATCGCCGAGCGCGGTGGCACATGCCTGTAGTCCCAGCTACTCAGGAGGCTGAGGTGGGAGGATAGCTTGAGCCCAGGAGTTCTGGGCTGTAGTGCGCTATGCCGATCGGGTGTCCGCACTAAGTTCGGCATCAATATGGCGACCTCCTGGGAGTGGGGGACCACCAGGTTGCCTAAGGAGGGGTGAACCAGCCCAGGTCAGAAAAAAGAACTATGTTAAATCTACTCTGTGATCTATCAGTGAAGTAATAAAGCTTGAATGACAGCACATCTGTTTACAGCATGGTTTACTGACTATTTTAAGCCCATTGTTGATAACTACTGCTCAGAAAAAAAGATTCCTTTCACAATATTACCACTCATTGACAATAGACCTGGTCACACAAAAACTCTGATGGAGATGTACAAGGAGATTAATGTTTTCATGGCTGGTAACACAACATCCATTCTGCAGCCCATAAATCAAGGAGTAATTTTGAATTTCTAGTCTTATTATTTAAGAAGTACATTTTGTAAGGTTATAGCTGCCATAAATAGTGATTCCTCCAAAGGATCTGGATAAAGTAAATTACAAACTTTCTGGAAAGGAGTCTCCATTCTAGATGCCAATATCAACACTCATGGTTAATGGGAGGAAGCCAAAATATCAATATTAACAGAAGTTCGGAAGAAGTTGATCCCAACCCTTATGGATGACAGGGGTTCAAGACTTAGTGGAGAAACTGCCGATGTGGTGGAAGTAGCAAGAGAACTAGAATGAAAATGGAGCGTTAATAGGTGATTGAACTGCTACAATCTCATGTTCAAACTTGAATAGATGAGGAGTTGCTTCTTACGGATAAGCAAATAAAGCGATTTCTTGAGATGGAAGATGACTGTGAACAATGTTGAAATGACAACAAAGGATTTGGGATATTGCATAAATTTAGTTGATAAAGCAGCAGGACAGTTTGGGAAGGATTACTCTGATTTTGAAAGAAGGTCTAGTGTGGGAAAAATGCTATCAAATAGTATCACATACTACAGAGAAATCTTTTATGAAAGGAAGAGTCAATCAATGTGGAAAACTTGATTTTTTCTTATGTGAAGAAATTGCCACAGCTGCCCCAGCATTCAATGACTTCTTCCCTAAACAGCAACAGTCTTCAGTGTGAAGGCAAAACCCTCCACCAGCAAAAAGATGACTCGCTGAAGGCTCAGGGGATTGTTGGCATTTTGTAGCAATATAGTATTTTTAAGTTAAGAATATGTACGTTGGTTTTTGATATAATGCTGTTGCCCACTGAATAGACTACAGTACAGTGTAAACTTTATATGCACTGGGAAACCAAAGACTCCATATGACTTGCTTTATTGTGACATTTGCTTTATTGCTGTGCTCTGGAATCAGACCTGCAATATCTCTGAGGTATGCCTGTATTTACTATACACACACACACACACACACACACACCAGAGAAAGCCCATTATCTATAGTTCATTAAAAGTTCCAATAATTCAGTAAGAAAACTATAAATAGCCTTGGGCACAAAAATGATAAAGAATTCAAAGAGGCTACTCACAGAAATGCAAATTAGGGCAGATACTTAAATTTACTAATTCGTCTTTTTCATCATCTGTAAAATGTGGACAATAATCACACCCACTTTATAGAGATGTTAAGGTTTAAATTAGTGATTTCATATAACGTGCTTAAAACTATCCCTGACACATAAAAACATTCAATAAACATTAGTCAGTAGCAGTAATAGTAGCGGTGGTGGTGGTAGCAGCAGCAATAATTTAAAAAACATACAAGTAAAATAAGGAGGCAGGCTGGGCAACATGGTAAAACCTCATCTCTACAAAAAATACAAAAAGTAGCCGGGTGTGATGGCATGCGCCACTAGTCCCAGCTACTCAGTAGGCTGAGGAGGAAGAATCACTTGAGCCCGGGAAGCAGAGGTCGCAGAGAGCCAAGACTGCACCACTGCACTCCAGCCTGGGCAACAGAATGAGACTCTGTCTCAATAAATAAATAAAAATTGGCTGGGCACAGTAGCTTGCGCCTGTAATCCCAGCACTTTGGGAGGCTGAGGCGGGCAGATTGACTGAGCTCAAGAGTTTGAGACCAGCCTGGGCAACACGGTGAAACCCCAACTCTACTAAAATATGAAAAAAGTAGCCAGCCATGGTGGCGTGCGCCTGTAGTCCAGCTACTGGGGAGGCTGAGGCAGGAGAATTGCTTGAACACCTGGGAAATGGAGGTTGCAGTGAGCCCAGATCATGCCACTGCACTCCAGCCTGGGCAACAGAGCAAGACTCCATCTCAAAATAAGTAAGTAAGTAAGTAAGTAAATAAATAAATAAATAAATAAATAAAAGGAGGTACTATCTAGCATGAGCAGCAACTGCAAAAAGACTAATGTTACCTAGTGTTGGAAAAAGTATGAGAAAACAGGCAACTCTCTACACTTGTGGTGGGAATATAAATTTGTTCAGCCTTTTTGGAGGGTAATTTGGACCTATCTAATCTATCAGCATTTTAATATACATGCCCTGTGATATAAAAATTCAACGCTTAGAAATGCAGCCTACAGAAATACACACAAGCACAAAAACTTATGTACATAGATATCCAATGTAGCACTGTTCATAATAGCAATAGTTAAAATGAAAAATGACAGAAATGACCATCAAATGGGAATAACTAAACACATTCTGGCATATCTATATAACGAGTGGCAGCGCAGCTATTACAAAGAATAATGAGCAACAATATATACAGATAGGGAATTACGTCTCTGGAAATACTAAGCAAAAGGGCAAGCCACGATGTGCACTTTTGTATTTTTGAATCATTTTTACTTTTATATAAATAAAATATAGATTTGCAAATGATTATAAAAAGGAAAGGCCAAGCTGTGATTGTGGTTATCTCTGGGAAGGAAGCAAGATCAAGAGGGAATGAAGAAAGTATTTTCATTTTCACTCCACTTCCTTATATATTTTTTATTTTAAAAAAATAATAAGCAGGTACTAAAAACAAGTATTTTCTTACAAAAAAAAAAAGGTAACAAACAAATTCAGTGTTTCACACCAGAGTCATGGAACTGGACACCTGGGTGGGTGAATGACAGTGTCCATATGCTCCATAAGTGGCTAGCAGTACTCCCTCCCCTGCAGGTACGCTCTAGAGAGGAGACCACAGCTGGAAGGTACTAATGGGATCATTCAATGCCTTTACTCTGACACAGCTAATAACCTTCTGATCGAGAACACAGGCAATAACCAATTTCTGCAACTGTCCACTTGGCAGTTATACTTCTCAGGGTAAGTATTAAGTTCACAGTCTAGTTTGTCCGCCTTTAGAACTCTGATTAACACAAAGCCGCCCTCCAGATCAGTAAATCAGAATTCCTAATCCTGCACAGTTTAGGGCTAGACCTACTCCTATTGAGATCTCCCTAGGGTGCAAAAATTGCAAGAGACCTACCTTAGCTAAAACAGACAGCCAACTGGCTGGCCATTTTAACAGTTATTTGCATATTATAAGAAATAAAAAGCAAGACTTAAAAGAGCTCAACACTTGCCACTTGTTACTGTCGAATGTGATAATGCATCTCTAGTTCCATCTGACAAATATTTACAAAACTCGACTATATGGACAGCGCTGCTCTATTCCCATTTCTTTCACTCCACAAGTCAGATGGGAGGCCCACACGTCGGTCCCCAGTGCTGGATTTGGAAAAGAAGACAGTGGTTTAGTCACGCTAGACCTCCAGAGGTGGCTGTTGTTTGAGGGCCACCCCTTGTCTACCCTGACTACATAGAGCAGTGAAAAGTCAAGGGATTAGAGAAGCTGATCCTTACACTCTAGAGCAAGGCAGGAAGCAAGAAGTGAGGACTGCTTGCCTTCCTCCCCCAGCCTCTATAATAGAACCAACCACAAATGGCAAACTTAAAACTGTCACTGTAACCAGAACTTGTTTTGGCTGTAGGTAGACAGAAAGAGAGAGGAAATGCCCACCGATGGTCAGAGAGATATTTTTCGAATAGAACCACCAAGACGAACCTGGACTATATATAACAGAACCTGGTAATCTTTCATATGCATTTTCAAGACACAGGTTTTCTTCAAAAGGAACTACCAAACCGTCCCAAACACCCCTTTTAACATGGCTGTAATTAATTAGTGTTTGTGAATTAAATGACAGCTGTTAAATGGACAGGTTATATGCCTTATAAGCATATCCAGGCTTTGGGCTAGTGCAGAAATAAAAGTATTTCTGCCAGTCTGATCTGGGCCTTTTTTTTTTTTTTTAAATCCATTATCAGGAAATAAAAATCAAGTAACATCTTTTTAAATTTAAAAGTTTATTTAATTACACTTATTTTTTAAAAAGTTACTAACTTTTAAAACACTTATTTTTATTCAAAGTCATTACTTAAGATTTTGGATTCTATTATTTTGGTTACAATTTACATTATGGTATTCACTCATTCAGACTGTATGTAATCCAAAGCTTTTCACACAAAGAACCGTGGTGTCTATTTAATGCCTTTATTGGTTTTTATAATGAGTTGGGATTGGGGGGAAGACTGTACCAGCATTTATCAAACGGTCACCCTGTGCCCAGCTCCACACTGGACACTTTCCCATAGTCTCTCATTTCATTTACTTTTCACTGTATCTTTAAATACCCAAATTACCAGACATACAAAGGAGAGCTACCATTTCATTTTCAGATAAGCCTTGTCCATCCAGTTGGCAATTTGATTGCAGCTATAAAAATTTTTTAATGATGCCAGGTAAGAAGCCAATAAAAACTGAAGGAATTAAAAGAAAAAATAATTGTCAAACATGCCAGAAGTCTGGAGAAAAGTGGGGAAAGCAACTTCCTTGTATATCAGGCAAGGAAAAGCCTAGGGAAGGCTAAGAATTTCTGTTGCTGAGTCCCGTGTGCTGTGGTGACTTAGGAGGCCTCCCAAAGCCCTCCCATTTAAAGGAGGGGTGGCCAGGCCCAGGAAAGAGATCAAAGGGTACTGCTAGTTTTAAGTGTCTTGGTGTACCTAAGACTATCCTTTGTAAACTCTGATGTTACTAGAATCTCATGATATGAGCAACACCTTATTTGATGTTACCATATAACATTGCAGCCCAGTTACGGCCTGGGTTTCCCCCTACTCCTTTCTTTTCCCAAACACTGATTCACACACAAACTTGGTGCATTGGAATGACGTTGGGGACTTGTTAAGCCATACACCAGTGCTGCTCACCCCCACTTCCACTTCCTGAGTTTCTGACAGTGGGTCTGGAGTACAACCTGAAAACTTTCATTTCTAACAAGTTCCCAAGTAATGCTGCTGGTCCAGCACCACATACTTAGAACCATTTAAAAAATAAAAGAAAAAGAACCCATCAAAGACAAGACCAGGGTATTTATGATGTGGCAAAATCTTCACCAACTATGACACAAACCACACAGAGGCAGGGAATTTTGTCTGTTCTGACACTGCTGTATTCCTGGTACCTAGAATGGTGGCTGGCATATGCTAGGTGCTTAACACCTATCTGCTAAATAAATGGGTCAGCCGGCCCTGTGGTTGAAACTGGGGCCAGCGTGGGTATAGGTGAGCAAGGAAAATAGCTGCAGAAGCACCAGCAACAAAGGGAATGGCTGCTTACTGTTGAACTGTCCTGAAACGGAAGCCCAACTTAATGACAACCACAATAATGATATACATGAGGAAGACAACAAATGTCAGAGTGTTTAGCACATGGCCAGGGACGGAGCCAGCACTTTACAGGCATTATTGCATTCAATCCTTACAGTAACTCTGTGAGGTAAGAACCATGATTTTCCTCATTTAACAGACGAGGAAATGGGGTTTGGAGGGAAAGTGATGTGACCAAATCATCTAACTATGAAGTGGGATTAAAAACCACACTGAGAAGTTGACCCTGAGCAGAAAGTCGCTCTTAAATTACCCAGTTGGGTCAATGATAAATGCAAAACTTCCTTCCCTGAACTGCAGACTTTGATCCTTTCTTCTGCAAGTTAGAGAGGCTTCCAGCAGCCAATTAATATCATGCCTCATCATAAAAAAGACAGGGCTTAGGTGGCCTGCACAGAGCACTACCAAGAGTAGGGGCAGTGGATCCCAGTTCTGGGGTGCCATGGGGTGGTTAGGCATTCCAAAGTTAATCCAGCTATGAGAAATCCGTTGCTTTTAAAATGTATATCATATTTTAAAATTTAAATATGTACTATATATAGAAGAGGCAAACATGATATCCTCTTCTACCCTTTCTTCAAGGTCTAGTTCGGTGGTTCTCAGCTGGGGGTGATTTTGCTTCCCGGGGACATTTGACAGTGTGAAGATAATTTCGATTGTTGTTAACTAGTGGTGCTAATGGCATCTAAGTGGGCGGAGGCCAGGGATCCTGCTAAACTTGCTACAATGCACAGGACAGCCCTCCACCACTGTTAACTGCCCACAAACTATCACCACGGAGAAGTATCTGACCAAAATGTTAAGAGCGCTGAAGTCCTGTTCTAGTTTAAAACTTCCTGAAGCCTCCTTTGTCCCCTCCATCAAGTTTGGATGCCTAAGAAACTTCACTGTTATTTCCTTATGGTCTTCATTGCCCTTTCTTTTCTTAGTTATTGAAGAAAATGTGTCGTCTCCCTGTCTCCAGATGAACTCCTTGAGGGCCAGAAGGACACCTTAGTAGCCTCTGAAACTCCCAGAGTATCAGGAAGTGCATTCTGCACAAAAGCGGGTGTTCAGTAAGAGCCTGTCCAATAGTTTTCCCTGAAGGAGGTAAAAATGCCGAGAGTTCAGATTTGACAAGTACTCAAGAGTTCCTACCACGGGGAGTGGCGGGGGGAGGCAACTAAGGAACACAAAGTACATTTCCTATAAACACTATCTCATTTAATCCTTCCAGCCAGTGAAGGAGAGAGGATCACTATTTTAGGTAACTACAGCTCATGGATGTAATTTATAAAAGGTCACACACGGTAATTGGCAGAGCGTGTTTCTGGAGCCGGATCTTCAAGTCCACACGCCTTCCATACCACACTACTGTGTCACGCATGCATTTCCAAAGCTGAAAACCTTGCCTCCTAGAGACTATTCCCAGAATTGGGAAGTCTGAGATGCTAACAAGGAAAACAGCAACAAGAAAGGTGGGAAACTTTATGTTATTAGTGTGATCGTCACAAGTTCTGCTACCCAACATAGCGACAAAATTAGCCAACAAAAGGGGTGTTGCAAATTGGGTTTAAACACAAGTAACATATCAAAAGTCAATTATAGAGATACTTAGAATTTACACGGCTCTTTCCTAGACAGGAGTATTCAAAGGCTCATATGTTTAAACTTTAGAATGCTAGAGCTTAAGAAAATAAATTCAAGATTTTTTTTTTTTAATGAGAAAAATCAGAGAGTGTAGGAAATCATGGCAAAAAGAGCTATCTTGGTTCAGGACATGACTATGTGACCTGTCTGGATGCACAGTACTTTCCAGCTGGCTCTTTGCTTTGTGAGGTTGCAAACTGTGGGCTTTCTCACAGCAGCTAGGAGACGGGGTAAAGCATGTAATAAATAACATCTGATGGCTCGTCTCTGCGAGCCCTGACAGCATCGATCCCCAAAAATCAACCTGATGAATTTGTCTCGTTTTCATATTACAGAGGAAGAAGTGAAAATGATGAAAGGTTTTTGTGGCACCATGTTAAATTTCTTTTATTTGTAAGCTAGGGAGACCAGGTCTTGGCCTGCTATTGTTCATCAAGACTTCCACTATAACCTCTATGCCAAAGTCCCACTTCCGGTGCTCAGCCTTAGCCCCTCAGAAAACGGGATGGCCCATGGAGTCACTCACAACCACCCCATCCATTCTGACTAATCATGCCTTCCACACAGTGCACACCCCAGACAGAGGAGAAGCTTGGCCTCACCCATTCTTCCAGCCCCTGGAGTTAAATATTTGGGAGTCAAAGGTCTTGTATTTCTTTTCTCCCTTAATCTGCCCTTCACTTCCACCTGCCTTTTCACACCATCATTGTTGCCATCCTGCTTCCAGACTCATCAACTCAATAGCGCCCGTACTCTAAATGGTGTGCTCTGGTCCTCGTATTCACATTTCTCGCTCTGTCCACTTGGTTAGCTGTGTTTCAGGCAGGTCCAGACCAGACAGAATGAAAAGCCTTCCTACTGTTAAGGCAGAAAAACCACTCAAGGGTACCCAGCTGGTGCTGGTGCCTGGCGTCTAGCCACCAAGCCCACTTTGACCTCCTGAGCTCGGATTCTCAACCGCTTGAGAATCCAAGAAACCACTTCTTGTTTCACATCTTTTAAGTTTTGGGAGACCCATCTTTGTATGGTTTGCCTGGGCTACAACCTGGGAGTCTGCAAGTTTTGGAACCACGAGAGCAGGTATGAGGCTTGGGGCCCTGGGGTCTTTCCAAACGAGGAAGAGCTGAGATAAGCATTATGTGAATGGATGTGGCAGAAGGCTCCTGCCTTCACCTGGACAATCTAGTTTCAGTAACTTTTCCCTGTGCTCAACTAGCCGTGCTTCCAGAATGTTTCATCAGAAGATCTTAGGGCTTCTGACAGAGGATAGGGATGGAGCCTGGGAATCTGAATCTGTAACAAGTGCTACAGGCAATCAGGTAAACTTGAAAAACACTGGATTATTTCTTTTTGACAGGTATCTTGGATTTTTACTACTTAATACAATGCCAGAGACCACAGAGGATAAATACTAGGAATAAGCTGAGACTATGGAGCCAGGCTCCTTGGGTTTAATTTCAGTTGCCCCACTTATTAATGGGGCCCAGAGCCAGGCCATTAACCCCTGGCTGTCTGCTTCCCTGTGTAGAACAAGGATGATAATAATACCCACTTCATAGGTTGTTATGTGGATAATGTGCTAATGCGAGTAAAGCACTTAGTTTAGTGCCCTCGATACATGCGGGCACTCGATAAACATTAGCTATTATTATCCCATAGACCAGAGACTGCTGAGTGGCAGCCCTTAAGCCAAATCTGGCCTAGAGACCTATTTTGTTTGGCCTGCGCAATTTCCTTTTAAATTCAGCCAACATTTTAAAACTGGTAGATTTCTGGCATTTTGAGAAGGTTGAAGACCTGGCAAAACACAAGGCCTGCCATCCCCTCTGGCACCCACTGCCTGTGACCAGGTCCCAAGGCCCCCTTTTGATAGTACGTTTCTTCTTTATTCGTGAACAATCCCCACACCACTCAAACTTCCCACCCCCAATCTACTCCCCGCCCAGCCCTTGTAGAAAGGCAACTCCAATTCTAGATCAGTTTTGCCAACACATCCAACCTTCGGTCCTGTTATCTCCCCATACTGATGACTCTAGTCCAAATGCTGCCTCCTGACGCCAATCTTTCTGCCTGCCTGCCTTTGACTTATGTCTCCCCGCCAGAAAGGGCCTCCCCAATCTTCCCTTTCCACCAAGCCCAGTGGTTCCAACTGAGCACATTAAAAAAAGAAAAAAAATCCATGTCTTAATCTCACCTCTAGACATTCTGATTGGTCTGGGTGGGGCCTAGGTATCAGTATTTTTAAAAAGCGCCCTGGGAGATTCACATGTGTGCCCTAATGTACTCCAAGATTGACAACCGTGGCCTCCCCATCTCACGGCCCAGCTGGAGTCTGGTGACTCTCACCTGTTCCTCTGGCACTTTCTGTCGACACCACACAACTGAGGACTAGATGAGTCTTGTTTTCTCCCTACCGCCTGTTTAGTCTTGCTTGCAGATCAACTTGTGTTTAAAGCTTGTCTCCTCAACAGACTGTAAACTCAAGAGTGGGCGGATCACACCTCATACTTCTTTTGTATCCCCAATAGGACTAATGGGGTACCAAGCACATGGAAGGTGTCTAATGAAAATGCCTCTTCTCAGGTAGCTGAGCCTATAGTGTAGTGGGCACTGCAGGGACCACATGATGAAAAAGCAAGCCAGACCGATTTCTTGGAGCTTACAGGTTTGGAGGAGGAGTAAGTCATGAACATGCAAGATTAGGCTACGAGGCAGACCATGAGGTGTTACAGGAAAGAAGCAGTAACCCAAGGGAAGGGAGAGGCCCAAGCCCCTGGGAAACTGGGGGAGGCTGTGCCTACGCCTTCCCTTGATGTGGGCCTCAATGGGCCAGTGGGAGGAGGGCAACAAAAGGAGTAAGGTGGAGAGGGAGAAGCTACGAGCAAACACACCAGAGGGAAATCTGCGGTGCCTGCAGCACCACACTGTCGCAGCAGCCGAGTGCAGAGGAATGGGAAGCAAGACCGAAAAGGCAAGATTTCACCATCCCTTGATGGCAGGAAAAGGTGGTAATTAATTTGGTAAGTCCGGGAAGCAGCCACTGAAGGTGGCAAGTCTGCTTCCTTCTAAGAGCCAGGCAGAGGGCAAGGCGAAGGGGAAGGGGTAGGAATAGATCTAACATAAAAAAGGAGGGGTGAGGAGATGAGAAGGGAAAAGGGAGGCCTAGAGGCAGGTTCCATTGCCTCTGGAGAGCAAGACAACCCCCCGCCCTGCCTTGATATACACACACTGGCAGGGGCTCCGAGTCTGGCAGGGCCCAGCAGCTCAGACACCCTGATTCTTGCCATTCAGTCTTAAGCCATGGTTTACTGTACAGGATTGAAATTATGTTAATAGTGTCATTCATGCTAGTAGTGTCACTTTATTAATACATTTAATCACAGAAATAAAGGTTTTATTCATGACACTATCACTACTGATAGCACTACTACAAGAAGCTTATTCTTCAGTTCTTTTTCCCAAGTCAATGGGCAGCTTATAAAGAAATACAAAGACCCTAGACCCTAAAGACTGCATTAGGCGAGAGCCATTCCACGGTTTACTTCTCCTTCCCATCATCACCATTTTTAGAGAGGTGCAATGGGGTGAAATGAACACTAAGGGCTAGTTAAGAAAATAGATCAGGCCAGGAACAGTGGCTCATGCCTACAATCCCAGCACGTTGTGAGGCCGAGGCGGGCAGATCACCTGAGGTCAGGAGTTCGAGACCAGCCTGACCAACATGGTGAAACCCCGTCCCTACTAAAAATACAAATAAAATTAGCTGGGCGTGGTGGCGCACACCTGTAATCCCAGTTACGGGGGAGGCTGAGGCAGGAGAATCGGCTGAACCCAGGAGGCAGAGGTTGCGGTGAGCCAAGATTGCACCATTGCATTTCAGCCTGGGCAACGGAACAAGACTTGGTCTCAAAACAAAAACAAACCAAGAAAATGGATCACAAAAGGACAGCCCATGAGATGCCTGTGGAAGGAAGGGCAATTATACCATGTTTCTACTTAACACATAATCCTTCCTACGTGCCAGACACTGGTCTAAGCACTTTACAAATAAGAACTCATTGCAACTTCCTAACCCCATAAGGTAGGTACTATCATTCCTCCCAATTTACAGATGAGGAAATGAAAACATAGAGGCCAAGTTTCTTGCCCAAAGTCACAGGGCTAGTGAGCAGAGCCAGAACAAGAACACAGGCACTCTGGCTCCAGGCTAAGTGGCCTGACCTTATACTCAGCTGCCCCTCACTATGCCTTTTAGGACAGGGTGCAGGTTATAAACACATGAGCCTCCTTCTCTCCAAGGGACTGCCAGATGCAGAAAGGCACACAGGAGATAGTGTGGGCCTCAGGGATGCTGCTCTGGTTATGTATCAGAAATGGAGCCCCCAAAGCATCAGAAATGGGGAAGAGCAGAGTGGAACGAAATATACAGACCCTGAGTTCACTGCCCATCATTCTCAGAGTCCAGAGCTACCACCCTTCAGGATCATAAAAACTAGAGCAGGCAGAAGCTCTCCTCAGCAGAAAGTCAAGAGGCATTCAAATCCTCCACTCTCTAAGACAAACTCTACTCGCCAAAAAACTTTCCAGAGGAAATCAGCTTCACTGATTACTACTCTCATCAGTTGGTACTTAATGCTCACTGGCTGTTAGACCGTATCTACACTGGGCACCTTTCTGGTTTGTGGATTACAGATAAGCCATATATCGCTGCCCCTAACGAGTCAGTGCACTACAGCCACGTTAGATTATGTTTCACTTTCAGGCCTCAGGGCTTGAAGCAATTCTATTTTTAAGCTTTCTCAGTTCCAAAAAGGAAAAGAAGGCATTTTAAGGAAATTAGCGTTGGCTAAAGGAATGACAATTTCCTCTTAAAGAGTTAACTGATTAGCCACTTTGCTAAACCAGAAATCTTGGAGCTAACCACAGAGGAAGAACACCTTGTTCAATGTTACTGGGCAAGGGCTGGGGACCTCTGAAAGCATGACAGTCACTCAGGATGTTGGTGGCCCAGGACAAAACTCCGTTACTACCAGAGGGGCACTGTGTGTCCTTCTCCCCAAGAAAGTCTCAAAAATCCTTTTAGATTCTATTCTCTATGAAGCATGTGTCACTTTTTGAGCAACAGAATTGATATAACCACAGAAGACAAATTTGCGAATATCAAATAAATCTTTAAAAATATTACTATCACGTTTTGAAGAGTCATTCTTTCCTTTTTTAAATAATTCCCTTTCATTTAACATCCAAAGTAGCCTTGCTTATTTTGTATCTTTGGGAATAAGTCATTACCCCCACAGCCAACTGTTTAAAGGACACTTCTTTATGTGCGCATTTTTAAAAAAGGTAACCACTCCTGAAGGAAATCTAAAATGTGTCCTACACACCCCAATTTTCCCATATAGGGTTCATGAGACACAGTTAACCTTCTCTTGGTGAATGAGGCTTCTAAGAATTCAAGAGTCTCCCGTTTCGGTTTTGGCTTTGCCACTAGCAAAGACCTGTGACCTTGGGCAAGTAATTTAACAGCACTGGGCCTGAATTTCCTCACCTGCAACATGAAGGGGATTGGGCAGATGAGGACTCTTGTGCCTTACACTTCTCAAATGTTATGATTCCAAGACCAGTGTAAATGCCAACTATTGCCCATGCCAACCTAGAATATCGTTCTCAGGGACTGTCAAGTTCTAAGAATGTTGTCTAGACCACACAAATGGCCCCAGAGAGTTGGGCTACGGTAATGGAAAGCAGACTAAAGTCAATTATTTTTTATTCTTTTTGTCCCCTTTCTATTCCATCAGCTGCCAATTCTCACTGCTTTCTACCTCGAGCTGACATAAACCCCTGCCTTAGTTTACAAAGCTAAGTGGGGGCCTGCATCACTTAGATTCTTCATCAAAGCAAAGTGCATCTGGCTGTGTGATACAATCTGGCAACCAGTGGCCTTCATCACTTCTCCTTCAAAGTTACATTGCATTGGATAGGAGAGTATTTGAGGGCAAAAATTATATTTTTTAAAAGTTATATTGTAGACAAATATGGTGGCCATAAGACTGACCCCCAGTTAAGGTTGGGGAAAGAACGTACATTCCTTGAATTCCAAAAACACATTGCTTTTAGAGGAGAGGGTTTGAAACAAGTGTGAACAGAATATAAACCAATTTCCCTCTTATTGAAATAGAAACTCGGTATGTTATCCCTCTATAATAATCCCCACTCTGTAAGTTTCCTGTCCCCAAAGGCAGTTGTTGCTTTTTAGTACCTTCTGTGGTATAACTTTTCTTTGTGAAAGATACATTTTCCTCGTCACTTTCTGAAGCCAAAGAGAGGGTCAGGGTAGGAAGAAGGAGACACTATTAGTGGTTTCCTATATTTACTGCTTTCCCAGTTATCTTCCATTGTTAAGTCCCATGAACAATGATTAGTAGAAAAAATGCTTTTTAGCAATCGTGAATACAGTCTCTGAAACATTATTTTTAAACTGCTAACAAGAATGAAAATATGCATTAAACCACGTACTTAGTACCTCAAAGAATTCAGGGAAGATTCCCCTTTTTAAAAAACAAAATTGTGAAATCTACCTTCTTTACCTTGCTTTCACCACGTTTTACCTTGCTTTTACCACCTTTCAGGTGGCTTCATGGGAATTTATCAGGGATCTGGTGAGCATAGGCAATTGATTTTGACTCATCCTAGTTACAGCTGTTAGTAGGAAGTAGATGACTAAAAGGGAATTGAAGTTGGCTAGCTTGGGAAAGTAGATGTAAACTGGTCCTACAAATGGAATATTTGTAAAATCAGGTTAACTTAGGAAAACCAGCCAGAAAATTAACTATGAGTACTTGAAGCTATTTGCCAAATGGGTCCAAATCCCTAGGAAAGAGGTTAAAGGTATGGATGATATATCTTTGCAGATGGCATTAAAGACAGAAGAGTTAAAGGAAAACTACTGCTTTATATATTTCTGAGAAACCACAATAAAAGCTTTCACCCCGTCTGTCAATCTCCAGGTAATGTTATTTATGCACGTCTAGGCTTAGAGTATTATTTTCTGTTTTCAAGTTAGCTTTACACAGTATAACATTAATCTCAGAATCCATTCTTCCAAGTAATACACAAGGTGGCGATTTATAGAAAAACAAAAAATCCTTTCCTGTTCACAAGGTGGAGTTCTTCAGCCCACAGTGCCATATTTAAGGGTGCTTTGTTTCAGAGGATGATTAGAGTGGCGCCCTTGGTACTGATTATAGTGGAGCTACCTGTAGTGCCCAAGTCTGGGCACTGCATTATATTAAAACTTCCATTTTGGGGTATGTAGTGACTAAAAATTGTCTCCCAGCTTAAACTTGGCATCAACCATATATCTCAGCAGAAGCAAGATTATTGAGTATAGAACCACAGGAACCCGGCACTTTTCTTTTTATAATTGTACAGGAAAAGAGACCCTGCTGAAATAGCACCTATGGTTCTCCATTCTTAGATGAAAATTTCAAGCACTGAGGGCTCTTTCCCAAAGTAGAATCAGTAGGTTGCTATGACTGTGACAGGACATAGTCTCTTACATTATTAAATCCCAAATTTTCTAGAATAAAATAATTTCAGCTTCTTTTTAGAAGCAGCAGCAGAAAATGATGAAGCCTTGTCTGCTCCATTGAGTAGCACTTCTGACTATGGTTTCTCTGGAGTTCTTACATTTCCAACAGTTCACCAACTAAGATGGAATTTGTCTAATGCATGTCTCTGACATGGTGAAGATTGAGAGTTCAGGTCTAACAAAAGCCGCTAAGCATAAACTGCACCCAAAAGTTGGCAGGTCTGTGGAATCATGGACGGAGTGGAACTCAGGCAAAAAAGTGAGGATGATGTGGCCTTGAATTGTCACAATTCAAGGCATATGCTTGGCAGTTCAACACCACTATCTCTATATAGGCGTGTCTTACTGAAATGTCCCTATTTTACCCCTAGGATGGCCATGTTTTATATATTTAAAAGCCCAAATTAATTGGGCATAAATAATTAATTACAGATCACTTAAAGACTTTTAACAGTTCTCTTCATATATGTAAACAAAGGGACAATGTGCACCTGGCCTTACACTATTTCACTAAGTCAGAAAAAAATTAACATTTGTATAATAAATATGAATTGTACTGGGTGTCTACTTTTTGCCAGGCACTGTGCTAAATAGTTCACATGCATTATCATATTTAACTCTTCAAAAGAACCTTAAAGGTGACACTGTTTTTGTCCCTATGTTACAGAGGAAGAAACTGAGTTGAGAGATTAAGTTATTTGCCAATGAACATACAATTTGTAAATAATAGATGCTTTACAGCTGGTAAGGTAGTACTCATATTTTTACCCCCATTGAAAAAAAGGTGAAGAAGTTGCTTCTGGTTAAGTCCTTAGATATTCTTGAGACAGAACTTGGGATCAGAACCAGATAGGTCTGCAACTCTGGCCACCTGAAGACTTTTCAACCTCTTCTTGGACACAGAGTGTTTAGGTGGTCTTTGTTCAGCCAATCACTTAGCTTTCCCCATCCTGTCTTTCCTGCTTAGGGAAAGAATATCAACAAAATTCAAAATTCGAAGACTTACATGGAAGTCTAATATAATTTCGATAAGAAAAACAATAAATCAAACTTTATATTCAGTGCTTAAGACTTTGTATGCATTGACTAGATAAATTTCCTACACCCTCCCAGAAGAAACAGCTCCTTTTTTGAGACGGAATCTCGCTCTGCCGCCAGGCTAGAGTGCAGTGGCGGGATCTCAGCTCACTGCAACCTCCGCTTCCCAGGGTCAAGCGATTTTCCTGCCTCAGCCTCCTGAGTAGCTGGGATTACAGGCGCGCACCACCACACCCAGCTAATTTTTGTATTTTTAGTAGAGACGGGGTTTCACCATGTTGGCCAGGATGGTCTGGATCTCTTGACCGCGTGATCCGCCCCCCTCGGCTTCCCAAAGTACCGGGATTACAGGCATGAGCCACAGCGCCCGGCCAGTAGAAATAGCTCTTAAAAGTGTAGATAACCGGCCAGGCGTGGTGGCTCACGCCTGTAATCTCAGCTACTCAGGAGGCTGAGGCAGGAGAATGCTTGAACTCGGGAGGCGGAGGTTGCAGTGAGCCGAGATCGTGCCATTGCACTCCAGCCTGGGCGACAGAATGAGACTCCGTCTCAAAAAAAAAAAAAAAAAAAATGCAGATAACCAATGATTCAGCATACATTGCAATCATATAAAAAATGCTTCTGAATATGTATATGAGTAACATTTATATTCCTGTAATGAAAAACCTTTTGTGTGCACATAAACTCAAAAGGATATTATTATTCCTGGAATAATAATTTCATGTCAAGGAGAATAAAGTTTTGAAATAACTTGGAAGATGGTGAGGGTAATTTAGTATACTTTAAATACTTAAATACAATGAACTAGATATAATAAACCTGGCTTGAAAGATAGTCTTAGGGACCTGGCCCAACAAACACTGTTAAAATTTTTTAAAAATCAACTTGAAGCTCTCATAATTTCCCATTATCAAAACTACCCCCTGCAAATCTGTGAATCTAATCCAAGAAGTATGTCAATAGCTGGTTGTTTAAGGTTAGGTTTATGAAATAGTAACAGAACTGTGCAGGGGTCAAATATGCTTAAAATATGTCCAAACATGCTTAGGTCAAGTCAGTAAGAGTATCTGAAGCTAATAAAAGCATGGAATATTCTTGCGACTGAAAACCCAGCACACCGGATACTGCTATGTCTAAGCAGGTACTGTGCTCCGTTTCCCCCCTGCTGGCAGACCCTAGTCACTAAAAAACGATGAGCTTCTTTGACTAAGACTACATCACACATGCCCAGCAAGTATCTCTGGGGCTGGAAAGCAGTTAAGACCGAACCCGGGGAGAAACTGGGAACAGGAAAGAAATAAAAAACGCCTCATTATTCCCAAACCCATCCCATTTCCCAAAGTGCTGCCTATGTGCTGACTTTCTTAAAGACTCCCGCAAAATCTTGATTCTCCAAAAATTAAACCCATTTGGAGCTGAGACAAGGTGAGGTCCACGCCTGGTATAATCAGGCTACCATGGATCTAACTGAGTCTGGTTCGGTTCTAGCCCCGTGGAGGCCAAGCCTCACCACGAGGGTGAAGACCCGGAGGCATGGAGGAAGGGAATGAAGGAGAGAAAAGGAGAAAGGGGAGACCTCCGGGCCACACTTCTTTCTAGTACCAACAAAAAGAGAAGCCGCATACTGACCTAAATCATCTCTCAAAGGCGCTTTATAAATTACAGGGACAAAGGGAGGGGGTGGCGGGTGGCCTGGGAATCCTACAGACACCCTACCCTCTGACCCACCCCCCTCCCCCTCCAGCACAAGGGAAGGAAGACAGAAAACAGAGCTCAACTCGGCCATTGGCGAGAAGCCCCCTCCGGTTTTCTATCGCCCATCCATCCGCCCCCTAGAAAAAAAATCCACGTAAACACCATACCCACCCCCTGGGGCAGACACTCCCGCCCCGAGGTTCCTAGAACCGGAGGCCGGGGCATTTACTTAGTTAGATTTTTCTTGCTTACTCATTTCCCTCGAGCACCCAACCCCCCGTTCCCACTCCAAAACCCCGCTCAACCGCCTACCCTCACCGCTTCAGCCCCCAACAGAATCCGGTGCCCCCGCGGCGTCGGCGGCCCCCGAGCCGTCCCGGTCACTAACCTGCTGCTGTAAGGGCATTTCCGAAACCAGCCTGGCTCCGGGGGGAGGTGGGGGGCCGGCTGGAGAGGGGGCCCGGAGGGCCGAACAGACCGGCGGCGCAGGGCGAGGGCGGGCGCCGGTGGGGGGGTGGGGAGAGGAGAGGGAGGGTGGCGGTGCCGGGGGCGGGTGCGAGGGCGCCGGGACCGTCCCAGGCCAGGGAGCCGGCGAGCAGGAGGAAGTGGGTGCCCCCCTCTCCCCCTCCAGCGCCCCCTCCCGCCGCCGCCTCCTCCCCAGTCACAGGCGCGTCCTGCGCGCACGTGTGCGAAACGTCACCGGCGGGTCCCGGAGAGAGGGACAGACCCAGGCGGCGGGACGGGAACCCAGCTGCCCCCGCCCTCCGTCGCCGGGGGGCGGAGAGGGGGACAGGGCGGGGAAGGAAGGGGCAAGGGGAGAGGCGGGTCAAGGGCAGGCCCGGGGCCCGGCGAGGAAGGCCTGGGCGCTTGGGCCACGCGGGCGCCGCCGCTGCCACTGCCAGGATGCGCCCAGGCCAGAGCGCCAGCCCGCGAGCCCCTCACCCCAGACAGCCCACGCCCCAGTCCGCACCCGGCTTCCAGCCCCACCTCCCCCACGCCCGACTCCCCTCCACCTCCCCCAGCCCCTTTGTTGCCGGGAGTTACAGATCCTAAAATGTGTCAAGCGCAGCCCCGCCGATCCCCTGCGCTCCGAGCACGCCGCAGGGACCCCCGGCCGCCAACGAGCCTCCAAGGCCGACTGGGGGCTAGCACCCCAACAGTCCCCCGGTTTCAACCCCTCAGAGCCCCCCACACCCCAGTTCACTACTCCCTCCCCCACCCCCTTCTCCATCCGGGGCGTGACCCCTTCCTACGCCCGAGAAAGAGGAAGCTTCGAGTTGGAGGGGAAGGGAGAGTGGGGGTAGGGAAAAGTGCAGGAAAAGAAGGGGGGGCCGCGAAAAGTTTTGGAGTGTTTGATGTGGTTCGCGCCAAGGCAATCCCCGCCGCCCCGCGCGCCTGGCCGAGCCCCCCGACCCTCCTGGCGCCGGGAAGAGCACTCAGGTCTAACAATGAACCCTCGTTGGAGGGGCAGCCCCCGAGGCCCACGATGCTCGGCCCAGTGCTCTCCCCGAGCGGCCCGCAGCGCGCCCACGACCCCGCGCGGTGCGAGCCCACCTCCCGCCGGGGCTGGGGACGGTGGGGAGGGAGGGTATTACCGGAGGGCCGCCGCCGCCGCCGCTGCCGCCGCGTCCCAGCGCTGGTGGCTGCTGCAGCAGCCCGGCTCTGCTGGAGGGTCCGTGCGGCGTGGTGTAGAGGAGGCTGCCGGCGGTCTGCTCCGCGCCGGGGGCACTGGGGAGGAGGGGGCCGGCGGCTACGGCGCCGCTTTGGAGGGAGGAGGAACAGGAGGTGGTGGAAGTGTTCGTGGTGAGGATCTGGATGTACGCGCCCGGGGCGGCGGCAGCGGCGGCGGCGGCGGCGAAGCCGGGGCTGGCTAGCAGTGCCCTTTTGTCCATGGAGGCTGCAGCGGCGGCGGCGACGACAGCCGCCCCCTCCCCACCCCCGGCGGTCACCAGGTACTGCTCCAGAGCGGGCTGGATTCCCTTTCTCATCTCTCGCTCCTGCTCTTTTTAGTGTTATGGTATATTAATGTATTGTTTTCAATTTCTTTATTATTTGCAGTCGGAGTTTCCAAGTCTCTCCTCCTTCTCTCCTCCCCGCCCGGCGCTTCCGAGCCCCCTCTCTCTCTTTTCTTTTTATTTTTCCGCACCGCACAGGCCCCGGGGGCCAAAAATAATCGGGGCTCTGGAGAGAGGAGGGTCCCGGCCGCACGGATATCGGGCCCCAAGCGGGGATGGAGGCGTCGGGGGCGGCCGATGCAACGGATTGCGAGGCGGCGGCGGCAGCCCGGGTGCTGCGGCCGGCAGCTGAAAAATGGCTCCAGGAAGCTGCTGCTGACAATGAATGAAGGGATACGGTTTACGCGCCAAGGTCCTCCCGCGAAACTCGGATTTCCCGCCGGCTTTTCAAACCATATTTGCATATCCCCGCCCCTCAACCCGCCGAGGACCGTTCCCACAGCCCATTGGGCCGCTACCTCCTTACTTCAGTCCCAATCATGGAGCAGGGCCGCGACTTGCTGGTTTCCATTGGCTGCCGTGCATCATGGTTACCGGGGCGACAGGGACCCTATTTGCATAGGCCTCCTTGATTGGCTGGCAGAAGAGCAGTTTTTAGGGGGTGGGGCAAAGAATTTCCTTCTCTCCCACGGAAGACCACGCCTGGCCTAGGCTCCGCCCCTGTCCCCGCCCGCCCGCCGGGCCGGCGCTACTGACCTGGGCAGGGACTCCGCGCCCCGCAGACTCAGTGTAGATCTAGTCTAGAGCCCAAGTTTCGCTTTTGGAAATTGTCAAGGTGACTAAGGGAACACTCTTTCCTTTGACCAGTCAGTGCAATAAACGAACAGCGCAGGAGATTTTTCCAGATACGTGCCAAAGGCAAGTTGGACCATGCGGACGATGTCTGGCAGGTGCAAAAGGAGCCCTTTAAATCGTGGGCTTCTCCCTTCCTGAAATCCAACCAATGACGCGGCGAGAGCTGATCCCGAGGCCGGGGCTGATAGACAGAAGCATGTGGGCAGACAGAATCGTGGGGGCAGAAGGTTCAGCAGACGCGATTGCGGGCACCAGTTAACATTCCAGATCATTCCCGGTACCTTCATTATTAGCCTGGATAGGGGTAAAGTACAAATTAACTCTTTTGTCTTACAACGGATATTGGTTTGAATCCAGCAGACATTCCCTCTGGCCCAGAAACACCCAGGGCAGTTAATCAGGGCTAACCTAGAACTGATCTACGGGTTTCTAATCCGCCAAGCAGTAATCCGAAAAAGTACACGCTTCCCACGATGACGTCGTGCCCCCAACGAACGCAGGCACGCCCAGGCATCAGCACTTTATATCTTCAGTTTTGTAGGAAGTTCTCTGACTGGAAGCAAACACAACGACTCAAACCTATCCCAAAGTATTTTTAAAATAGTGTCTTTTTTTAAAAAGTAAACTAGAAATTGTCATCAGAAAAATATAAAATGATGTGTCAAACTGACTCCTGAATTTGTTCAAGTATTCATGGGTCTTAAAATTAAAGCTTGCTCCTGAGATTGAGCAGGAAAAGAGACCCCTGCAGGAATGTGGGGGAAGTTATGTATGTAGAGACTAGATCATAATTTATAGTTACGTGCAAAACAGCTGCAGAATTGGTGCTCATAGGTGATGAGGATTGCAACACCTTGAGCCCTTTCACAAGATTTTTATTACTATTATTAATTTCCCAAAACTCTTACTCAGAGTGCTATGAAACACCTGACAAGATGTGTCAGATCAGGCTAGGACTCCTTAATATTTTAGCCTTGTTACCTTTTCTGAAACAGATGAGTTAAAAGTTCCATTAAACCTTGCACCAGGCTCAGGAATATTTTAGTCTTGCATTCAGGCTAGTTGAGGATCCATAGCCCTAAACATTTGTCGACACTGGTAGAGGTGACACTATCTTTATTTTTTGAGACAGAGTCTTGCTGTTGTTGCCCAGGCTGGAGTGCCATGGCACGATCTCAGCTCACTGCAACCTCTGCCTCCTGGGTTCAAGCAATTCTTCTGCCTCAGCTTCCTGAGTAGCTGGGACTACAGGTACGTGCCACCACGCCCAGCTAATTTTTGTATTTTTAGTAGAGACAGGGTTTCATCATGTTGGCCAGGCTGGTCTTGAACTCCTGACCCTAGGAGATCCGCCTCCCTTGGCCTCCCAAAGTGCTGGGATTACAGGCATGAGCCACCGCGCCTGGCCAGAAGTGACACTATCTTTAGGGCAGATTAAGTGGTACTCAAAGGGCATGAGCTAGAAGTGTAATATACCAGCAGCTTCCCTGCTCTTGTTCCATCAATGTTGCTTTCCTCTATGGATATACCTGTGGAAGAAACTAGTACTGTCACTACTTGGATATTACCATCTGCAGAGCATCACTGGCAGCTTGCATTTGGTGGCAGTAGTGGGGGTTGTGAGGGAGGAGTGGTGCAACATACACAGTAATTATAGACCTGCGCCTTATGATTAGAGACCAGCCTGGGACTGGGGCTGTGCATAGAATCCTGGCTTGAGCTCCCCACAAGTGATTGCAATAAGATAAATACGACACAGCCACAAGAAAGCAAGTGTTCACACTCTAGACCCACACCTGCAATTCTGCTTTAGAAAGCTTTCAGATATTTATCATTCTACCTTACCCAAGTTTTTTTAATATAGGGTATTTGGTAGAGAAACAGATGTTTTGACACTTTATGTCTAGTGAACTCTAGGATGAGTAGGTGGAGAGAAGAGTTCAAAGAGAGAAGATAGTGGAAGATAAGATGCTGAAATCCAAGGTAGGCTATTAATTTGTGGAAGAGGTAGCATGTTTTAGCAGAAAGAATGAGCTTTGGAGTCAGAGTGATCTGGGTTTAAATTCTGGCTCTGCCATTTACTAGCTATATAGCTAGGGGTGGTGGCTCACGCCTGTAATCCCAGCACTTTGGGAGGCCAAGGAGGGCAGATCACCTGAGGCCAGGAGTTTGAGACCAGCCTGGCAAACATGGTGTAACCCCATCTCTACTGAAAATACAAATATTAGGCTGGACATGGTGGCTCACGCTTGTAATCCCAGCACTTTAGGAAGCCAAGGCGGGCGGATCACCTGAGGTCAGGAGTTCAAGACCAACCTGGCCAACATAGTGAAACTCCTTCTCTACTAAAAATACAAAAATTAGTCAGGCGTGGTGGCATGCACCTGTAATCCCAGCTACTCGGGAGGCTGAGGCAGGAGAATCACTTGGACCTGGGAGGCGGAGTTGCAGTGAGCCATGATCATGCCACTGCACTCCAGCCTGGGCAACAGAGCAAGACTCTGTCTCAAAAAATAAAAATAAAAAAGTCTGTTTTCTTATATGTCAAATGGAGACCCATATTTCGACACCCATATTGCTAGGTTTTGATGGAAAGAGGCAATAATACATGTAAAGTGCCAGGCATATAGCAAATGCCCAATAAGTGGCAGCTATTTATGAATCTACTTACATGTGTGATCCTGCTTTGCAGCTCTTTGTCCAACCTGACTCTCAGCGTCTAATCTTCCTAGAGCCCCTGGATGTCCACTGGCTAGGGCAGCTTAGCTTTGTCCCATACTAGGAGTGCAGCCATGTCCTGGTTAGTTGCAATCATAGAATCCTGACTCAGAAACTCAGAATAATAACATAAAGTCAGCTCTACTGTCTATCCCACTCCAACCTGCTGATCTATTAGTGACCAGCATCTGGCTGGTTCCTCAGTCTGAGCCCTCCTCACCTTCCCTTGAAGACAAATTTTTCTAGAAGTAGAACCGGATGTTTTTGCCAACAATTACCCCTCTTTCCCTTGCTCTGACTGCCCCAAGACTTCTAGTTTTCCCAGAATAGGCCTGTGTGGTTGACTGACTGGTGGCACCCCAAAAGATGTATCTATATCCTAATCTCTAGAATCTGTGATTGTGATATTTGTGGGGAAAGGGTCTTTGTAGATGTAACTAAGGTAAGGATCTCAGGATAAGACCATTTTGGATTATCTAGGGTGGCCCCTACATCCAATGACAAAGATCCTTAGAGGGGACACCCAGAGGAGGCACACACAGAGAGGAGGAAAAAGCCATGTGAAGTTGGAGGCAGTGACTGGAGTGAGTGGCTACAAGCCAAGGAATGCCAACAGTCACCAGAAGCTGGGAGAGGCAAGGAACAGAATCTCTCCTAGAGCCTCTGGAGGGAGCAGAGCCCTGCCAACACCTTGATTTTGGACTTCCAGCCTCCAGAACGGTAGTGGAATAAATTTCTACTGTTTTAAGCCACCTAGTCTGTAGTAATTTTTATGGCAGCCTAAGAAACGAACACAGCCTGTTATCCTGCCTACCTGAAACTTCAAACCTGTCAACTCTTACTCATCTTGGTTTTTTTGAGACAGGTTCTTGCTCTATCGCCAAGGCTGGAGTACAGTGGCAATGAGATCAGGGCTCACTGCAATCTCCACCTCCTGGGCTGAGTGATCCTCCCACATCAGCCTCCCAAGTAGCTGGGCTGCAGGCACACACCACCAAGGCCGGCTAATTTTTGTGTGTGTGTATTTTTTGTAGAAATGGGGTTTTGCCATGTTGCCTGGGCTGGTCTTGAACTACTGGACTCGAGCCATTTGCCCACCTCGGCCTCCCAAAGTGCTGGGATTACGGGTGTGAAACACTGCACCTGGCCCCCATCTTGTTTTTTATTCCTGCCAAGGTATCATTCCTTGCTGGACATCAACGATACTAACTGCTAGCCTGAGCTATAGACCCTACCGAAGAGTTTTCAACATATGACTTACCGGCAGACACAGACTCACCTAAGGAGCTTATAAAAATGCAGATTCCTGAGCTCTACTTCAACCAAATGAATCAGAATCCTTTAAGGCAGGCCCCAAGAATCTGCTTTTCACAAGCCCTTCCAGAAAATTCCTTTGAGCACTGGAGACTAAGAGCCAGAGTCATGTGTATACCCTTGGACTTCCATAACTTCCCGTTGCTACAGCTAGAATTGCCCCCTGACCCGTGCCCCCTCCCCCAACGCCTAAATGCCTTGATGTATGTTTCTGATATCCCTCTTGCTCCTTATCCTTCCTGTTTACATGAGCTCTGGATTCCTTTGCATACACACGCTCATACTCACACACATACACCAAATGTTTATATATATACATGTACATATATATGTATATACATACTATCTATAGATAGAGTTTGACATTACAATCTTCTCTGAAAGTCTTCATTTTCATCTAGAAATACAATTTGGCCAACATGCATAAAATCTACAGAAACAACTTCCAAGAAACAATGCTATTCAACAGTTGTACGAGAATTCAGAATAGAAAAATTATTTTTTAAGGAGATTAAGGAAACTGTTCACAAGCAAAGAAGGTCTTTGGAACATCAAAAGTTTAAATTGTGCCTTTAATTTAGTTCAGCCAAATCTGGTTGCCACATCAGATTTAGAGCCTATAGTTTTAAATTTTAGGATCTGAGGAAGACTAGTTTCGGAGTTTAAAGCTTTTTAATTGCAATACAGTTAGTTGCCCACAAAGAAATAACATTCTCTGTTTTATCTTCCTGGTTTAGAAGAAGGAGGAGTATGTCCTCAAGCCATTACCACATGAAACACTCATAACAGAATTTCTAAGTGCTTATCCTAGAAAATTGACCATTATAGTTATTATAGATAGTAGTGTAGATACTAGTATTGAGTTTCTTCTCTTCAGTTCTTTGATCAGGAAGGTACTGTTTGGATAGAGCTTGTGTTTTAAAATAAATCTAGGATGAAGTTCTGGTGTAGAGCACTGTTCCCAAGTATGTCTTCTGAATCCGAACCTCTGGTAGGGATCCAGGAATCTGCATTATAGGCAGGATATTTTTGATGCAGGTGGTCCACACAACACACTCTGAGAAATACTGCCATCCGTGACCTAGCAGTCTCTGCCCTATCCATTGGCTTCTTTGGCAGCTATGGCATAGAAAACTCCCTTGTACATAGTATCTTTTGAGCAACTGAGATTTTCATTGTTAGAATCATTTATTTAGACCATACTGTGGTTGCAAATAGCCTCTTTTACTAAAGTTCTTCTTGCTCAGTTAACAAGTAATGTGATTCAGACAAAATATACTGGATGGAAAAGAAAGGTATTATCTCAAAGGTTTGTGTTTCCTTGCGTTTGTGAAACAGACTTTTATTGTGACATAAAATATAAAGATAACCAAACAAAACAGATGTTTGGCTTAAGGATTTATTAAGTTGAACACCTTTGTAACCACCACCCAGGTCTGGAAATAGAACTTTGCCTGAACCCCTGAGGACCCTTTCTTGTGCCCCATCCTGAGCACAACCCCCTCCCTCACACCAAAAATAACTATTAGCCTGACTTTTTTTTTTTTTTCTTTGAGACGGAGTTTCGCTCTGTCACCCAGGCTGGAGTGCAGTCGCATGATCTCGGCTCACTGCAAGCTCTGCCTCCCGGGTTCAAGCGATTCTCCTGCCTCAGTCTCGAGTAGCTGGGACTACAGCATGCGCCACCAACGCCCAGCTAATTTTTGTATTTTTAGTAGAGACGGGGTTTCATTGTTTAGTCTGGCTGGTCTCAAACTCCTGACCTCAAGTGATCTACCCGCCTCAGCCTCCCAAAGTGCTGGGATTACAGGCGTGAGCCACCGTGCCCAGCAATATCCTGATCAATTTTGATTCCACTCTTAACAGTTTCTCCTCAGTGTGAGACCTCATCTTAAAAGGGAGACCTGGGGGTTGGTTTTGAGAGAGACCTGGGGGTCGGTTTTGAGAGAGACTTGGGGGTCGGTTTTGAGAGAGACCTGGGGGGTCGGTTTTGAGAGAGACCTGGGGGGTCGGTTTTGAGACAGACCTGGGGGTCGGTTTTGAGAGAGACCTGGGGGGTCGGTTTTGAGACAGACCTGGAGGGTCGGTTTTGAGACAGACCTGGGGGTCGGTTTTGAGAGAGTGCCCCAGTTACCTGAGACCTTCCTACCACAGCCCCCTGCTCTCACCTACCTCCGGAGGACAGGACCCTTCTCAGTTTTAGAGGCTGTCCCTGTGTCAGCTCACTGACATCCCAGTGAAGCTCTATTGGCTGTTTGGGGGTTCTCCTATTCTCGGGTCCCACCAACACTACCTGGTTCCCCTTCTCCCTCACTGCTGATGCCACACAGCTCTTATGGCACTTGGTAGCTCGTCCCCACTCACTTGTACTTTGGGATTCATGTGGTTACTCTGTCACCGAGTTTTGCTGTAAACATTAGCCATGGATATTTGGTTTTGCAGTCTAGATGTCCTTTCTGTTTTCATGTGGTGGTAAGGAGAGATGGAAGAACGATGCTGTCTCAGCACCATCTTTAGATTTACCTTCCCTTTCCTTTTATTTTATTATTAATTATTATTGTTATTATTTTTTGAGATGGAGTCTCATTCTGTCGCCCAGGCTGGAGTGCAATGGTGTGATCTCGGCTCACCGCAACCTCCGCCTCCTGGTTTCAAGAGATTCTCCTGCCTCAGCCTCCCAAGTAGCTGGGATTACAGGTGCCCACCACCACACCTGGCTAATTTTTGTATTTTTAGTAGAGATGGGGTTTCACCATGTTGGTCAGGCTGGTCTCGAACTCCTGATCTCAGGTGATCTGCCCGCCTCGGCCTCCCAGAATGCTGGGATTACAGGCGTGAGCCACCATGCCCGGCCAATTATTATTTATTATTTATTTATTTATTTGTTTGTTTGTTTTTGAGACAGAGTCTCGCTCTGTCGCCAGGCTGGTGTGCAGTGGCACGATCTCGGTTCACTGCAAACTCCACCTCCAGGGTTCAAGAGATTCTCCTGCCTCAGCCTCCCAAGTAGCTGGGACTACAGGTGTGCGCCACCACACCCAGCTAATTTTTTTGGTGTTTTTAGTAGAGACGGAGTTTCACTATGTTGGCCAGGATGGTCTCAATCTCTTGACCTCATGATCTGCCCACCTCAGCCTCCCAAAGTGCTGGGATTACAGGCGTGAACTACCGTGCCTAGCCTATTAGTTTTTAATAGGACGGAGTCTGGTTATGTTACTTAAGTTGGTCTCGAACTTCTGGCCTCAAGGGATCCTCCCACCTTGGCCTCCCAAAGTGTTGGGATAACAGGCATGAGCCATCGTGCCCAGCCCCCTTTCCTGTTAAACATGTGTTTTGAATCCATACTGTAGGATTGCGGTGGAAACGATATCAAGTAGATAGACATTTCCCTAAGCATTAAGAGAAAGGAGAGTTATGAGAGGTTTTTTTTTTTCTCAGAGAGAACTTGCAAGAGTTGAAGAAGAGAATGGGAGTCGAGGTACTTGACTCACTTAGGCAATGATTAGAAGGAGATTTAGAACAGGGAGAAGCAGAGGAACACACCACCTTTTCGTATTTGGTAGGCTGATTGTACCTCTTTCTTGTGGGTTTTAAATAGGGAACATTGTTGGCAGCATATCACAAACAGGCCTGTGGGTAGAAAATGCCTTTTTTCTTTCCACCTTGGTTTCCTTGACAGCACTCCCTCTTCATTCACATTCAACTGCTCTGACTTACTGGATCTCATTGATGGCTTCGTTTTCTTCTATTATTCCCTTAATATCTTCTTCCTTCTCTTCTTCCTGTTTTATACATTCTCCTTGGACCATATTTTTTTTATTGTGGTAAAAATATACATGATGTAATATTTATCATTTTAAACATTTGTAAGTGTACAATCAAATACATTCACAGTGTTGTGTAATCATCACCATTATCTATATCCAAAACTTTTTCATCATCCCTGACAGAAATTTTGTTCCCATTAAATAGCAGTTCTTCATTCCCTTCTCTGTACTAGTCCCTTGTCGCCAGGATTCTACATTGTTTCTGTGAATTTGACTCTTCTAGGTACCTCATGTCAGTGGAATCACACCATATTTGTCCTTTCGTGTCTGGCTTATTTCAGTTACCCTAATGTTGTCAAGGTCCATCCATGTTGTAACATACAGGCCTATCCCTTTTTCTTGTGCTTTGCTTTATTGCACTTTGCAGATGTTGCATTTTTTACAAATTGGGGTTTGTGGCAACCCTATGTGGAGCAAGCCTATCAGCATCATTTTCCCAACAGCGTGTGGTCACTTCATGTCTCTGTGTCAAAGCTTGGTAATTCTCACAATATTTCAAATGTTTTCGTTATTATTATATCTGTTATGGTGATTTGTAATCAGAGATCTTTGATGTTACTATTGTAATTGTTTTGGGGTACCACTAAACACACCCATATAAGACTGCAAAAGGAATCAATAAATGTTGTGTGTGTCAAAAACAGCTGGCTGTTCCCCTATTTCTCCTTCTCTCTGCAGGCCTCCCGATGCCCTGAGACACAAAAATATTGAAATTAGGCCAATTAATAACCCTATAATAGCCTTTAAGTGTTCAAGTGAAAGGAAGAGTTGTACATCTCTCACTTTAAATCAAAAGCTAGAAATGATTAAGCCTAATGAGGAAGGTATGTGGAAAGCCAAGACCGATCGAAAGCTAGGCCTCTTGTGCCAAAGAGTTAATCAGGTTGTGAATGCAAAGGAAAAGTTCTTGAAGGAAATTAAAAGTGCTACTGTAGCCAACACATGAATGTTAAGAAAGTGAAACAGCTTTATTGTTAATATAGAGAAAGTTTGGATGGAAGATCAAACTAGCCCCAGCATTCCCTTAAGCCAAAGCCTAATCCAGAGCAAGGCCCTAGTCTCTCAATTCTATAAAGGCCAAGAGGGCCAAGGAAGCTGCAGAAGAAAAGTACTACTAGCACATGTAGTTTCATGAGGTTTAAGGGAAAAAAGCCATCTTTATAACATAAAAGTGTGAGGCGAGGCAGCAAGTGCTGATCTAGAAGCTACAGCAGGTTATTCAGAAGAACTAGCTAAGTTCATTGATGAATGTAGCTACTACTCTTAACAACAGATTGATGAAACAGCCTTCTATTGGAAGGAGATGCTAAATAGGACTTTCATAGCTAGGGAGGAGAAGTCAATGCCTGGCTTCAAAGCATCAAAAGACAGGCTGACTCTTTTGTTAGGGGTTAATGCAGCTGGTGACACTAAATGAAACCAATGTTCATTTAACCATTCCAAAATCCTGGAGCCCTTGAGAATTATGCTAAATCTACTCTGTGATCTATTAGTGGAACAACAAAGCCTGAATGACAGCACATCTGTTTACAGCATGGTTTACTGAATCTTTTAAGTCCACTGTTGAGAAATTCTGCTTAGAAAGAAATATTTTTTTTTCAAGATATTACTACTTATTGACAATGCACCTGGTCATGCAAGAACTCTGATGAAAATGTATAAGGAGATTAATATGCTGTTTTTCATGCCTGCTGAAACAACATCCATTCTGCAGCCCATGGATCGAAGAGTAATTTTGAATTTCCAGTCTTATTATTTAAGAAATGCACTTCGTAAGATTATAGCTGCCATAAATAATGATTCCTCTGATGGATCTGGCTTAAGCAAATTGAAAATCTTCTGGAAAAAATTCACCATTCTAGATGTCACTGTGAACATTCATGATACATGGAAGGAAGTCAAAATATCAATATTAACAGAAGTTTGGGGCCAGGCGCCCAGCTCACGCCTGTAATCCCAGCACTTTGGGAGGCCGAGGCGGGCGGATCACAAGGTCAGGAGATTGAGATCATCCTGGCTAACAGGGTGAAACCCCATCTCTACTAAAAATTCAAAAAATTGGCCGGGTGTGGTGGCGGGCGCCTGTGGTCCAGCTACTCAGGAGGCTGAGGCAGGAGAATGGCGTGAACCTGGGAGGCAGAGCTTGCAGTGAGCCGAGATGGCGCCACTGCACTCCAGCCTGGGCGACAGAGCAAGACTCTGTCTCCAAAAAAAAAAAGAAAAGAAAAAAAAAATAGAAGTTTGGAAGAAGTTGATTCCAACCTTCATGGATGACTTTCAGGGGTTCAAGACTTTAGTGGGCATAAGTAACTGCAGATGTGGTGAAAATAGCAAGAGAACTAGAATTAGAAGTGGAGGGCTGGGTGTGGTTGCTCACACCAGCAATCTCAGCACTTTGGGAGGCTGAGGAGGGAGAATCTCTCGAGACAAAGAGATTGAGACCAGCCCGGGCAACACAGGGAGACGCCATCTCTACAAAAAATTAAAAAGTTAGCTAGGCATAGCGGCATGTACCTCTAGTCCCAGCTACTCAGGAGGCTAAGGTAGAAAGATCACTTGAGCCCAATAGATGGAAGCTGCAGTGATCTATGACCACCACACTACTGCACTGTAGCCTGAAAAATAGAGTGAGATACTGTCTCTTAAGAAACGACAACAACAAAAAAAACAAAAAAACAAAAAATGAAGTGAAGCCTAAAGATATGATTGAATTGCTGCAATCTCATGGTCAAACTTGAGTGAATGAAGAGTTCCTTCTTATGGATGAGCAAAGGAAGTGGTTTCTTGAGATAGAATGTACTCCTGGTAAAGATGCTGTGAACCAAGCTTGTCCAACCCGCAGCCCATGGCCCAGGGGCGGCATGTGGCCCAAGACGGCTTGAATGCGGCCCAACTCAAATTTGTAAACTTTCTTAAAACATTATGAGATTTTTTTGCAATTTTTTTTTAAAGCTCATCAGCTATCATTAGTGTTAATGTATTTTATGTGTAGCCCAAGACAATTCTTCTTCCAATGTGGCCCAGGGAAGCCAAAAGGTTGGACACCCCTGCTTTAAACATTGTTGAAATGGCAACAAAGAGTTTAGAATGTTGCATAAACTTAGTTGATAAAGCAGTGGCAGGATTTCAGAGGTTTGACTTCAAATTTTGAAAGAAGTTCTAGTGTAAGTAAAGTGCTATCAAACAGCATTGTATGATACAGAGAAATCTTGCATGGAAGGAAGAGTCAATTGATGCAGCAAATTTCATTGTTGTCTTATTTTTGAAAATGATCACTGCCACCCCAAGCTTCGGTGACCACCACCCCTTATCAGTCAACAGTCTTCAACATCGAGGCAAGACCCTCCACCAGCAAAAAGATTACGACTTACTGAAGGCTCAGATGATCGTTAGCATTTTGTAGTGACGAAGTATTTTTTAAGTAAGGTATGTACATTGTTTTTTAGACAATACTGTTGCACAGTTAATAAATTACAGTATAGTGTAAACATAACTCATATGCACTGAGAAACCAAAAAATGTGTATGACTCACTTTATCATGATATTAACTATATTAGTGTGATCTGGAACTGAACTTGCATTATCTCTGTCATATGCCTGTATGTCAAAATTCCATTCCTTTTGATGGCTGAATAATATTTCACTATGTATATATACACACACACCACATTGTTTTTATCCATTCATCTCTTGATGTACTCTTGCGTGGTTTCTACCTTTTGGCTATTGTGGACATTATGAACATTGGTGTATAGGTATCTAAGTCCCTGCTTTCAATTCTTTTGGGAATATACCTAGCAGTGGAATTTCCAGGTCATATCGTAGTTGTATGTTTAAATTTTTGAGGAACTTCCTGAATAATCTTGACCTTAGCTACAAATTTAACTACCGTTTACGTAGTGTTGTCAAACAGAACTTTGTACAATGATGTAAATGTTCTGTAATTCTGCACTGTTGAATATGGTAGCTACTAGCTACATGTGGCTAATGAGCACATGAAATATAGCTAGTGTGACCAATGAACAGATCTTTAAAGTCCTATTTAATTTTAATTAATTTAAATTCAAATTTAAATAGCCACACATGGGCTATTTCATTGAACTGCATACATCTATAAGCTGAGGCTTTTTCTAATTCTGTATCTCCAGTTCGACCATTTTTTCTGAGTTTCAAATACATACTTCCAATATGCTTCCATGAACACTTTCTTAATTCATGTGTCCCTTATTTCTTATATGAACAGTTACTGCAGACTCCAGATTTATCTCCTAATGTGAAGTTGGCATCAAACTCCAGTCAACTCTACTGCCAAAATGATCGTGTCTACTTTGTCTAAGATACTTTAATTGGAGCTGGGCTATCAACATGGGCAATGAGATCTTTCTAAACTTTCTAAAATGTAAATCCAACCAATTTTATCTCTCTGAGGCTCCCCATTACCTTAAAAATTAAAACCCAGTTCCTTACATTAGCCTACAACTTCTCATGTTATCTCTCTAGCCTCATTTCACTTCATTTTCCAATAGGCAACATTCACTCCAGCCATACCAATACCAAACTACCTGGAGCTCTTCCAATGTGCTCTCCTACTTCCATGTCTGATGTAGCTGTCACTCTACCTGAAAATGCCTGCCACCCCACGGGTCAAAGGCAAGTTACTACTCATTGTTTACGACCCTGCTGAGGGAATGCTTCCTCTGTGACACCTCCTCAGGTCATTCCTCCCCACCCCATATTATTTACTTATTCAGTAAATGTTTATTGAGCATCTACTTTGTGCAAGACCCTGATTTAGAAAGTGTGGATATAAGTAAGAAGCAGATAGACTTAAGGGTGCCCTCATCAAACTTGAAGATACTGGCTAGCAAATATGGATTTATAATAATAATATAATTATATATTATAACATATAATAAGTACTGTGATGTGAGGCAATACACAGTGGTATCAAGACACTGCAGAGGAATACGTAGCCCAAGCTTGGAGGACAGTCTAGGAAGGCTTCTTGGAGGAGGTAATGGTAGAAGAAAGAGTAGGAATTATTTGGGTAATATGGGATAAGAACAGGGAACATGGAATGCATGGCTTGGTGGAGGAAATGAAAGCGGTTCAGCAGGCCATCCTAAAAAAACCTTGTAAACAATTATCAAGACATTTTGAAAAATCATTATGAAATTTTACACAGGTATGTGACACGATAAGATTTCATCTAAGAGGCCGGGCACGGTGGCTCACGCCTGTAATCCCAGCACTTTAGGAGGCTGAGGCAGTCGGATCACGAGGCCAGGAGTTTGAGACCAGCTTGGCCAACATGGTGAAACCCCGTCTCTACTAAAAATACAAAAATTAGCTGAGCATGGTGGCAGGCACCTGTCATCCCAGCTACTCGGGAAGCTGAGGCAGAAGAATCACTTGAACCCGGGAGGCAGAGATCGTGTCATTGCACTTCCAGCCTTGGCGACAAGAGCAAGACTCTGTCTCAAAAAAAGAAAAAGGAAAAGATTTGGTCTAAGAAGGATTCCTTCAGCGACAGTAGGGAGAATGTGTTGGAGGGGTCAGGACTTTGGCAGTAACCTAGGTCAAGGATGGACAAACTGTGGTCCCTGGGCCAAATCTGGCTCACTGTCTGTTTTTGCATAGCCAGCAATCTAAGAATGGCACTTATACTTTTTGGGCTTTTGAATGGTTGAAAAAAAATTAAAAGAATATGCCACGACAGGTGAAAACTTAAATGAAATTCTAATTTTGGTTTCTATTAATATTAATAGAGTTTTATTGGAACACAGCCAGACATATTTGTTTACCTATTGTCTGAGGCTGCTTTCAAGCTACATGGATAGAGCTGAATACTTGCAACAGAGACAGTTTGACCCACAAAGTTGAAGCTATCTACTCTCACCCTTTACGGAAAGAGTTTGCCAACTCTTGATGTATCTAGGTGAGACATCACAGTGAATTATGCCAGAAAACCCAGCCTGACACAGATGTGTCATCTCCTTTTCCGTAATGTGTGAATTAAAGTGATCGTCTATTGATTTCTTCCTGTTTTCTATTTTTCTTTCTTTCACTAACTGTGAACATCTTGGGAGTACATTTTTTTCTTTTCTTTCTTTCTTTTTTTTTTTTGAGATGGAGTCTCTGTCACCCAGGCTGGAGTGCAGTGGTGCAATTCTTGGCTCACTGCTACCTCCGCCTCCCTGGTTCGAGTGATTCTCATGCCTTAGCCTCTCAAGTATCTGGGATTACAGGTGAGCGCCACCATGCCTGTGTAATTTTTGTATTTTTAGTAGAGACAGGGTTTCACCATGTTGCCCAGGCTGGTCTCGAACTCCTGGCCTCAAGTGATCTGCCCGCCTCGGCCTCCCAAGGTGCTGGGATTACAGGTGTGAACCACCACACCCAGCCTAAATTTTCCTTTCTGTAGTCAATTTGTCTTTTTGTGCTTAGTGCATAGGACAGGCTTAGTAAATGTTTGTTGGATAAATAGACATACGTGGATTTATATGTGTGTGATACTCGTGTGTGTGTGTGTGATACTCGTGTGTGTGTGTGATACTCGTGTGTGTGTGTGTGATACTCGTGTGTGTGTGTGATACTCGTGTGTGTGTGTGTGTGATACTCGTGTGTGTGTGTGTGTGTGTGTGTGTGTCCATAAGCGGCTGCTGCTTTTGTGAGCACATCCTCTGCTCTCCACTGCTAGGGACCATCTCTAGCCCATGTGATTTAGTTGAAACTGATCCCCACTTTCTCTTCTGTAAAAGTGTGAATGTGATCTAGGCCTAAGAGACTAGGCCTGGCTAATCTCTTCTAGTCTTTCGGTTTTAATCATTGAAGACTCAGAGGGTCATCTTTCCCCTTATTTTGGTTTTGCCTAGAGTTGATCTGAGTTTCATCCTGCCCAAAGCTGGTGAGATATTCACCAGGAAAAGTGAAAGGTTTATTCCTCCAAGTATTTACTATTCCTGTTCTCTCATGGCACCTAAATACATACATACATACATATGTGCATGCATAGAGGTAGAACCTAATGTCAAAGGTAGGCATGCAGACTAAACCAAGCCAATGAAACTCAAGTACAGATTTGTTTTCTGTATTTAATAGAAAAGAGGAACTCTTTCTTTCTGCTGTCTCTGAAGCTGGGAGGATACGAGCCTAAATCATCTAGGGCTACCACTTGGAGGTAGAAAGCCTGAGAATGAAGCCAACAGGGGAAAATGTGAATGAGAGAGGGAAGAGAATCTAAGTGTTAATAAGATAATTAGAGCCCCCACATCCTGTACTTTTCAGTTATGTGAGTCAATAAGTGCCCCCTTTTTGCTTAAGCTAGTACATATTGGGTTACCATTATTTCAAACAGAATGGTTCATATCTAAAAGCTTATGGAGCTCAAGTCTGTTAGATGTTGTCACAGGTTGAGTTCAAGAGGCTGAGGTAAATACTTGGGTGCAGGTGGAATTTTGGGGAGATGACATCTGAAAGCAGGGGTGAGGTAATAGTAAGCGTGAAAGAGGAAAAGTCCATAAAGAGGGTCTGTTAATGAGTTAATGACTACTAAGGGCAACTGGGGCTCACTTCTGCTGGGGACACCCTGGGTAGAATGTCTCAGAATTGTCCCTCCAGGAGAAGGGAAACTGGGGCATTCATCTGGTGACACTGATGATCCCTTGTTAGTTGAGAGTTAACACTTGGGTCATTAATTCCTCAAAAACTTGGGGTTGCTGGTGCAACAGCTGAGTAGGCTTCCTCAGCTTTGAAGGAAACTCCAGGCAGAAGCATGGAGAGATGTCAGGCTGTTGCCTGAGATGCAAGACCATCAGGGTGCACAGAACTCTCCACTGCAGCTACTTTGAAATCAAATAAATGTCATGGATAAGTGTAACATGGGGCACTAGAGGGTGGGCTGCCTGCTATCTAGTCTGTGATAGTGGTCAGCAACCTCTTTTTATCCTGTGTGCTCTTAGGAATGGTCTTGGGTGGAAAAGAAGCCCTAAGAGAAACAACATGGCCGGGTGTGGTGGCTCATGCCTGTAATCCCAGCACTTTGGGAGGCAGAGGAAGGAGGATCGCTTGAGCCCAGGAGTTCGAGACCAGCCTGGGCAACATAGTGAGCCCTCATCTCTACAAAAAACAAAAAAAATTAGCCAGGCATGGTGGTGCACATCTGTGGTCCCAGCTACTTGGGAGGCTGAGGTAGGAGGATAACTTGAGCCTGGGAGGTCAAGGCTGTAGTGAGCTGTGATTGCGCTACTGTACTCCAGCCTGGGTGACAGAGCAAGGTCCTGTCTCAAAAAAACACAACAGAAAAACAGAAGGAAAAGTAGAAGAAGAACAAACAAAAAAGGTGAAGGGCTAGAGAAAGAAAAAGAAAGAGGTAGACTATGGATCTGTGAACGTGTTGTGGACAAGGGCCTCAAATGCCATTTATTTGCACAAGTAAAATCTAAGATGAATGGTAGGTACTTTGAAAGGAATAGTAACACTTTTAAGATATTCGATCTGATTTATTAAATCTATTGATATTTTAATTTGTGAGTGCTTTACAGATGATAAAGCCTCATGCTTTATTCATGAAAATATTTTAATTTTAAAAGTAATAAGGCTGGGCGCGGTGGCTCATGCCTGTAATCTCAGTACTTTAGGAGGCCAAGGCAGGTGGATCACCCGAGGTCAGGAGTTTGAAACCAGCCTGGCCAACATGGTGAAACCCCATCTCTACTAAAAATACAAAAATTAGCTAGGCATGCTGGTGCACGCCCATAATCCCAGCCACTTGGGAGACAGAGAGGGGAGAATTGCTTGAATCTGGGAGGCAGAGGTTGCAGTGAGCTGAGATCACACCATTGCACTCCAGCCTGGGCAACAAGAGTGAAACTATGCCTCAAAAAAAAAAAAAAAAGTAATATATGAGTACATTATTGTTTGTAAGAAATTAAAAAAAAATTTTCAAAATAAGCAATGAGGCTAGGTGTTTTTACCCTCCATAACATGTAAGTGTTTCTATTTCTGTAAAGCATAGATACCTTAACCCTAAAACAGAGGGTTACAGATATGAAATGCCTAGCCCAAAGTCACATAGCTACTATAGATGACAGAGCTGTTTCCTTCCTCCCTTCCTTCCTTCTTTCCTTCCCTTCTTTCTCTTTCTCTCTTTCTTTTCCTTCCTTCCTTCCTTCCTTTCTTTCTTCTTTTGAGTTGGAGTCTCACTCTGTTGCCTGGGCTGGAGTGCAATGGCGCGATCTTGGCTCACTGCAACCTCCACCTCCCAGGTTAATGCGATTCTCCTGCCTCAGCCTCCCGAGTAGCTGGGATTACAGGAGCACACCACCACACCTGGCTACTTTTTTGTATTTTTAGTAGAAACAAGGTTTCACTATGTTGGCCAGACTGGTCTCGAACTCCTGACCTCGAGATCCACCTGCCTCGGCCTCCCAAAGTGCTGGGACTACAGGCGAGAGCCATCGTGCCCAGCCCAGTTTTCAACTCATACTCTTGATTCAATGCTCCTTCCACAGCTTATACCACCGAAATGGGTGTCCAGTGGCCTACAGATGACACAGCTCTGAAAATGGAACACTGGTTTAGAATCAGTACCCAGCCTTTCCAGAGAGCAAGATCTAGTTTTCAAGTCATTCTCAAATACAACTACAGATCCCAGATGTTATGGGTTGCATTTTGCCCCGTCCCCACTGAAGATATGTTAGAGTCCTAACTCCTAGTACCTCAGAATGTGACCTTATTTGGAAATAGGGTCATTGCAAATGCAATTAGTTAAGTTAAATGAGGTCATTTTGGAATAAGGTGGACCCCTAATCCAATATGACTGCCATCCTTATAAGAAGACAGCCTCTAATTTAATATGACTGGCGTTTTTATAGGAAGAGAGCCACATGAAGATACAGAGATGTAAAGAAATCACCATTTAATAAGGAAGGCAGACATTGGCATGATGCAGCTGCAAGCCAAGAAATGCCAAAGACTGCTAGAGGCAAGGAAGGATTCCCCTACAGCTTTCAGAGGAAGCATGGTTCTGCCAACACCTTGGTTCAGACTCTAGCCTCCAGAACCATGAGATGGTAAAACTGTTGTTTTGAACCACTCAGTTTTAGGTACTTTGTGATGGCACCCTTAGGATGCTAACACACCAGGTAAATTCCTTTCTAGTAAATCCTACACAACAAAGGTAAATGTCTTTGCTAACAACTTATCCATGGAAAATCATATTCTTTTGTTCAGAATAACATTTTCTGTTTATATCTTAAGTTTCTTAAAACAACCCAAAAGACTCCTATAAAAATCCAGGAATATTTTGATTTGTAACTTTCAGTTACTCCCTAATGGTTTAAGAGTTCACAGAGGCTGGGCACAGTGGCTCGTGCCTGTAATCCCAGCACTTTGGGAGGCTGAGGCAGGCAGATCCCCTGAGATCAGGAGTTCAAGACCAGCCTGGCCATTATGGCAAAACCCCGTCTCTACTAAAAACACAAAAAAATTAGCCGGGCATAGTGGCAGGTGCCTGTAATCCCAGCTACTTGGGAGGCTGAGGCATGGGAATTGCTTGAACCTGAGAGGTGGAGGTTGCAGCAAGCTGAGATTGTGCCACTGCACTCTAGCCTGGGGGATACAGTGAGACCCTGTCTCCAAAAAAAAAAAAAAAAAAAAAGTTCACAGAAAAATAATGGATCCTTTGTTTAATAGGAAATAGTCAATATTTACTCTCTAAAGTTACTTTTCCCAACCCTTTATTATAAAATTTTCTTAAATTCTAAGGTCATTTTATTAGAAAAGTATAGAGAAATACCTATACATTATGGTTGTAGGAAAGCCTTTTCAATGAAAACTATGGCAGAAAATTTACAAAGCATACATAAATGCAACCTGAAGTATATATTAATGTTTTTCCCTTCTTGCAGAAGATGGCTTGCAAAGAAGGCCATTGATTTTTCTCTTCTGAACTGGTCCGGTGTTGAGGATGACCTATTTGTAGCAGTATAAGGTGAAGATCCTCCTGTTCTAATATATCTCCCACCCTTCCTATCTGGCCTAAAATTGCTTACCTTAGTCATTTATTTGGACTAGAGAATAAAGGTCAGGACCTTGTCTTTAGAGGTTGGAATAATTCCCAGATGACACCTGAGAAAGGTAGAAGGTGAGTGTGTAGATTCTCCAGGGCTCTTTTCTTCTCGGCCTCTTAGCAAGGAATAATTTACCTAATCTGCTAAATTTACCAGCAATGTCAAAGAATCTGGATAGAAGTGAAACCACCTTCACAACACTTATAACAGGGAGAGAAATCTAACCAAAATGTTCCAGCTTGCTTCTAACCTCAAAAGCTGACTGCCTTTGTTAACTTTAAAACAAAGATGGGAGGCCAGGCACGGTGGCTCACGCCTGTAATTCCAGCACTTTGGGAGGCCGAGGCGGGTGGATCACAAGGTCAGGAGATCGAGACCATCCTGGCTAACACGGTGAAACCCTGTCTCTACTAAAAACACACAAAAAAATTAGCCGGGCATGGTGGCAGGTGCCTGTAGTCCCAGCTACTTGGGAGGCTGAGGCAGGAGAATGGCATGAACCTGGGAGGCGGAGCTTGCAGTGAGCCGAGATTATGCCACTGCACTCCAGCCTGGCGACAGAGTGAGACTCCATCTCAAAACAAAACAAACAAAAAAGATGGGCACACTCTCTTCCCAAAATTAACCCCGTCCTTGCTGACAGACCAAAACCACCCTTGTAAGACTAATGAAACGCCATAGGCTAGGATTATGGAAGGGGCCTGGATTCTGCTAACATGATAACCAGCCATTGTTCCCTAACTTGCTTTTCTATAATCACGTACTGCTTGAGTCACGTAGCCAGAGGTCAGAGGATTTCTAACTTCCCCAACTGCTTCTATAGATAATTGTCACTATTGTCAAAATGATATTTTTTAGACTTTTGCATTCTGGTGATCAACTGACTCCACCTGGACCCACGACTCAACTAGTCCTACAACCCCCACCCAGAAACTGACTTAGCACATGAAGACGGTTTGGACATGTCTATGGATTTCATCCCCAACCAATCAGCAGCACCCATTCCCCATCCCCTTGCCCACCAAATTATCCTTAAAAATCCTAGCCTTTCAGGCTAGGCAGATTTGAGAACATCCTGTCCTTCCACTTAGCTGGCCCTGTGATCATTGAATTCTTTCTTTGCTGCAAAACCTGCTGTTTTCAGTGCACTGGCTTTCCTGGGCAGTGAGCAAGAAGACCCAGTTGAGCTGTTAGAGGAAAGGCTTAGTTTGGTGGTAGAGAAAGAGCTTGGAGGGTTGTGGGAGAGACTGGTAGGCCTCTTACTTGGACAGTGGTCCTTCTCTATCTGGGAAGGTCATCATCTTTCTCTGACCAGCCAACTTCAGGAGGAACATTTTGGAGCATGGAAGAAGGAAGGGCTACCCACCTAGCACTATTTTCTCTAACCATGAAGCAGCTGGATCCATCCTGTTAATGAATGGTGGTGAGGGGTGAGTAGCAAGCTGCATCCTAGCACCCTAGTAAGGAGTCAGGGCACATAGAGTTCTAGGAGCAGAAAGGTGGGAGTGGATGCTTATGAAGTGATAAGGATGTGAAGGCACAGCTCAGAGGGGAGCAGGAGGAGCAAAGAGAAAAAGACACTCAGAGTGCCATCTTTCCTATTAGTTAATTTTATCTAGAGTTGATCTTATTTTGTCCTACCCAAAGCTGGTGAGATAGCCATGAGGAACAGTGAAAATCTTATCTATCCCTCTAGCTAGCTATCCACTAGTCTTTTTTTTTTTTTTTTTTTTTTTGAGAGAAGAGTTTCTCTCTGTCACCCAGGCTGTAGGTGCAGTGGCATGATCTTAGCTCACTGCAACCTACACCTCCCAGGTTCAAGCAATTCTCCCTGCCTCAGCCTCCCGAGTAGCTGGAATTACAGGTGTGGCCACCATGCCTGGCTATTTTTGTATTTTTCAGTAGAGATGGGGTTTCTTCATGTTGGCCAGGCTGGTCTCGAACTCCTGACTTCAGGTGATCCTCCTGCCTCAGCCTCCCAAAGTGCTGGGATTACAGGCGTGAGCTGCTGCACCTGGCCCGCTAGTCTCATTCTTGCATGGCACCAGAAAAAAAAAACAAAACCTAATGTGAAAGCTGTTCCCTGTGAGGCAGTCATTATTTTGACTTTGGACTGCAAGAAGAGATAATTTGCCTGTCACCTTTGAAAACCTTCCTTCTCCTCAGATTCCTGAAGGGATTTGTTCCTCACCAGAGGTTTGATACACTTCCTGAGAATGAGGATATTGTTTTCTATTTTCAGGAATGTCTCCATAAATATTTGTCAATTGATTGATTATGTCTGTGTTACTCATCAAATCATATCTGCCTGAGGTATGTAAGTGTAAACATCCTGCTCAGATACACATTTCCTACATGTCATATTGAATATAAAACAGAAGAAATCAAAGCAAGGGAACGAGCACATGTTACACAGACACGCTTGTTTTACTGCACTGTGTGGTCAGAACCAATGGCAGAAATATGCAAGGACTAATACACTTCAGATGAGCAAGTGTTAGAATCTGTGTTTGCAAATAAATAGAAACGGATTTCTGTAGGATGAAAGGGTAGCAGCAAGGGGATAGGAGTAAGAAGGAATGCATGGAATTACTGGAAGAACATCTGGTTTAATTAAAGAATAAAACCTAAAAAAAAAAAAAAAGCTGGGGGCCTGGATGTTCTATTTCTCTTGATGATAGCTTTGTAAGAACTGAGTCTTTTTCTGTCCTTTTCACTGCTGAGGCCTAGTGCCAAAGCGGGCACACAATAAATGGTTGTTGAATTAATAAATGAATAAAAGAAACTCCAGAAATAATGTACAGTTTATGAGGAAACCCATTAGACCTATGGTTTTTCAAAATCAAAGGGTTTTAGTTTTAGTTTTGTTTTAGATAGGGAATCCCTGATTAAATAGAATCTTGCTAAACATTAATAAAGGCAAAGCTACACAGATGCAAGCCCAAATGGGAAGTCCAGTGGCTTCATCCAATCACTGCTCCCAACCACACCCTCCCCATTCCAGAAACTCCAATTCACTGGATCTGGGGAGAGGCACCCAGGGGTTTATGTCCTTAGGAAGCTTCAAAGGTGATTCAGATACAGAGACGGGCTTGGAAACCACAGCTCCAGGGCTCCACTGAGCACAAGACTGGATGCTCCAGGAGGGCAGGGGGTGTTCATATGTCTCCCTCACAACTGGAGGGCAACCTTCACCTTAGACCCCAGCACTATTTTCTCTATCTTTGGTACCACAGTTGCATGTTTGTGGTCCACTAAGCTTCCCTCAGAGCTGATTTTGGATTATAAAGATTGTTAGAGTTATAACAGGTTCTTGTGAATGTCTGTTGACTTAATATAGCTTTCTCAGAAAATTTGGGGATAGGGCTGAAAGAGATTTTTCCCCCCTTCTCTTCGTCTGAGACAGAGCTTTTTTGCTTTGAATTGTCTCTCTCAGGTTCATTTTTCTTCACAGCATCCCTGGGAGTGGAGGAAGACAGGCATTTCCATTTTTATTTTATTTTATTTATTTATTTTCTTTGAGACGGAGTCTCGCTGTGTCACCCAGGCTGGAGTGCTGTGGCACATCTCGGCTCACTGTAAGCTCCGCTTCCCGGGTTCAAGCGATTCTCCTGCCTCAGCCTCCCAAATAGCTGGGATTACGGGTGTGTGCCCCCAAGCCTGGGTAATTTTTGTATTTTTAGTAGAGACGGGGTTTCACCATGTTAGCCAGGCTGGTCTCGAACTCCTGGCCTCAAGTGATCTGCCCACCTTGACCTCCCAAAGTGCTGGGATTACTGGCGTGAGCTGCCAAGCTTGGTCCTCCATTCTTATTTTATAGATGGGGAAACTGAGAACTAGGGATGTTTATTCATTTGCTTCCTGTCCAAAAGATGATTTGAAGCAAAGCTGGGACTGGCTTCCATAGACATATTTACAATGTTTGGTTCTCCTTAAGCAACAAAAATAAAGCTCTGCTCTCAGGAGAGTACATTAGAACAAGCTCTTATATAAATGTCTTCTATTGAGTGGAAAGCTGGTAATGTATGATTACAATACCATCTCATGATTTTGTTGAGCAACAAATGCAATCTTATGTTTTATCTGAAAGATTATAAACTTTACAATCAGTTAATGTTATTTTATACACTTTGGGCCCCTCAGCCCCTCTCAAAGTACTGCTTAGAATCTTCCTCATCAGCAGTATTTATATACTGCATTTCCCATTTATTTTCAGCAAGCTGGTTCTCTTGAAAAGATTCTAATAAGCTTCCCTTGTAACTGAATTCCTCTATTTCCTTCCCAGTACCCATTAAAGAACGCACCTCCTCTGAAAGGCACGACATTTAATGTATTAGCTTACACTCTGGTTCTCAGACTTTTCTAGATAACCTTGCAAGGGCATCAGCTCTATGGCATTCTTTACTGAATACCACAGGAATGTGCATGTTATGACCCAAACCATGAGAGGATTTCCTCTGGAACTTATTCCAGATTTGGGTCTGTAGATCATAAGAATGAGTTTATTTATGGACAATGATTATGTGAAATTTTCTGTAGAAATACAGAAAATTCTAATCATTGCCTCACTGTCGAGCATCTCTCCTCAATCTGAGTATAATTTCTTTCAGTTTTGATCAGGATGTGTGATGCATAACTAATGGGCTTCCCACTGCCATCTGGCAGGCTGTGTGAGTTCACAGCTCACATTACAGCAGAAGCAGGACCACAAGCCAAATTTAAAGTAAAAGTGGGCTGCAGGACAGTTGTACCTGTAAAAATGAATTCTCCTTTTGCTACCTACATTCTTTTTGGTGGCATCACCATCTTTGACAGCTCGGAACTGTCTGCAGCCTTTCAGATACGGCCCTTTACCTGCACTGACAAAAGTAAATCTTAGTTTCCAAATGGTTTCGTTACCAAAGAAAAGTTTGCGTATTTGGCGTATTTCAAAGCTTCCTTTAGCTTGAATCACTCTTTCATCACTAATTGTTATGCCACGATTTAATTATATTAGGGATGGAGAATTCTGAGGACTTTCCTACTTTTGAGAAGATGCTCATGTAAACTAACCAATATTCAAAATTGTGTTTATGCTTGATAATTATAGGAAAATGTCTTAATTGGCTTGCTTGAAACTATCGTACTGTCATTATTTCTTCACCTCATGATGGGCCACTAGAGTGCTTCTGAGTTAATACTGGAGCAAATGAGGACACTGACAGTCACAATTACTTTCAGGATAATTTACGCTCTTTATAATTCTTCCATGAAATAATTTTTCCCTTAAGAAGTACTTACTGCTGTGTCTTTTTCACATTATCCTATTCCCAGGTTGGATCTTTTCTCTGCACCATATTCACATATGTAAGTCCATAATATATTAGCTATTCTTGTGATTGTACAACGCAGCAAGCCAACTTGAATTTGCTTAGGCTCAAGGAGGAGTTGAATAACTACACTATTTCATTGATTTTAAAATTTGCATTACACTTCTTTTCAATATCAGAAATAGAATGAGTCTATAGTTTAATTGCAAGTGTATTTTAAAACACATACATAATGTAATACTGCATCGTTTTTTTCTTTTTTCTTTTTTTGAGACAGAGTTTCACTCTTGTCACCCAGGCTGGAGTGCAATGGCGCAATCCAGGCTCACTGCAACCTCTTCCTCCCAGGTTCAAGTGATTCTCAAGCCTCAGCCTCCTGCATAGCTGGGATTACAGGTGTGTGCCACTACACCCAGCTATTTTTTTTATTTTTAGTAGATATGGGTTTTCACCATGTTGGCCAGGCTGGTCTTGAACTCCTGACCTCAGGTGATCCACCCATCTTGGCCTCCAAAAAGTGCTGGGATTACAGGCTTTTTTTTTTTCTCTGGGTCTTGCTGGGTCACCCAAGCTGGAGTGCAGTGTTGTGATCCCAACTTATGGCAGCCTCAACCTCCCAGGCTCAAGCAATCCTCCCACTTCAGCCTTCCAATTATCTGGGACTACTGGCATGCACCACCACACTTGGCAATTTTGTTTATTTTTTGTAGAGACAGGGTTTCGCTATGTTGCCCAGGCTGGTCTCGAACTTCTGGGCTCAAGCGATCTTCTCACCTCAGCCTCCCAAAGTGCTGGAATTACAGAAGGAGCCATGGTGCCGAGCCAATGGTGCATCTTTTAATGGATAGCTTCTTAGACTCCATCAGGTAGGGTAAGTTGTGAGAAGGCTGAATGCAGCTGTGTCTCAGGGACTACTTGAAGCAGAGCTCAAACACTACTGGAACACTCTGTCTCTGACCTGGGCTTCCCTCATCTGGGCTGGTGTTATTTCTCTTGGACTGCAGACTGACTTCCCCCAAATGGCAAGTAACAGTGCTACCAGTCTATAGTTTTGTATCTTATGGGTCTTTCTACAGAGTCCCAAATTCAAAGTTACCAGAGAAGGCACTCATTGGCTTAGCTTGGGTCAGATGCCCACTCCTAGATCAGTGGGATCACGTTTGGCAGGGACATGTAATCATGCATGAATTATGAAGAGCATAAACGTGTAAGGCAGATCCTATAGTAATCATGTAGAGGGAAGTGGTTGGGGATGCACTTCTCAGGAGCAGGGAGGTCAATGCTGGATGGATAATGAATACATTGATATACTCCCCTATTATAGTTTTATTCACAGGTGATCAGCTATCTTGGTTTGGGAACATTAAATCTTTACTGGTTTTCAGTTCTAGATTTTGTTCTCCTTACAGCTGAAACCACTCAATTCTCACTTGTAGCTCAGTCTTGCCCTACACGTTAGGACAAATTGCAAGAAGGCTAGCCAATTCAGGACAAACAAAGATGTTTATGGATTGCATTTTTTTGCACTCACAGAGGTCAATATTTTATTGACTTCTTAGTGAGAAAAAGTATATGTTTATTTGTAGCAGAATCTGCTGGTTGCGTAGAACTCACTCCAAACCCTTCTGTGTATCTCAGAGGCTAAGAAGCTAAAAACAATTCTTGGACTCCTTTGCAAGTAGCTTCCACCAGAAACTTGGAAGGTGAAGTGAACAACGTAAGTTGCAGCCCATGGGGAGGTAGGATTCTGCAGTTAATAATGTAATTTTTCGGCTGGGTGCGGTGGCTTACACCTGTAATCCCAGCACTTTGGGAGGCCGAGGCAGGTGGATCACGAAGTCAGGAGATCGAGACCACGGTGAAACCCCGTCTCTACTAAAAATACAAAAAAAAAAATTAGCTGGGCGCAGTGGTGGGCGCCTGTAGTCCCAGCTACTCCGGGAGGCTGAGGCAGGAGAATGGTGTGAACCCAGGAGGTGGAGCTTGCAGTGAGCTGAGATCACGCCACTGCACTCCAGCCTGGGCGACAGAGCGAGACTCCATCCCCCACCCCCAAAAAAAGAAAAATTTTCAGGGTAGCTGTGATGGTGGCACAACTGTCCACTGTCCAGTGGTCTTGGCAATAGCTGAGAGGTTTCCTTGGTTTTAGACAGGCTCCTGTGTGGTTGGGTATTTCTCCTGTTGACACTGTGGCTGGCTGTGTGGCCACCAAACTTGGTTCTGTTCCTCTTGGAAACTCTATGAGCTTAGATAGAAATGATAAAATCTATTTCTGTTGAAACTAGCTAGATTCTGTGATTTTACTGTTGGCAACTCAGATCCCTGAGTAATTATCTTACACCATCAGCAAAAACATTAGAACCATTTGTTTAGCCACCAAAAGATAAATGATTAGGTCTATTAGAGAAGTGGCCAGTTGGAGTCAACTTTCTAATAATTTTAACCTTTATATCCACATTAGAGCTCATATAGTATGTTCATTTGCATTATCTCGAGAGATTGACCAAAAAATGCATAAATCCCTATTGTTGGTGGAGGTTTAGGGTAATATATACATTCTCTTAGAGAAGCATATGATTAAGGACATGGTCTAGACTCCAAATAACTAATCCATGGATTTGGTGAAGTTATTTGACTTCTCCAAGCTTCTGTTTCTAAATATGTAAAACGGAGACCAAAATACCTATCTTAAAATCTATTTTAAGGAATAAACAAATCCATGCAAAACATTTGGGAAGGTATCTTGGGTACAATAAACTCTCAGTCCATTAGCTATAATTATCATTTACCTTTGCTAAAAGCATGAATTGCCACATGAACTTTGGAGGGGAATTTGGCAGTATCTATCAAAATGTCTGTATAACTTGGCTATACCTGAACTTTGTATCTAATCTACAGAAATGCACTTGCTGTAATGTCCATTAGTAGGGAAATACTTCAATAGATTGTGTCATACGATAGAATACCATGGAGCCAACAAAAAGAATAGTGGAAGTCTGTATTTCTGACATGGAAAGGTCACCCATTTACCATTCATTTCATCAACAAATATTTATTGAGTAGTTACTTCATCCTCTCTGTTGTAGGTGCTGAAAGTCAGAACTATTACATTATGGAACAGTCTATGTAGTATGATCCAATGGGTGTTAAAAAATTATCTGCACCTGTGTATGAGTGTAGGGTCAGTTGTGGGCTTTCCTGTCCAGGCTGTGGAGAGGTCTCAAGCTGGCTTTCTCCAATCTACCCAGTGAGGATGCTGGGGCTTGCTTTCCTACACCACTACCTTTTCATGTATCCTGGCTTCGTTTCCATGTTGGAGGCCTATAAATGACCTAAGCATAAACAGATATCATATCTGCTGGATATCTGATGGCTGTCCAGCTAGCTGCTATTTAAAGGAAGTCCTCACCACAGGGCAACCAGAAAAGCTAAAGTGTTTCTTGGGTCTACTTGGTCGAATGGCTGCTGGGCTCTCTGTGGACATTGCCTAGGCTGCTGCTGGCTCTCTGGTGCTCCAGGGGAGGAAAGTGTGGTCTCCTCTCCTGTTGCTCTGCTTGCTTCCAGTCCTGCCCCTCATCCTGAGCCACATAGCCCCCTTTGTCATGGTCTGTTCCGTCTATCACTCCATTCTTTATCTAGTCTCTGAGACAAGGATGTTGGAGTCTTCACTCATTCTATTTCCAAACTACTGTTCATGCTACAAGCTTTTAGCCTCAGATATAACAGGGCTTTGATGTTGATACATAATACTAAGATTTGGGAACTGAAAATACTTTTATTTCTTCCAAAGCTCAGGTCTTTGGAATTGAAAGCCTTGACCATGAGTCATCTTGATGCCTGCAATGACCCCACTTCATGGCCCTGCTTTCACCTTGTGTGTATGTAGTGGGGAGTATGATGAAAAGAGTTCAACATAAACAACAATAATTTTTTAAAAAACATGAATAACAAAACCAAAAAATATTGAAGACAAAATCACAGTGATTAAGATACCAAAATAGTATTCCACCACACATAGAAGAAAATCTGGGAAACCTACCTAGCAGTTAGTGGGGTTTACCTCTGAGAAGGGGAGGAGGATTGACAGTGAGGTGAAAGCAGACTTTTTTTTTTTTTTACAGTGTCGCCCTATGTCACACAGGCTGGGGTGCAGTGGATCCTAGCTCACTGCAGCCTCGAACTCCTGGCCTAGTGCGATCCTCCCACCTCAGCCTCTCAGAGTGTTGAGATTACTGGTGTGAGCCACCACACCTGGCCTAGACATTCTATTTTTACTCTGAAAACCTCTTTTGGTTTATTTGAAGTATGTATAGACATGTTTAAAGTTATCTTTTGTAATTAAAATCATCGATTTAGAAAAACAGACTTTTAAAAGTAAGCTATAGTGTTTGGATCTTGGGTATGGGATGTAGGAATCCTGTGCTTTCAACCCCTTTGACCATCTCCCTGCTCGCTATACTTAGCCCCAGTTGTGGAGGCTGAATCAGCTCCATCTTGGATGTGAATCCGCCATGTTGGCTTCTGATTAACCCCAGTTCTGGGAAGGCCTCTAAAATTTCCAGCTGATCTATTGTTCCTTGTGTAAGAGCAGGTACTTACCGAAAACCCCACCCTTAGGTCAAACAACCTTGATGTTATCATACTTCAATTGTCCCATACATCCCTTCTGAACCACCTCTTCCCCATAGTATATAGGCCCTGGAACTGACGGTAATGTCGTGGGGATCCACCATCTTGTCTCACCACCGCCCAAGACACAGACATGGCTTCTGTTCATAAATCCCTATTAAATATTTCACTTCCTAAGAAACTGGACTTGTCAGCCACTTTCTTCGGTCTCTCAGCTTCCTCGGACTTTGAGGTGGGTCTATGTAGACCTGCCCACTGTGAAACACCAACTTTAAGTTGTTCTTCATCTGGATGGCTCTTCTGGGATCCCTCTAAGAGCTTGGGAAGTGTTTCTGGACTTCCTCCTTATCCTCTACTCTGGGCTGGATTGAATGACTGTCTGTTGGCACTTTCCACATACCATTATTCTAGTACTTACCAGATGGCCTTGCAATGATCTGTTTATGTGTTTGTCTTCCCCTCTCTGCTGTGATCTTTTTGAGGATAAAAATTATGTCTTATTCACTACCATGTCTCCAGATCCTAACACAATGCCTGGCACATGGGAGTGCTTCATCAACGTTTATTTGAATTTGGTTCTTGCATCCAAGTCAGAGAATTGCTGCCTTGGCACACTATAAATAGTGCAAATGCAAACAAATGCTTACACCCACTCAGCTTGCTCTGCTAATCGACAGTTCTTGTTTCTATATCTTCCATATCTCATCTCTCACATCAATTGTTCCAACTGTTCTTCACATTCCAAAGGCAAAGTCCCTTTCTCCTTAATTTACTAGGAAGATTCAGGCCATTCTCTCTTTCCTCTAATCCCTCCCCCCACCCACTGTTTTTGAAATAGGGCCTTGCTCTGTCACCCCGGCTGGAGTGAAGTGGCATGATCGTAGTTCACTAAAGCCTCAAACTCCCAAGCTCAAGCAATCCTTCCACCTCTTCCTCTCGAGTAGCTGGGACCAGAGGTGTGCACCACCATGTCTGGCTAATTTTTTTTTTTTTTTTTTTGAGGCAGAGTCTCACTTTGTTGCCCAGTCTGGACTGCAGTGGCGCAATCTCGGCTCACTGCAACCTCTGCCTCCTGGGTTCAAGTGATTCTCATGCCTCAGCCTCCTGAGTAGCTGGGATTACAGGCCTGCGCCACCATGCCTGGCTAATCTTTTGTATTTTTAGTAGGGACAGGGTTTTGCCATGTTGCCCAGGCTGTCCGGGTCTCGAATTCCTGAGCTTAGGTGATCCACCCGCCTCTGCCTCTCAAAGTGCTGGGATTACAGGCGTGAGCCACCACACCCAGCCGAGGCTAATTTTTTATACTTTTTGTAGAGATGGTGTCTTGCCATGTTGCCTAGGTTGGTCTCAAACTTGTGGGCCCAAGTGATCCTCCCACCTCAGCCTCCGAAAGTGCTGGGATTACAGGTGTGAGCCACCACATAGGCTTTCCTCTAATCTTTCCCGACCTCTGCTTTTGGAAGCATGTCCTTCTAGCTCCTCTTGAGTTCATTAATTACCACTACTTTCTGGTATCTCAGACATGTTTGGGCATGACTTGGCAAACTGTAGCAGGGTGACACATTTATTTATTCAACCTTTATGGAGCACCTACTGAATGCCAAGCGCTATGCTGGATATGAGGCCACAGAGGTAAATAAGGAGCCATCTCTGTCCTCGTGTCAGGATTCTGGCAGAAAACAGATGGCACTTCATATTGGGTAACTTGAAGAGAATGTAGACAGAGTTTAGGCAACCACATGGGATAGTGTAGTCTCCTAAGGCTGGTAATAGTGGGAATCCATGACCATTCCTAGACCTGAAATTGGGAGCCGGGGAGTAGTTTCTGGAACATGGGAGGTGAAGGAGAAGTACCAGCAAGCTGTGTGGTGATGCTTCCTGACGAGGTGTGGTCTTGGTCTTAAATCAAGGGCATAGTCATTGAGCAGGAAGCTGGGGATAACACCCTGACCTCACTCTCCTGGAACCAGTGAGGGAGAAAGCCACTGGTGTTGTTCACACATCAGCCTCCTGGAGCATAGCAGGAAAGAGATGTGTAGAGAGAGAATCTGGACCCAGCAAATGGAAGGTGTCCAGCAAGTCCTAAAGGAGCTCAACATCTAATAGAAATAAACATAGGCAGGAGAATGAAATGGTGGACTGTACATTCAGATGCCTCTGAGGATGTGGGAAGGATGGGCTCAAGGGAGGCAGGATAGAGATGGGGAGACCGATAACAGGAGATTACTGTGGTGGGGGATGATGAGGCTGGAACTCTGGCTGGAAATGGGGTGATGATCTTGGAAATGTTCAAGAGCCCAAAGCATCAAGTCTCAGGGATTGGATGTGAAAGAGTTATCAAAGAGGTTTCACAGGTTTCCAGCTTGGGTACTTGTTAGGTAATGGTGTGTCCAGCTGAGAGTTCCAGACAAGAAGAGTGAAAAGTTCCGTAGGGATTGTGGGGTATTTAGGGGACTGTGGGATATTTGGGGGACTGTGGAGTATTTAGGGGAAATTGTTTAGTAGGTAGTTGAAAAAAGTGAGCCTAAACTACACACACACACACACACACACACACACACACACACACAGAGAGAGAGAGAGAGAGAGAGAGAGAGGTCTAGGCAGGAGGAGTAGGTTTGAGAGTCTTCACCATGTAGGCAGGAGATAGTTGAAACTATGATACCATGAATATAGGTTGAATCACTCAGGGACTGGGTTGAGAGTGAGAAAGGACTCTTGATTGCACAGTAGCTGGGGAGAAAGTAGGAGGGGGATGTGTAGGATCCAGAAAGGACTTTTTCTTTTTTTTTTGAGATGGAGTTTCGCTCTTGTCACCCAGGCTGGAGTGCAATGGTGCCATCTCAGCTCATTGCAACCTCTGCCTCCCGGGTTCAAGCGATTCTTCGGCCTCAGCCTCCCGAGTAGCTGGGATTACAGGCATGCACCACCACGCCCAGCTAATTTTTGTATTAATAGCAGAGACGGGGTTTCACCGTGTTGGCCAGGCTGGTCTCCAACTCCTGACCTCAGGTGATCCACCTGCGTCGGCATCCCAAAGTGCTGGGATTACAGGCATGAGCCAATGTGCCTGGCTGAAAGGACTTTTTTTTTTAAAGTAGCGAAAAGACTCAAGAGGATGAATATTTGAACTTTTAGCTCACCTTGTCCTTCTTGAAACTCTCTACTCTGTTGGCTTCCATGGTTTTCCCCTGATCCTTCTCCTTTTCCTGTCCCCCTTCCTGGATCCTTCACTGCTGTCTGTCGTCTAAACATGTGCACATTCCAAACCCTCCTATATGCACAATGTCCCTAAATGGTAGTAGTCCTTACTGACTCGTTCTCAATGGAATCTAAACACCCAAGATTGAATCAGGGGTGGCCCCCAGAGTCTCCCAATATATGTGATGATTTCCTGCATCGATCTACCTCCCTCAGGAAGGGACTGTGACCTGTGCCAATACAGCTCTCAGTCATTGTTCTTTATTTGAGGTAACTACTACCCTGTACCTTCTATGTCTTCATAATTAACACCTTTACATGTGCCGACATGTGGACATGCCATACAGAAAGCAATAATAATAATAATAATAATAATAATAATAATAATAATAATAATAAATAGATCATTGGAGGTAGGGCCACAATCAACTTCTTCTATCTCTCCTATTCTCACAAGTTTTCCACACACTCATACATCAAAAATTTTAGAAAAAGATTAACGAGTGGCCGGGTGCAGTGGCTCATGCCTGTAATCCCAGCACTTTGGGAGGCCAAGGTGGGCAGATCACTTGAGGCCAGGAGTTTAAGACCAGCCTGGCCAACATAGTGAAAACCCATCTCTACTAAAAAATACAATTAGCAAGGCGTGGTGGCACGCGTCTGTAATCCCAGCTACTTGGGAGGCTGAAGCAGGAGAATCACCTGAACTTGGGGGCCGGAGGTTATAGTGAGCTGAGATTGCACCACTGCACTCCAGCCGGGGCCACAGAATGAGACTCTGTCTCAAAAAAAAAAAAAAACAACAAATTAAATAACAAATAAGACAGACGGGGCTAAATAGAGTGGAGCGTACAACCTTTGGATGGAACACTTTTGCTACCCTGCATGATGTAGACACTTCCTGTTTCCCCCATGCTTCTGAGCTGAGGGTCCTAGCAGTGTCCTCCTTTCTTATTTTTAACTTGAGTTTGATAGAATTTGGCTACTTTCTTGGAGCAATCAAAATTTATCAGCTCACTTCTCTTCAGCAAACAGGTGGGAATGAGATCATGGAAAGATAAACAACTCTAGAACACCAGATATGAAGTGTAGAAAGAAAAACTTTTAGAGTCGTTGATTTGCAGGCCAGGGGCCTTCCTGCAAGCAACCTTTGGGTTTATCATTGGGTTTATTGTTAATTGGTGAACTATTACACCCCCACAGTGGACCCATGATTATAAGACAGATCCCCACTTGCAGGAATTCATCAAATAAATGGCCTACTCTGCCTTCTGTTAATTTAATCTCCAATCCACAATGCTTCATGTTAGTACTCCTCAAGTAGAAAATGGATGTCATCCATGCTTATGTAATTTCTAGTTGAGCTCTTTAGCTCCAGCCATGCTTATTTGTGAGTCATAATTATGTCTGTGTAAAACACTGCTGCAAGCCCTGTGTGCCTGTGTGGGTGTTTTATGCATGGGTGTAGTCTACAGCCTGGGAAGCTAAACCTGTTGGTGAAGGGATTTTCATTTACCTAAGAGAAAGATCTTAACACTTAATAGAGAGCAGATTAATTTCAGCTGGTTATTTAGATAGAAAATATGGTTTGTTTGTGAGAGTGTAACCGGATGGAGCCACTGTCCTCCTTTCTCCCCAGCAACTCTCGGGGGTTAGGAGTGGGGAGGAGGATCAAAGAACTCATAACTTCTCCCAGGCTGGGCAGTCTGTGGTTAGTTTTTCTGCCTACCTGGTAAAGCCATGGGGTCCTCCACCTCTGGAGCAAGATTAGACCTCTCTTTGAGTAAAGGAGAGCCAAGGAAGTATAATGGATAGGCCTCTGGACCCAGAGCCTGCTGGGACCAGAGTTGTGTGCTCATGGGCAAGTTTCCTTATCTCTAAAATGGAGCAATAATCATATCTATCTAAAGGTTGCTGTGAGGATTAGATGAGTTCATTCATGAAAAGAGCTTACTGCCCTACATGTTGTGGTGCTCAAATAGCTGTCTTCTGAAGGGTTTATGGAACGGTCCTAAAATGGGAGCTGACTCGCTCACTCCCTTGAATCATACAAAGGGATAAGAGGAAGCCTCCTGTGGATATTCTCCTACCCTCCCTCCTCTTCTCCTCAATGTCCCCTCTCTGTAGTAGGCCTCTTCTGAAAGCCCTCATCACCTGGTTGCTCTGCCTTGTGCTTGAGACTCTGGTAAGGGTGATTCCTTCTTTGCCATTTTTTTTTTTTTTTGTGACAGGATCTCGCTCTGTCACCCAGGCTGGAGTGCAATGGCGTAATCATGGCTCACTGCAGTTTCAACCTGCTGGGCTCAAGCGATCCTCCCACCTCAGCCTGCCGAGTGGCTGGGTCTACTCAGGGGAAAAAATTTAGCTACCACACCAGGATAATTTTTTTATTTTTTTTGTAGAGATGAGGTCTCACTCACTATGTTGCCCAGGCTGGTCTCGAACTCCTGGGCTAAAGCAATCCTCCTGCCTGGATCTCCCAAAGTGCTGGGATTACAGGTGTGAGCCACTGCACCCAGCCCCACTTCTTTTCCTTGAGTTGAATTCTCAGGCCGGCTGTAGTGTGTGTTTGTCTTCTGTGAGGCTGTGTCTCTTCCACCCCCACTCCACCCCCATCCCCGCAGGCACCACTGCCTCCTTGCCAGGGCTGATTCTTTTCATCTTGCTCAAGTTCGGGCAGCTCTGTCAAACCCCCTGTTTGCTCTGATGGAGTGTGGGTGACTTCGTGACTGCCTTCCCACCTTATCTGAGACCAGTTTGTTTTCCCCAAAGTGCTATAATTTGCGGCTGGGTGTTTCCTGTTTTTTTGCACCCTCTGGGCATGGCAGGGGGAGCTCAGCAGAGACTATGTTTCTATGTTTCTTCATTAGAAAACCTGAGCTCCGGGCTTATTTCTATCTCAGTTCATCCCTCTGGTGTACCCATTTCCACAGGCTTTGGCTCCCTTCTCCAATTAAGAGTACAGCCCTGGAGTCTTCTCATTCATGTTACTCCAGTTGACTGTTTCACCCAATTTCTCCCCAGCAGCCATTTTCATTCACTGCAGTCAGAAGACAGAAAAGATAAGGATAAAGCATACCGATGGGCTCTTTGCAGATTTAGAATACTGATGAGAATGCTTGGGATTCTATGGCCCATGAGTGAAAGAGTTGGGATTGGTAGCCCTGCCAAGATGCTGTCCTGCTTAGCTCCAGAATCTTATTTTCTTCCTGTACCACCTTTTTGGAGGCTTATGGTATTAGCATGTGCTCCTTTCCTCGTCTGATTGCTGCTGGTGGATTTTGAGGAGTTTTTTTTTTTTTACTTTTTCTGTTACTTCCTTAGGAATTAGCTATGAAGCAACACCATTCCTCCATATTAATCCAAAGGTTACATTTTTTTTTCTTTTAATATGGATGAGACCCAACTCCTTATGAAATAAAAACCCTGACCTTATTAAGCTATAATTCTTTCCTGGGCTGGCTTTTTCTTTACGAGGCTCTGCACATAAACAGCCATACTTCTCCAGCCACCCAATCAAATGGCAACATATTATACCTCCAGCCTTCAAATATCTCCTCAATAACCGAAGTAATGGTAGATCAGGGAATCGGATCAATGTGCCACACTAACTAATTTGCTGTAGCCAGCCACAGAATCAGGTGTCCCTGGAGAAAAAATGATGTAGTACAGTGTTTATCAGTATAGACTTTGGAGCCTGACTGCTTGAGTTCAGTTTCTGTTTTCACCACATACTAGCTAGCTGTGCAAATTTTAACAAATTGCTGTTTCCTGTACCTCTATGTCCTTATATGTAAAACGGGATGATGAGAATTAATTTTACCCACCTCTTAGGGTCCCTATGAAACTTAAATGAGTTATTTTGTATGATATGTTTAGAGTAGTGCCTAGCTCATTGTACCTATTTAATACATAGTAGCTATTATCTTCCTTTCTTCTTCCATTGCTGTTTATTTGTTTAGTGTCTAATCTGGCTATTTCTGGAAAATCCTGGTCTTCACCGACTAGGAGAAGCAAATGTGCTTTTACTTAAAAAGAGTGATCTAGAAATACAGCAGCTTTGCTGGGTATGGTGGCGCATGTAATCCCAGCGCTTTGGAAGGGTGAGGCTGAAGGATCACTTGAGCCCAGGAGTTCAATGTTGCAATGAGTTAGGATCATGCTACTGAACTCCAGCCTGGGCAATAGAGTGAGACCCTCTCTCAAAGAAGAAGGAAGAAGAAGAAGAAGGAGGAGGAAGAAGGGGAGGAGAAGAAAAGACATATAACTGCTCTGCTGATAGGAAGTAGAAATCAGGACAAGAAGCAGAAGAGATGAAATAAGCAGGAATTATTGAAACTGGGTGATAGGTACATGGGTGTTCAATATATTATTGTCTAATTTTTGTGAATATTTATTTTCTATAATAAAACTGTAAAAAGAAAAAAAGAGATAAACTCTAAAATCTGTCAGTGTGGATCAAGAGCAGTGAGATGGGAACACTCATATATCCTAGGTGGGAGGCCAAATTGCTATGAGCTGCTTAGACAACAATTTGACAGCATATATCAAGAACCCTAAAAATGTTTGTTCCAGTTACTACAGCTGTGTAAAAAATTACCCGGAAACCTTGGCTTTAAACAACCATTTTATTGTGTTCGCAGATTCTGTGGATCAGATTTGGATAGCCTACAGTGGGGATGGTTTGTCTCTGTAATGTGTAGTACCTTGGCTGGGGACTTGAAGGCTTGGGGTGACTCAGAAGCTGTACCTAGAACCCACTGAAGGTTTGTTCACTCACAAGTTTGGCACCTGGACTGGTGTGATACAAAAACTAGGTATGTGGAATGATTCATGTGGCCTTCAAGTGGCTTGGCTCCTCACAGCATGGTGGCCTTAGGGTAGCCCGATTTTTCACATGGTGGCTCAGGGCTCCAAGCATGAGTCCTCCAGCCATCACACTGAATGGCAGAGTACTCTCTTGGTTGATGTTGTCATAAGTCTACCCAGATTCAAAGGGAGGGAAAATAGACCCTGGTTCTCCATGAGAGGAGTGGCAAAGAATTTTAGGGTCATGTTTCAAAACTGCTACAATGTTTGTGTCTTTTGACCCGATGATTTCACTTCTAGGGATTGACCTCAATGAAATTATTTGAAATGTAGACAAAGTTTTATGCATATATTTCAATATAATCTATAATAATGAAATATTAGAAATAAACTTAATGACTAACAATAAGAAAATGAATAAATGTCAGCAAATCTCTAAGATGTTGCAAAGCCATTAAAATGGAGTTCGATTTTTTTTAACACATAGGAACATGTTCATGTTTTTCCTTTCCGAGAGTTGCAAACTGTCATCCTTGGGGTCCCACCATCTCTCTCATTTTTCTCTTCTCATGCCTGGTGTGTATTTACCAGTGGGTTGATGAGGTTGGTTCTAAATAAGCATTTGTGCCTAGTTTCATCAAAGGTCATCACTGGGGCCGGGCACGGTGGCTCACATCCCAGCAGTTTGGGAGGCCGAGGTGGGTGGATCACCTGAGGTCAGGAGTTCAAGACCAGCTTGGCCAACATGGTGAAACCCCATCGCTACTAAAAGTACAAACATTAGCTGGGTGTGGTGGCGGGCACCTGTAATCTCAGCTACTCGGGTGGCTGAGGCAGGAGAATCGCTTGAACCCGGGAGGCAGAGTTTGCAGTGAGCCAAGATCTCGCCATTGCACTCCAGCCTGGGCAACAAGAGTGAAACTCCATCTCAAAAAAAAAAAAAAAAGTTCATCACTGGAACCTGTTTGCCCAAAATCTGTAGCTTCCACAGCGCTCAACAAGCTGCTATGGTTTTCGTCCCAGCCCCCACCTGACAGACGGCTGTATACCTTACTTCCAGTGGATACACAACTTGTCCTTGTCTCAGTTGCCCTCTGATGACCTATTCCATTGTTCTCCTCCCCAAGGCTAAGTTCTCTTAGGATCCGTCAACAAATTCAACAGATGATAATGCCTTAGACACATCATATAGCAGCTGCAGATGTCGTTTTCTTATAATCTATATAATCTACTACTTTTTGAAAAGGACCTCAAACATTTCACCAGTCAATATATTCAGTAGGCAACATCTGAAATAAACTGGTGCCAAAGTGACATATTATTATTGATTGATATTATTTTCACAATAGTTTCCTGATGTGAATTACTTCCAATAGTGCTTTAAGATTCAATTATCTAAGATAATTTTTAAACTATTTAATCAAAATTCATATTTTGTTTTAGATCACCTAGAATGAATAACGCTGAGCTTTTTGGCGTATCACAAAATTGCCCCCTGTG